>NC_000014.9:64157167-64460197 GCF_000001405.40 Homo sapiens | reverse complement strand
CCCTGAATTATGTGTCCTCTCAGAAATACACAAGCATGCATACATTTCCCTCTAAACACAACAGTATCATAAAGGGCACACTGCAACTTGCATCTTCAGCCCAAGGGTCTGCCTGACAAATGAGCTCACAAAGGATGGCAGAGACCTGTGGCACAGTCTGTTAAGGCTGTAATTCATATTGCAACACCAAGATGGCAAACTTGTTTCCTTTTATTCTGTGGAACGTCACTAAAGTAAACAGACATGCATGATTTATGTTAATTTATACATGATGAGAATTAAGGCTGAAAATGACTTCTGGGGAAACTCCTACTATTAGTTTCAGATCTTCTGGGCAGGGGCTGACTTCTCTTGGCTTACTTATACTTCCTAACTCCCAGTGGGCCTGAATAGACACTGGCCAGACTTTCAAAGTAGCTTCTTGAAGATGGATGGTGATCTGGAAGGAAAAACAAGAAATAAATGTTTTCTCTAAGCAAGCACTGAAATGTTTCCTGTTCCTTCCATACTGCACCATTACCCACTCACATTGCCAAAGCTGTTAACATTTACATCCTTTCCTGCCACCAGCTCTTCTAGGGCGTGTCCATAAATGGACTTGAAAATGATGCATGGTATTTCCATAGTACTGTGTGAATACTGTTCAAGACCAGACCAAGCCGTGAGCCATGACTGCATTTCGAGTATCACACATACCCTCTCAAAGAATAGTGTTCTAGCATCAAACTACAGTTTGCTTCTACTTGGACCTTAACTTTCTCAAATAATGCAAGAGCTTTTGTTTTATACTATGACCCTTTGATATCCTTGTCTTTTCTAGCTTTTTCTAGTTTTTCTCAGGTGCTCCCCCAACCTGTTCCACACAGGATTTGTAACTTCAGGTCATTTGCATGGTTATCAGAATGCCCCTTCGCTAATGTCCAAATGAGGGTTCAGTTTCCCAAAACTCACGTCTTCCTTTTTTCTTGGTTAATTCCTCATTTTGCTAAGTACATTGCTAAATAACTTCTTAGGAAGAGATGTGGGGTGGCAAACCCTTGCACGTCTGAAAATATCCAGATAGATTCGGCTAGGTGTGAGCACATGTTGAAAGTCATCTTCCCTGTGACCTTACAGGACACTCCTCCATTGTCTAAAAGCTTCTTATTGCCAGTAAGACGGGCGTTAAGTCTAGTTCTCATTCTTTTCATAGGCAAGCCACTTTTTTCGTCTCTGGAGAAAGATGTTAGGATTTTCATGTTTGATATTTTTGCAGTTTCAACAGGATGTGTCTAGGGATATAAGTGCACACTGCAACTTGCTGCTTCAGCCCCAAGGGTCTGCCTAAGGAGAGACACGTCCTGTTGAAATTTCAAAAATATCAAACAATGCAATGTCACTCATTGCAGTCGGTACTCAGGGCCCTTTCACCTAAGGCCCTAAGAACTGCCAGATTGGTCCTGTTTCCTTCTCTTTTCTATTATACTTCCTAAGACATTTGCTAATTCTTGCCTTCTAACTACCTATTCAGAGTATACAGACCGTCAGCTGTTCCTGACCTGCAATGTGTCATCAACTCTGAACCCCAAGCCTCCTGGGGCTTCAGCAGAGGGAGTCTAACCTCTCCTGTAGTTTCCTCTGTAGTTTATTGGACAGCAGTTTTCTCCCCTACACTGTCAACCTGTGACAAGCCATGCTGCGCTTCTTCCAAAAATGTGTTGAAATATAAATATTTCAATTCATTGGTTATTGCCAACTCTCATTACTATCCCCTCTCCCCTCAGGGAAGTCTGAAAAGAAATGTTTTGAAAGCATTAGAATGTGAATTTTTATAGCGTCAGTTTGAGCCCTATAATTCATAAATAAGCTACATGAGGAAAAAAGCCAAATTATTACCCAGTAACAACTTACCTGTTTAGAATAATCCATTCACCTGTTCTGTTTCAGGGTCCAAATCAATATCATAAAAACAGGGCCGGGTGGGGAGTCCAGGCATTGTGCTCATCTAGGATGTAAAAAAGCATTACAAATAAACTAATGCTGGGCACAGTGGCTCACGCCTATAATCCCAGGCTGAGGTGGAGAGGATCACTTGAGGCCAGGAGTTCTAAACCACCCTGGGCAACATAGTGAGACCCCCATCTCTACAGGAAATAAAAAATTAGCTGGATATGATGGCATGTGCCTGTAGTTCCAGCTACTTGGGATGCTAAGGCAGGAGGATTGCTTGAGGCTAGGAGGTTGAGGCCACAGTGAGCCATGATCATCCGATTGCCTGGGCGACAGAGCAAGGCCATGTCTAAAATAAACGTAAAGTCATCTTTACTTTCACTTTTCCTTCAGAAAGAAAGCCCAAGGCATAAAGATAGAACATCATTTTATAGTTGTCAATAAAGTGGGTACTCTTGTTACATATTAAAAATCAAGTCACTGATCCTGTTAAAAAACTCAGAAACTGATCCCTGCCGGGCGTGGTGGCTCATGCCTATAATCCTAGCACTCTGGGAGGCCAAGGCAGATGGATCACCTGAGGTCAGGAATTTGAGACCAGCCTGACCAACATGGTGAAACCCCATCTCTACTAAAAATACAAAAATTAGCTGGGCATGGTGGCGTGTGCCTGTAATCCCAGCTACTTGGGAGGCTGAGGCAGGAGAATCGCTTGAACCTGGGAGGCGGAGGTTGCAGTGAGCCGAGATCTTGCCACTGCACTCCAGCCTGGGTGACAGAGCAAGACTCCATCTCAAAAAAAAAAAAAAGGAAAAGAAAAGAAACTGATTCCTCATGTCCTTCTGCAAACCAAATGCCAGCCTTCACTATCATCTTCCATGTGGTCACAAGCAGTAGCAGGAGGTGTTTCCACCTTCACCTTACAAGAATGAGTGCTGGGGAGTAGAGGAGTTGCTCACTCGCCTCCTCAGCTCACGCTTTGCAAGACCAAAAGGAGGTACAGGGCTTGCCTGCTTTTAAATTTTGTTTCGTTCAGTCTTGCTAGCTGAGCTGCCCATGTGATTTTTGCTTCAGCAACACGATGGTAGGAGTTAGTATCCTTTAACTTGGGCCAAGACACTTTTGTACATAATCTAGATGGTTTTATAATCACCATTCTTACTGGCCCAAAATGGCCTTCTAAAACTAAACTTGTAATGCTTACAAATTATATTTGTACTCACTACTTTTCTAAAGACTCGGCTTTGACAAATTTCTACTTAGATGCAAATATGTACGGCTTGCAAGTGAAAACTCCGTATATTTTTATCTGTAACAATGTCCTATATAATGAATACACACAAGTTCCAAATCAAATCTAGACAGGAAAACAGCTTAGGTTACTTCTAAAACTTAACTATAAAAAGGTTATTTAAAAAGAGTCATCTTCTGTAACACAAAACATCATCAATACTTTAGAAAACCTCATTCTGACTGACTTCTGAGTACCAATCAATATTCCCCAAAACACATTATAGGGATCTGACAACTGGTTTATATTCTTATATTGTGTAAGAGGTAAGGAGGTGCTAGGTGTGAGACAAGTAGGAGAGAGGAAAGGATGGGTCCTTAGACACAGCAGAAAAACCGGAAGATGACATTATAAAGATAAAAGACACATGCCCATTGTTGTAGACGGGCATGTGCATGTCAGCAGAAAACCCTAAAGATGGTTCCCTAAACAGTGATGAGTAGGATTTTTGATATTTTCACTCATTCCCCAAGAGGATTTTCCCTCCTAAACACTGGTCACTGATAATCAGAAAAAATACAAAAAAAGACAATATTATGTGTACGCACATGTATGAACCTAGATATAAAGTTCTGAAAATAAGCCATCACACTTTGAATTAATATAGAAAATATTCAAATAATCTGAGTCTCGTTAAGGCCCCAACGGCAACTGGAAGGTGTTAGAATAGTGATTAAACCATTTGATCATGTGTGGAAACGCCTTGGTCCAACTTAAAGTTAAAAGCCTCTGACACATACTTTGTTCTAAATGAGAAAGTCTTGAGTTCGGCAGGCTGTGTCTCTCTCCACCTTACAGCCTGACTCTCACTGGCCTGACTGCTTCCAGATTTGCTTTCACCTCTACTGTTACCCTTTTCTTCATGTGAAGATCAAAAGTGACAAGAAAGAGTACAGCTACCCGTCTTTCAGCTGGTAGCTGCTGACAACTTCTCCAAAAAGAACAACACATATTTCTGCACTATTCAAGGTGCTGGGTAAAAATGGTGGAAAATTCCTACCACAAGGGATTTCTACAAATCCTGGAGACTGATGTACATCATAGCAAGTCTAAGCCTTCTGCTCTCTATAGAGAGCTAAGGAGGCAGTGAGATGCAGGCATTTGTGCTAAGCACCACTGTGATGTGATGATGTTGCCTACAGTGTGAGCTGAGGGCAGCAGGGCTCTCACCTTTCATAATTTGCCCAAGGCCAAGATCTGAAGAGGTGAAAATGAATTCAGCTCTAATGTCCTACGTTTTCAACTCTATAATGCCACCTCCTACCACTTTCTTACTATACTGAAAGAATGACATAAATCCAAAAGGATGTATGTTGGTTTCTTTTCCATGTGTGTTGATTTAGTTTAATATTTCAGTCCTGTATTGCATGGCAGTACAATCTGTAGATACAGGATACAGGGCAGATTTAGGGGATAACCTAGATTCAGGATCCAAGTTAACCTTGGAACAATGTCAGCCCAAACTATGATTATGTCCTTAAGCATCCCTCCCCTCTGCTTCCCAACTGGCAATATTCTTCTTTGAATATGCATAAAATCTGTAAGATAAGAAAGCAATGGACACCTTGTTCACCTTGAAGCGTAAATAAGCAACCTCACCTTTCATATCTCAAGGGTCCATTTGCATTTTTTAATGGGGAAATTCCTTACTTAAAAATAATGAACCCCCTGAATTTCAGACGTAAGTTCTAGGCCTGTCAGTAAAACCTCTGTCCCTACCTCCTAGGGCTGTGGGGGGACTGAGTTAATCTATGTAAGGCTCCCAATAAACATTAACTGTGATTATGTTAGCACTACCCCAGCCTATCAACTGGGCTCATCCTAGATTCAGTGAAGAGCATACTGTCCCTGGGAAACAGAATTTTTTATTCAGTATGAGTAGTCCTGGCATCATTCTTGATTTGACACCAAGATGGTCCACAGCAAGAGCTATATAGCTCCTGCTTTATAGCTTATGATCCACAGCAATCATAATAGGCCCGATTCCAATTTTCTTCTGGGCAGTGAACTCTGCTCACTTGGCATTTGCTTGATGGTTTCGGCAACACACTTCAGACGAGAAGTGCAGATGCGCCCACTACTCCCTTGCAGCATGCACTTACCGTTCCTACTAAGGGGTACAGAAAACCAGCCCCAACGCTGGCGCGGATGTCGCGAATGGGCAGAATGAAGCCTGTAGGGACACCTTTTTGCTCTGGGTTGTGAGACAAAGACAAGTGTGTTTTAGCCATGCAGATGGGGAGATTCCCAAAGCCCTGGGGAAAGAAGGGAAGAGAGGGAGGACAAATGAAAAGATGACAACCCAGCAATGACCATCTGGGCCCTGTGATTACATGGATTCTTCAATTTATTCGAAACATCCAACTCCCTTTATATACATCTCTATCTTGCTGTCCTCCAGCTTATTTATTAAGCCAAAAAAAAAAAAAAAGAACTGTTGGGTGAGGGAGTTAGGTACTCACAACTGTAGTCCACAAGTGAATATTTTATTTCCATCTATGGAAATAACATAAAACTAATTTAAAATAATAGTTTGGAGTAGATATGAGAATAAAATTGGAGAGGGTCAGGTGCAGTGGTTCATGCCTATAAATTCCAGCACTTTGGGAGACTGAGATGGGTGGACTGCTTGAGCCCAGGAGTTCAAGACCAGCCTGGGCAACAGGGCAAAACCCCATCTCAACAAAAAACACAAAAATTAGCCAGGTGTGGTGGTGCGTGCCTGTAGGCGCAGCTACTCAGGAGGCTGAGGTGGGAGGATCGCTTGAGCCTAGGAGTCAGAGGCTGCAGTGAGCTGAAATTGTGCCACTGCACTCTAGCCTGGGCAATGGAGCCAGACCCTATCTCAAAATAACAAAAACTGGAGACGTTCTCAATATTTTGGTAAGACATTCTGTATTTCCTCATGGATTTCTACACATTCATATAACGCCTATGGGTAAATAAAGAACCAGGGACTGTGCCACCTAATCCAAACTCAGTATTTCAGAGGAGAGAAGGCTGCCACCCAGAGAAGTGAAGCAACGGGTACTTGGCAGGGCTGGGAGGACCCAGAGATTGTGACTCCAAGTCCTGCTTTGCAAAGAGTTGAAAGGACAAACTAACCAAACATCTACCTGCTTCGTGTAGACTTCAGCTTTGTGTTGAGCTTCGGGAAGTAATTCAATGTCATCTGCTCCATAGATCTTCTGTGCAATGATCCTGATTTTATCCTCAACTGGGAGCTAATGCACAAGAAAGAGATGGGGACACCATGACTGGACACATGTGAGGACATTTAACCAGGACATAGCCACATTCTAGGTCAGAGTCCCTAAAAGGGGCAGAAGATGGTTTTTATATACATATACATAAGCAAATAGTTTGAGGTTGATGATTGGGTTAAGAACACTTTCTTTTTGTTTTTTTGAGACGGAGTTTCGCTCTGTTGCCAGGCTGGAGTGCAATGGCGCGATCTCAGTTCACTGTAACCCCTGCCTCCCAGGTTCAAGCGATTCTCCTGCCTCAGCCTCCCGAGTAGCTGGGATTATAGGCATGCGCAACCAAGCCCGGCTAATTCTGTATTTTTAGTAGAGACGGAGTTTCTCCATGTTGGTCAGGCTGGTCTTGAACTCCCAACCTCAGGTGATCTGCCAGCCTTGGCCTCCCAAAGTGCTGGGATTACAGGTGTGAGCCACTGCACCCAGCCAGGAACACTTTCTTTTAATATCAAGCCTCAGATTTTATAAGTGAAAATGTCCCACAGAGGTAAAGTTTTTATATCTATATATGCAGATATACATATACACACATACATATATATATAGATATAGATACACATATTAATATATATTAAGGTTTTAAATATATACTTACATAAGTACATATTTAAAATCTCTCGCTAAGTACATCATAAACAGTGTTGCTGACTACCCAAGAATAATTATTTCTTCATAAATAAAAAGTAGATGTTCAGGCTGGGTATGGTGGCTCATCCCTGTAATCCCAGCACTTTGGGAGGAGGCCAAGGCAGGAGGATCACTTGAGCCCAGGAGTTTGAAACCAGCCTGGGCAACATAGCAACACTCTGTCTCTTTAAAAAATAAAAATTTTAAAATAATAATAAAAATTAAAAAGTAGATGTTCTATTCTAATACTGGAGATCAGTCCTGTCAAACCAGACCTGGGGACACTGTTTATGAAATAAGACAACCAATGTCCATCTACATAACTCCCAGTCTGTATATGAGAGGCAGATGCCACCCTTAACACAATTGATTAAGTGCAAGCACCAGGAATTAGGAAATAGTCATAAAATCAAAATCACCCAGGTATTAGAAAAAACAACCCAGTGATTTACATGATCAACACGCATTGGGCATGTCCACTTTCTGTGGCACCTGAAGCAAACAGTGCAGTGGACAGAGACCAGTGGTCTAACTGGTGAGGGCCTCAGTCCCATGGGCTGTTTCCTCCGGGGCAAAGCCTTCAGAGAAGTGGAGCTGGCTTCTTAAATGCTGTGTAGACTAGTTCAGGGCATTAAGATTCAAAGAGAACAGCATACGGAGAGGTTGCCTAAAGGAAATCAGAAGCAAAGCTACTCATGGGTAATTTGGATGAGCAAATTACAAAAATTAGGCAATATATCTGTCTTTATAGCAACTAAAGCTAAAAGAACATATTAGGCAGGTTCTTATTTATTTGAGACAGAGTTTTGCACTTGTTGCCCAGGCTGGAGTGCAATGGCGTCATCTCAGCTCACTGCAACCTCCGCCTCCCGGGTTCAAGAGATTCTCCTGCCTCAGCCTCCCAAGTAGCTGGGATCACAGGCATGGGCCACCATGCTTGGCTAATTTTATATTTTTAGTAGAGACGGAGTTTCACCATCTTGGTCAGGCTGGTCTCGAACTCCTGACCTTAGGTGATCCACCCACCTCAGCTTCCCAAAGTGCTGGGATTACAGGTGTGACCACAGCGCCCAGCCAAGTTTTGTTTTTAAAAGGAGCAATAATCTATCTATAAAAACAAAAATTCCCTTTTGAACTAAACAATGATAATTTATGAAGGGGCTTTATATAATGGGCATGAATAAAGTGAACATTCAATAAGGACTTTATAAAGATGAAACACAGATTATTTTCATATGCATCTCATAACTGGAGCTCTATAAATGCCAAGGCACATTTAGAACTTCTGAAGCAAAAGCACTTTGGTTGAAGGGTGATTTAAGACTAGCAGACGCTGAGTAAGACAAAAAGTGGCAGCCTCCTGTTTGCCAGAATGGATAAAAGTTGCAAGTAGAAATGGGTTCTAAAGTCCATATGTCCCTGCTCTTTCAGGTCTCCTGCTGGTTTTCAAGGACTGGGCTTCCAGCCTTGGGTGCTATGCATTGGAGCCTGGAGAGGGTGCCTATAAATGCTTTGCATTTGTGTGCAAATTTGTGTTTATGGCATTTTTCTAAAAGGATGATTGCTGAACAGATTTTAAAACTTGCCTATAAAATCAAAGCTCAACAGGAGAATGTCAATGTCAATGTTAATTAACTGTAAGTGTATTATATCTGCAAGGGGCAAAGAGAAATAAGAGAACACTAAAACTCAAGAGTAATAAGTTTATTCCTTCTGCTTTTTTATGGCTGTTTTTGAAAGTCTATGATTATCTATTAAAAACCAAGCCAGGCCAGGCACATTGGCTCATGCCTATAATCCCAGCACTTTGGGAGGCTGAGGCAGGAGGATCACTTGAACCCAGGAGTTCGAGACCAGCCTGAGCAATATAGGGAGACCCAGTCACTACAAGAAAAATAAAATAAAATAAAACAAAATTTTTTTTTTGAGACGAAGTTTCGCACTTGTTGCCCAGGCTAGAGTGCAGTGATCTCAGCTCATTGCAACGTCCGCCTCCCGGGTTCAAGCGATTCTCCTGCCTCAGCCTTCCAAGTAGCTGGGATTACAGGTGCCTGCCACCACACCCAGCTAATTTTTTGTATTTTTAGTAGAGATGGGGTTTCACCATGTTGGCCAGGCTGGTCTCCAACTCTTGACCTTAGGTGATCCACCCACCTCGGCCTCCCAAAGTGCTGGGGTTACAGGGGTGAGCCACTGTGCCTGGCCAATAAAACAAATTAGCCAGGCTTGGTAGTACATGTCTGTGGTCCCACCTACTCAGGGGGCTGAGGTGGGAGGACCACTTGGGTCCAGGAGGTTGAGGCTGCAGTGTGCCATGATTGTACCACTGCACTCCAGCCTGAGCAACAGAGCAAGACCCTGTCTTAAAACAAAAAACAAAACAAAAAAATCAAGCCAGAAACTAGCCTAGAGAATAGGAAAAATTAACTACAGCATATATCTCATATTCCTAACAAAGTTTCCAGTTGTTGTTTCCATACTACTTAATGTCAAATCACATCCTGAAATACACTGGACAGATAAATGAAAACAAAACACAACCCTATAATAAGAACCTTTTCCTGAACTAACTTTATTGTATCATAGAGTAAGCAGGGCTCTACTTAGACCAGGTGTAATTTAATTTGCTTAGTGATGGAAAAAATGATGAAGCTTCCTGGAGTACTTTGGTTTTGCATGTGAGGGCCCTCAACTTGAGGCAGCACCTTACCAGGAAGTGAACGTGGGGGCACACTTCTTTCCCCTATTACTGAAAAGCCATCAGAAAAATTTTGTAAGCTCGATGCAGCCCCTTACCAATCTGCTACATGGTTGGTGCCTTGTTTTAAAGGCTACAGTGAATTACATATTTGGTCTATATGTAACCTTCTCTTCTGCCACCTGTACTTTGACCCTTTTCGAAGTTAGGATATGAGCAACGGTTCCCCCTCCACCCTGGGGTATTCCTGCTTAAATCCCCTCTGTAAGTAAGCAGTGGCATATGTTTATAAGAAGGCTGTCTGGGCGGACGCAGTGGCTCACGCCTGTAATTCCAGCACTTTGGGAGGCCAAGGCAGGTGGATCACGAGGTCAGGAGTTCGAGACCAGCCTGGCCAAGATGGTGAAACCCCATCTCTACTAAAAAAATAAGAAAAATTAGCTGGGCACGGTGGCAGACGCCTGTAATCCCAGCTACTTGGGAAGCTGAGGCAGGAGAATCACTTGAACCCAGGAGGCAGAGGTTGCAGTGAGCTGAGATCATGCCTCTGCACTCGAGCCTGGGCAAAAGAGCAAGACTCCGTCTCAAAAATAAAAAGAAGGCTGTCTACAGCTGGGAGTCCAGGCTGTGGTTGTGTAAGTCACCTACGTGGGAATCAAACCGCAAGGCTGAAGCTGCGAAGCATGGGGCTCTAATAGAAGTAGCCACACAGAAACTTCACTGTGCCCTTTTCGTCTTTTTTCTTTTTTTGCAGACAGCAAATCACCCACCTTGAGGTCATAAAGGAGCTGGAAGCTGCTGGGTGCTTGTGCTGCTCTCTGGACGGCCTGAGCCAGGGCTAAGGCACCCTTGCCCCCTTCTGCCCAGTGAGTGCACTTCACGGCATCAAAAGCCCCATGTTCTCTGGAAAGGCGGCTGATGAGGTCCAGCTCAGACTCTGTATCCGTCCTATAAAGGAAGCATTTCATATCAAAGCATGGAAAATGGCTGGAGAGACAGAATTGTCTTCTTTTTGCCATTAAACCTCATGTGAATTACCCACTGATAAACGAACACTAACCAAGAAATTTGGCCTGGGTTTGAATCTCAGCTCCGAAACTTACTAGCTGGTGACTTTTGGCCAGTTACCTAATCTTTATGTGCCTCAATTTCCACCCTGGTAATACGCGAATAATCACAGCACTTATTTCATTGGGACGTTATGAGACTCAGATGGTAAATCCATGTAAAATACTTGGAAAATTCCCAGCACTCCAGAAGGAATCAGTAAATACTAGCATTTAAGAATTTTGCTGGCTGGGCGCGGTGGCTCACACTTGTAATCCCAACACTTTGGGAGGCCGAGGTGGGAGAATCACGAGGTCAGGAGATCGAGACCATCCTGGCTAACACGGTGAAACCCCGTCTCTACTAAAAATACAAAAAATTAGCTGGGCATGGTGGCAGGCACCTGTAGTCCCAGCTACTAGGGAGGCTGAGGCAGGAGAATGGCATGAACCCGGGAGGCAGAGCTTGCAGCGAGTGGAGATCGTGCCACTGCACTCCAGCCTGGGCAACAGAGACAGACTTCGTCCCCCAAAAAAAAAAAAAGATTTTTTGCTTCCCATTCTACTACGGTGAGGCCATTATAACAAAACCCTGACCACCAATGCAATACCTAAACAACCCACACAAGTTCTTGCATGACCCCTTCCAGAGTAATATGCCCAATTCTTTGTCAAGACAACATCCCACCAGATCTAGTAAAATAATGGAACACTATAGGCCTATGACCTTCTGTTAGCATAAAAGGCCTCTAAAGATGAAAAAGGAACATTGAACTTCAGGCTTGTGTGTTACTTCCCCCAGTGGAAAGGAAAAGGGCCCATAGGAGCTGAATCTGACTTTGGGACCCTCAGTGGGTGAGGTGGTGAGCCCGCAGTGACGTATGCAATGCCTGTCACAGTGCAGGCTAAAACCACAGGCTATAACCAATAGCAGTAACTGAAAAACAAAATAAAGCTAAAAGCAGTGCTGTACAATCAGCTCCAGGAGATTTTCCACATTCATCCTTTTCGCTTACACTCTACACTTACTTGAATGCATTCACGGCCACTACTACTGGAATTCCAAACATTCTGGCATTTTCAATTTGTTTCTTCAAGTTACTGAAGCCTTTTTCAACCAGCTCCAGGTTCTGTAAAAACAACAGTGAAAGGCCTATGAGATCAGAGAGTTGAAAACCACTGCAGGTTCTTCTTCAAAGGCAAACAACCTCCTTGAGCCAGCAGCCACTCACTATCAGGACAAGGAGGCCAAGAAAGAAGAGAGAAGGTCCCTTGGTGCATTTTTTCCAGTGCGGTGAGTGGATGCTATGGAGAACTGCAGCTTTCACTCCAGCCTATGACACTAGAGTAGAGCTCTGCTTGTTTCCCAGCCTTCAAGAAAAAAAGAGCTGGTATGTTTCCTGTCATTATGCCACATCATTATAGCTTATTTGCTGTTTGAAAGGAATTAGTTACCCTTACCCAAATTATATTTACCAATTGTGTTTATAGATTTTATGTATTCATAGGGTTATGATAATACAAATTAACTCTACTCTGCACAGCACAGACCCTTCCATCAGAAGACAGAGCCTAACAACATAGTGGCTGGCACAGAAGAGGTATTCGTTATATGGCTGCCGTAAATACTGCCAGGAAATATGAAGTAAGCAGTGATGTTTTCAAAGGTTTTAATGAACTCGACCGTGAACGAGGGCAAGAAATAAGATAAATACTATCTTTAGGAATCAGGCCAGTGGCTGGGCCCAGTGGCTCACACTTGTAATCCCAGGACTTTGGGAGGCTGAGGCAGGAGAATCCACTTGAGCCCAGGAGTTTGAGACAAGCCTAGGAAACATAACAAGACCCCATCTCTACAACTGAGAAGTTAATTAAAAAAAAAAAAAAAAAAAGGGCCGGACCTGGTGGCTTATGCCTGTCATCCCAGCACTTTGGGGGGCCGAGGCAGGTGGATCACAAGGTCAAGAGATTAAGACTATACTGGCCAACATGGTGAAACCCCGTATCTATTAAAAATATAAAAATTAACTAGGTGTGGTGGCAGGAACCTGTAGTCCCAGCTGCTTGGGAGGCTGAGGGAGGAGAATCACTTGAACCCCAGAGGCGGAGGTTGCAGTGAGTTGAAATTGCACCACTGCACTCCAGCCTGGTGACAGAGCAAGACTCTGTCTCAAAAAAAAAAAAAAAAAAAAAAAAAGAACTGAGCTGGATGTGGTAGCTCACACCTGTAATCCCAGTACTTTGCGAGGCTGAGATCGGAGGATCACTTGCACCTAGGAGTTCGACAGCAGCCTGCCTGGGCAACATAGGGAGACCCCGTCTCTACAAAAAATTAAAAAATTAGCCTGGTGTGGTGGCGTGTTCCTGTTCTTCCAGCTAGTTGGGAGGTTGAAGCGGGGAGACTGCTTAAGCCCAAGAGTTAGAGGCTGCAGCTATGATCACGCCTCTGCAGTCCAGCCTAGGTGACAGAGTGAGACCCTGTCTGTAAAAAAAACCCCAAAAACCGGCTGGGCGTGGTGGCTCATGCCTGTAATCCCAGCACTTTGGGAGGCCGAGGCGGGTGGAACACGAGGTCAGGAGATCGAGACCATCCTGGCTAACACGGTGAAACCCCGTCTCAACTAAAAATACAAAAAAATTAGCCGGACATGATGGTGGGTGCTTGTAGTCGCAGCTTCTTGGGAGGCTGAGGCAGGAGAATGGTGTGAACCCAGGAGGCGGAGCTTGCAGTGAGCCGAGATCACACCACTGCACTCCAGCCTGGGTAATAGAGCCAGACTCCATCTCAAAACAAAACAAAACAAAAAAACCCACCAAAAACCAAGTACTACAAACTAAAGGGAAGCAATTAAGGAAATGTATCTTTAAGTATGTTTACTGCAGCCCTGCTTGTAGCATTGGAAAATTATAAACATAAACCTCCTCCAAGGGGGACTGGGCCAATGAATTATGACATATACACTCAATAAATATTTATCATGCAGATGTTATGAAAGTGAGACCCATCTGTGTTAACATGGAACCTGTCCAAGATGTACTAAAGGTGCAAAACCATGGAGAGCTTAATTATTCCATTTTAGGACAAACACAAAAATACATGTATATAATTCATGAAAAATTTTTAAATGTCGAGAAATATGCACCGAACTGTTAAGGGGACTCAACTCACATATATTACATTCTTATAATGTTTAATTATTATTTTTTACAAAGGGTATATTACTATTGTAGGCTTAACAATACATTAAATATTTTAAAAATAAAAGAGTCTTCTATAAAAATACATATACTGAATCATCGAGCAAAACCCAGCACTAATGTTTGTTGATCCCAAAAAAGCAGAAATAGGTAGGATAAAAGGTGGAAAACAACTAGGTTCATTATAAATGTGATTTATGCTTTTTTCCTTTAATAATTGAAAACTGAGATTATGATTTATTTGAGCTTCTAAAGAACACTGCTAATTCTTTACCTCTAGTCACATGAAAACCAATTAATATGTAACGCTGATCAAGAACAGTTTTAAATAAGTAGAATTTCTTAAATGAAGACACCAGCTGGGCCAGCTAGGGGCAGTCACTGTAATTAGACACAGGAAAGGCTGTGGGGTGGCAGGAGGGCCAGAACTGTGAATTCCCCTCCTACGCGTGAATCAGACAAATGACCATAAAAGGCAAACCATAACTCAGAAGACAGGCAGACTGAAGGTACCAGCAATTTTTTCTAGCCAGTTTTGAAATACTTCATTTGGGGCCTGAACAGTGACCCTGTATTGCTTGATAATTTAAAAGCCTTCCAAAAAGGCAGAAAAATTGAATTAGCAGTGACAGCAGGTGACCTTGCCACCTTATCTGATGGCCTGTCTTTCCTGTAACCACCCCAAACTGGCTTTAGAGATGTTTCTTTGATGGTAAATGACATAAATATGAAAAGATTTGAGCTCACAGTTGTTCTCTAGCCTCCTGTTTGATGCTATAAATATCCAGGAAGCTTTGTCTAGAAAAACAACCAGAATCCTGACCATATATCTTGGCCCGTTAATATGGATTTAAATCGGCAGAGGAGAAGCCATTTCAAAAAAGGTCTCTACTTGCTTCTGATCTGAATGGCATTTGGAACTTACCCAGCCAATGCAGGGAAGACAATGGAAGGGAACTGCTATTAGTCTAGGACAGGGTTTCTCAGCCTCACACTCCGACATTTGAGCTGGATAATGTTGTAGGGGCTGTCCTGTGCATTAAAGGATGTTTAGCCAGCATCCCCAGTTTCTACCCACTAGATTCCAGTAGCACTCCCCACCTCCAGTTGTAATAATAAAAAAAGTCTCTAGACATTGCCAAATGTCCCCGGGGTCAAAATCAGCTGTTGAGAATCAACCACTGGTCTAGGGCAGTGGCTTATTGACACCCTATGTGGGACAATTCTATTTTGTGAGGTACATCTTCCCTATCTACTCATTTAATATAACTCCTCAGCACACTGCAGGCCTTTTGGCACCCTGCACCCTGGGTCACAGCAATAACCCATTCATTTCCACATGGGCCAGGTGGAGAAATGCTGATTCAAGGTGTGGTGCTTTCTAGGACACGTGATGAGAAATAACTCAGGTTACCTCCTGTATGTAAGCCTTGGGAAGAGGCAGTCCAGCAGTGACCTGGAAGGAAAAGAAACAGAGTCAGAGGCATTTCCTATTTAAATCTCCTAGCTTAAAATGGTGCTTTTCATGTGTTAAAGGCAAGACGCTGCAATGCTTGCAGGCTGTACAGTAGTATAAGATTATTTCCTGCCCTAAGGACTTAGGGTATGTGACCAATCACACAGCACAGAACAAAATCGACTGCTTTGGGCAGCGTGGAAGACCTCTATGACCTGAATTAAGGAGGTGAGAAGGACCGGATCGATGGCAGGAGAGGTGGAAAGGGGTGTACCAAGCAGGTGCAGTGACTCGAGTGAAGGCCATAGCAGTGGGGTTGGAAGTCAAGGGGAGTGTGGGGAAAGAGGAAGCGGTCGGGCCTGCGGAAGTCACCCTGGGATGTCTGTCGATAGAGCCCGTGATGAGCCCTGCCATGGTTTCATGAACTGGTCCACAGTGCCAACCTAGCATTGGTGGAGCTGAACCGTGGTGCAGGGTCAATACAAACAAGAGGGAAAACAATACAGAAGGATTTTCTTTCTCTTTTGTAGAGTATATCTAAAGGATGGAGGTGTCTGGTGCCTCCCCGCCCCGCCCCCCAGCCCCCAGTCTTGATCTATGCCGTGGCTCAGCCCTGCTGCATCCACAGAAATGAGCAAATGGGTGAAGGTGTCCATTTCATGGGCCCCACCATGGGCAGTGGATAGTGATTAAGAAGCTCTGCCCTCTTCCATTGCAGTGAGACTATGTGCTCCAACTCCAGAAGGGGCTGTGTGGAGGCAGAGCAAGAAGCAAGGACCTTACAGGTAGCTTCCCGTCAGCAAGCTAATGAGAGCAGGAGGCCTACTCTCTTGACAGAGCCATATGTGCAAATGTTCCCCTCCATGCACAGCATTATGGGACATTATCCTGACTGTGAGGTCAGGAGGAAGCAAGGAAAGGAGGTGTGATGGTGTGAGGGTGAGTGAGGGGTGTAAGAGAGAGGAATGTTAGTTGTGACTGGGAAAAAAAAGGGAGTCTATCCTGTGCTACTAGCAGAAAGGAGTGTGCTGGGTTGGGAGTGCCTTTGGCACTCAGGGATAACTAAGACTGGATAGGGGTGCTGGGGTTGTTATGGCAGCATTCCCAGTGTGCTCCGGGGACCCAATCCTTTGAAGGGGTCCATGAAGTCAAAACTATTTCCATAAGATTCTGTAACATCTTATGGCCCTTTTACTCTCATTATCATTCTCTCATTGAGCATATAATGGACTTTTCCAAAGGTTATGAGACATGTGATGTCACAACAGATCAAGTGCTGTCTTCAATTAAGCCAGACCCAGAGAAGATCTGAAAAATGTACAATGCCTAAATTTTGCTGGGAAAAGATAATGCATTTTCATGTTTACAAAGTTCTTTATGTTTACATGTAACTCAGTTTTAATTTCTAATATGGTAAATATCAATAGCTATAACCCATATGAACAAAAACTCTTTTAGGCTCTCAATAACTGTCAAGAGTGTAAAGAGGTTCTGAGGCCAAAACAGAGAACTGCTACATTAGGACAAACCCTGACCAAAACAAATTTGATTTTTATCCTGTAGGCCAGGGAGTCCTTATTTCCTAAGTTATAATACAAGCTCCTGGTGGACAGGAATTTAATAGTTTTTCAAATGATTTCAGAAAACCTAGCACCATGTCTTTTCATGTAGGCCCTAAAGAAAAGGTGTTAAAATACTAGGATAAAAAGTAGTAGGAATTTCTAAGCAGTAGGAATTCAGAGAAATACAAAATTCAGGCTGGAGGTGAGGATGAGCCAGTCTCCACCTGTTTCTCTGTTACCCAGGGCAGCCCTGGGCAGATCTGCCATTCTCCTCTCCCCCACTCCCTCCCTAGGGTGTGGAGGCCCTGTCCAGCATGAACAGTATACTCAAGAAGGGGCTGACCTCTGTCTCAGCTAACTGGTTTGGTTGGCTGGTTGCCAGTGTCACTATACAGAGGGATGCAGATTTAAAAAGAACAGTCTGAACGTAAAACAGTTTTTTGTGGGGCTAGCCGAGTACACGTCCTTGGAGGGGTTTAGATATTGTCAGATGTCCTCCGAAAGGTAGGCCAGGCAGCCGATTTTGGCCCTCTTAAAATGCTGAGCGCTGACGGTGCCTGTGAGTGATAAGGCAGCCAACACAAGGGCTGTCTGCCCGTCCCTTGCTTTTGCTGCCTGTTAATCACGAGGATAAGAGCAACTCAATGAAGAAACAGGCAGAAGTCATCCAACTTCCTTTTGGCCGTCAGCACACTGCCGATAATCAGATACTTCAACCCACCACTCACCGTGGGGCCGCCCCCGTGCATCTTGAGAGCCCTGACAGTGGCAACAAGCACCACCACGTGGGGGCAGAGGCCGGAATACCGGCATTTGATGTTAAAAAACTTTTCCATTCCAATGTCTGCTCCAAATCCTGCTTCCGTCACTGTAAAGAGGAAAGCAACAGTAAAAATGCCATCCCAATTCCCCTGATGTTAAAAGAAACATACAGTCTATTCACTGGTTTTGCAAAAAACACTAACCTACAAACCCTTCTGGGCCAACAAGCTTGAGTGCGATCCGGTCTGCAATGATGGAGGAATTGCCATGTGCGATGTTGGCAAACGGGCCAGCATGGACAAACACTGGAGTGCCCTGTGGAAACCAGGACACCGTGAGCTGAGCTGCCAATCCTGCTTCAAAGTGGGATCACACATTCAACGGTATGGAATTGATTTGGAATCGGAAGGAAGAATACTTCCCAGAGGGAAAATATAAAGTCATCTCTTTTATTTCAGTAACGTCCCAGTCACAGGTGTGAGGAAGAATGAGAAGAAAGAGATGAGCAAGTGGAGAAGGTCTTGACTACCCAGGTTAAGTGTGCTTAATTTTTTTTTTTTTTTTTTGACACGGAGTCTCGCTCTGTCGCCCAGTCTGGAGTGCAGTGGCGTGATCTCGGCTCACTGCAAGCTCTGCCTCCCAGGTTCACGCCATTCTGCCTCAACCTTCCGAGCAGCTGGGACTACAGGCGCCCGCCACCATGCCCGGCTAATTTTTTGTATTTTTAGTAGAGACGGGGTTTCACCATGTTAGCCAGGATGGTCTCGATCTCCTGACCTTGTGATCTGCCCACCTTGGCCTCCCAAAGTGCTGGGATTACAGGTGTGAGCCACCGCGCCTTGCAAGTGTGCTTTATAACCACTCTGCTCTGACTGTCCAAAACCAATTCAAGAAGGCAGGAGTCACTCTGCTCACCTCCAGTGTCTGCATGAGATTGGGCTTGATTGCGTCCTTCATAAGCACTGTCAGTGCACCACTCACCCCCTACAAAACAAATGTGTGCAGCATCAACTCCCACCAGCAAAAAAACCCAACCTTCTGAAACCAATATTTGACATTCTAGGCTTACCCATGTTAGCCATCTTGGACCAATTGATACTTTCACCTGAATTGGACCATTCATGGTTTTTTTCTGGATATGCTATGAAGTTGCCAATTATTAAATTATTTATTTTTTGAGACGGAGTCTGGCTGTGTTGCCCAGGCTGGAGTGCAGTGGTGCAATCTCGGCTCACTGCAAGCTCCACCTCCCAGGTTCACGCCATTCTCCTGCCTCAGCCTCCCGAGTAGCTGGGACTACAGGCACCCGCCACTATGCCCGGCTAATTTTTTTGTATTTTTAGTAGAGACAGGGTTTCATTGTGTTAGCCAGGATGGTCTCAATCTCCTGACCTTGTGATCCACCCGCCTCAGCCTCCCAAAGTGCTGGGATTACAGGCATGAGCCACCACGCCTGGCCAAAGTTGCCAGATAGAATACAAATGACATTCACATGTAATATCTGGAAAAACATGTAACTCTAGAAACAAGCATCTTAATCAAGCTCAGCTGCTGACTGATGTGAGAAATCCATTCTAGACTATTTTAGAGCACGACAATGCTCGTTCCCAGAGTACTCAGTTATTTGTAACTCTGGTATCTGGGCAGAAATTTCTATAAATACCAAACTCAATATGTGTCTTCCAAAGCTGAAACTGCAATATTACGCAAGAGTTCAATACCAACTTTTAACATCAGGTCACTCTATTAAGCCATCAAAGTGTAGCTGAACTACCTAGCAACAAAGATAAAGCAATGGTACTCTTGATGTTCTCTGCAAATTGAAGTCATACACCCACTTTTAGAGATGCCCACAGGATGAAGATGTTACTCAAATCATCTGGAACTTGTGATCTATTACTAAAGCATACCAGCTATTATTCACTCTGATGTACTTTTTAAACATTTCATAATTATCTTGTAATTAGCAAAATAGGATTAAATTGATGAATTAATTGCAATGTCTTAAGTACAGCATTACATTTTGTTATTAATAACTGCTGAAAGACCCTAGGACAACAGACACAGATATGTCGCCAAGCCTGGCGTGTCTGGGTACCCACCAGATCTTCGGCACTGACGGGCTCTCCTTTCTTACTGGATGCCACCACCATTTTGCCCAGTCTCTCTCTCATGTCTTCTAGAGAAGTGGTGAGAGCCAGGACAGCCATAATTTCACTGGCCACAGAGATATCAAACTGGGCCTGTGGGCAGGGAAAAGAGGTACTAGCAAAAACTTTGTGTTAAACCAGAAGTGTGAATTGCAAAAGTGATCCTCTTTTACATCTGAGGCTTAAACAAATAGCTTAAAAGGATAGAATAACAGAATACTACCCAAAATACTTAATGAAAATAATCCTCTAATAGCAAAAAAATATATTAATTAATTATTCCAAGACCCTGAGTTGTCATTTTTTTTTTTTTTTTTTTTTTTTGGAGACAGAGTCTCGGTCTGTTGCCCAGGCTGGAGTGCAGTGGCACAATCTTGGCTCAATGCAACATCCACCTCCTGGGTTCAGGCAATTTTCGCGCCTCAGCCTCCCAAGTAGCTGGGATTACAGGCGCGTGCCACCATGCCCAGCTAGTTTTTGTATTTTTTTAGTAGAGATGGGGTTTGGCCGGGCTGATCTCGAACTCCTGACCTCAAGTGATCCGCCCGCCTCGGCCTCCCAAAGTGCTGGGATTACAGGCGTGAGCCACCACGCCCAGCCCTGAGTTGTCAGTTTTTTAAAATAAATGTTATAGTAGGACCAAAAAGCTATGATTTTATCCCTATGAAGGCCGCTTATAATCATGCGCTTATTGTTTCTTTCATATACAAGGGAATAATATGGTACCTCTTAAACCAAGGAGATATACAGTGAAATGGCCACAAAAAAGAAGCAATTTTAATCAATTTCTATGCAAGGATATTCACTTGGGGCTCTCCACCTCCAGGAAAAAATGCCGGGGGAAAAACACACAGGTGACACATGGGATTTATTGCAAAAGCTGTCAGGAGTGCTCAATGCCACACACCTACTCACTTCCATTTTAAAAGGGAGAAGGCAGAACAACACCTGGCAGTATCAGTCGTATGAGAGAGGATGGAGGAGGAGAGAAGCAGCAAGATCTAGTGCCTCTGAACTAATTTCCTTGGAAAGGGACAAATTGTTACCGTCCGTGTGTGACCCTTCTCCGTTGGAGCCTGTCCAATCGTGATCTTCCTCAGGAATCTATCATTGGTATCCAACACTACAGCAGACAGGCAAGATATAGAACGATTTTGAGTAAAAGGACCACAAAGTTAAAGGAAGCAGCAGAGTTTTAAAGCAATAAGTCTAATTTCATGATTGTCTATCAATATTTCAAAATGGATGGCAAAGCTAGAATATGTGTTAAAGTTAAGAAATGATGTTCATATACCATAAATACACAGGAGTTATTTTTACAGCAAAGGAATGTGGAATGGCTTGGTTTTATCCCATCTAGAGAATTCAAACAGTTAACTAGAAATCTGGAATCTATTTTAAAGCATATTCCACATATAAGAAAAACAGAGCAGTCTACATTTTTTCAAAAGACTGAGGTTTGTGTTGTTGTTCTGTGGGATGATGACTCATTGACTTTCCACCACCGTAAGAAATGCAGGAGCCATCAAATCAGGGCAAGTGCAAATATCTTTTGAAACACGCTGGGTGCCAGGCCTGGTCTGGAAATTTAGGAAACATAGCACACTTAGCAGAGAGAATTTTTATTCTGATGACAGAATATCTATCCAATTATATAACCACAAAAAACATGGCAAAGACCAAGCAACTAACCAACTAACGACCTCCCAGGACTAACTACTGTTAACATTTTAGTGTACCCTCAGTTCTGGCTTTTGGTATGTGTAGTGTAATAGGAAATATATTTGACCTTTGTCATGGGTTCCTGACAAAAGGCTCACAGAGCTCTTGGAATTCCAAGGGTGATAGGAGTGTCTTGTTATTCATTACAAACTCCTTTTGATCACACCTGAGTTTATGGTAATAAGTTACTTATGGTAGGTCTCCTAGACAGCCTCAGGAAAGGAATGGTCACCAAAAAGACCAAATGATTAGAGGGCTGGAACTTTCAGTCCCACCCACCAACCTCTGGGTAAGGTGTTAGGGGTGTATAAAACTCTTGAACAGGCCGGGCACAGTGGCTCACGCCTGTAAATCCCAGCACTTTGGGGGGCCAAGGTGGGCAGATCACCTGAGGTCAAAAGTTCGAGGCCAGCCTGACCAACATGGAAAAACCCTGTCGCTACTAAAAATACAAAATTAGCCGGGTGTGGTGGTGCATGCCTGTAATCCCAGCTTCTCAGGAGGCTGAGGCAGGAGAATCGCTTGAACCCGGGAAGCAGAGGTTGCAGTGAGCTGAGATCACTCCATTGCACTCTAGCCTAGGCAACAAGAACAAAACTCCGTCTCAAAAAAAAAACTCTTGAACAACATGATTTGATGAGCCTCTGGGCTGGTGAACACATCCAGGTGCTGGGAGAGTGATGCCCCCTACGCTTCTCTTCCATCTGGTTGTTTCTGAGCTGTATCCTTTATAATAAACCATAAACACAAGTGAAATGCTTCTCTGAGTTCTGTGAGCCATTCTAGCAAATGAACCTGAGCAGGGGGTTGTGGGGACCCTCCAGTTTATAACCAGTTGGTCAGAAGCACAGGTGACAACCTGGACTTGCGATTCGTGTCTGAAGTGGGGCAGTCTTTTAGGACTGAGCCCTTTACCTGTAGGATCTGCTCCAGACAGTTAGTGTCAGAATTGAGTTAAATCATAGGATACTCAGTCAATATCCACTGGAGAAGTGAAAGCTGAATTGTTGTGGAAGAGAAAAACTACCCATCTGGTGTCAGAAGTGAGGTGCTGAGAGTACTATGAGTATAGAGAGGAAACAGGAGTTGCCATTTCAGTATCAAATGCCAAACAATATCAAAGAAACACAAAATTAAATTGATCCATATTCCTACTAATAACATCATTGCTGATGGCTGAATATGTTTTAGAACAGAGTTTTTCATCTTAGAGATTGGTGAAGCAGTGTAAGGATGTGAGAAGCTCACAGAGTACAAATTTGCCTATATATTTTGTGGGTTTTTTTTTCAAGATGTTTTCTATTTCAAAATTAAAATAATTTCAAAGTAAAAACACACACACACACAAAATGAACAAAAAAACCCAGTTCATACTCTAAATGAGTCAAGGAGGAGAAGCATTTTTAAGGCACTTGATAATATGCCAAATTATTTTCCATAAAGACTGTCATAATTTCATACCAAAAGCAGTGTCTTATATAGCAATCAGACACACACACCCCCCACTCTTGCTGTAATGTGTTGTTAAAGCCAACCCTTATTTTTCAAAAGAAAAAAGTATCAGGTTTCATGTAACTAATATTTCTGTAAAAAATAGCTAGTCAATAGGTATGACTGCCTCTAGTTGCTTAGAAAACATGAATGAGACACGAAGCAAAAGAAAAGTAAATCGGATACTAAATCTTCAAAATGGACTTTTAGCTTATTCCTTATAAAATATTATACCATTTGTCTAAAGCTATTGAAGCAAAGGAAGAGAAATTCCAATGTGGTTTTAGACATTGAGAGTGTCATCTAAATAAGGCCATTAGCTAGCAACGGTTATTGAGTCAAGGAAAATCACAAAAACAGTCAATAAACTGGCCTTCAGCTCTATTCTGCATGAGTGGATGAAGATTCTTTCTCAATAGTGATACAGAATAGAAGGTTGCATTGTTGATGCAAAGTGAAATCTAAGCTACACTAGTTGTGCATTGAGAAAAGTAGCATATGGCAGTGAAGCCAGGAAACCTACTTACTGAACTGGTAAGTATTTAAACCTTGAAGGCTACCTAATATGCTATAAGAGAATTTAATAAAATGAGGTAAAAAAATGATTAGGTAGGCCGGGTGCGGTGGCTCATGCCTGTAATCCCAGCACTTTGGGAGCCTGAGGTGGGCGGATCATGAGGTCAGGAGATTGAGACCATCCTAGCTAACATGGTGAAACCCTGTCTCTACTAAAAATACAAAAAATTAGCCGGGCATGATGGCGGGTGCCTGTAGTCCCAGTTACTCGGGAGGCTGAGGCAGGAGAATGGCGTGAACCTGGGAGGCAGAGCTTGCAGTGAGCCGATACTGTGCCACTGCACTCTAGCCTGGGCGACAGAGCGAGACTCCATCTCAAAAAAAAAAAGATTAGGTAAGCTAGAGAACTACAGAAAAAAATCAAGTCATTTATGCCACACAAGAGTTCTAAGAATAAAGGTCACACATGATTCAAGAAGTGATTAAACATAATTTCTCTACTTCATGACACTAAAACTTTTTGCATAAAATTAAATTTGTAAAATGTGATTTTTGGTTTAACTACCCTAATTTCAGTCAACACTGAATAGCCAGCAAAATGTTCGACCAATCCAACAAAGAGATTTGATGATAGCTAATAAGGAGAGATACTGAGAGAGGTGGCAAGAAAAAGAAATAATGTCACCATCTTGGTCATGCCTTAGCTGGTAAAATACCAACATGGAAGCTTCTGAGCCTCACATTTTAACAACTCTTCTGGAGGGTGTAGGGTGTGCAATATAGCCAAAACAAACGGGGCTTGTATACTGCTCTGGTACCTCTTTGCCAAGTTATGGTTTCTGGATCAATGTCCAATCTTGCAAATCTGTTTATCTCTTCATCTGTCAGTGTGGTAGGGTCAGTCTTTTCAATGCCTAGTCTCTGAAAGTGTAGGAAAATGAAAACATAAAATAAGACAAACAGAAGCACAATAAACGTAAGACAAAAATTTTGACCCCTACCTCTAAATGGGATCCCCTCTAGGAAATGCAAACCATCTTAAATTCAGAAGGAAAAACTGAAAGCTGGGGGTTATTTCCTACTGTCAGCCTAAAGAAAGACATTACAAAAAATTATCTCCAAGTAGGTTGAGTTTATTCAGGAATGAGCAACGAGGATTATAACCTGGGATGCCACAAATATGCCTAGTGAGGGAAGGGAAGATTTTACTAGCAAAGAAGGAGAGCTTCAGCTAGGCGTGAAGCTCAGCCTGTGGCTGAGCCTGTAATCCCAGCACTATGGGAAGCTGAGATGGGCAGATCACCTGAGGTCAGGAGTTTGAGACCAGCCTGGCCAACACGGTGAAACCCTGTCTCTACTAAAAAATACAAAAATTAGCTGGGCATGGTGGTGGGTGACTATAATCCCAGCTACTTGGGAGGCTGAGACAGCAGAACTGCTTGAACCCAGGAGGTAGAGGTTGCAGTAAGCCAAGATCACGCCACTGCACTCCAGCCTGGGTGAGACTCCATCTCAAAAAAAAAAAAAAAAAAAAAAAAAAGAAAAGAGGGAGAGCTTCACGTAGTCTGCTTAGAGAGTTCAGGTCAAGGCTGCAGTGAGCCATGATTGTGCCACTGCACTACAGCCTGGGTGACAGAGCAAGACCCTGTCTCAAAAAAAAAAAAAAAACAGAATTCATCGCTCCCAGAAGCTCAAAGCCAGAGTTGTCAATTCATTGGTGCAGTTGCCGTTGCTGGATAAGTGTACTTTCAAGAGCATCTTATCTGAATTACTCCCATCCTGAAGAATGTCTAGTGATAAGTCTTGTCATGGAAACATAAGTATACATTTGAAATGTGCAAGCTGTGCAAAGCAGGAGATGTGTGAAGGACGTGAAGGGATTTCTTTTGGGGTTTTATAAAGTTGTTGGAAACAATTTTTGCTTTTGTTTTTTTGAGATGAGGTCTCATTCTGTCACTTAGGCTAGATTATAGTGGCCCAATGATAGCTCACTGCAACCTTGAACTTCTGGGTTCAAGGGATGCTCCTGCCTTAGCCTCCCGAGTAGCTGGGTATAACTACAGGTGCATGCCACCACACCTGGCTCGTTTTTAAATTTTTTTGTAGAGACGAGGTTTTGCTTCATTGCTCAGGCTGGTCTCGAACTGCTGGGCTCAAGTCATCCTCCTGCCTTGGCCTCCCAAAGTGCTGGGATTACAGGCCTTGCAAACAGTTCTTATCACAGACACGTAAGTGTAAGCCTCCTCTTCTTCATGTTTTCCCAGCCCTGTTTTTTCTGGGTCTGACAAAAGTGATTTTATCCCGATATCTGCAAATTCACATTACTCACACATGTACAAAGGTATTATTAACATGTTTGTCCCTATAACTGAGCACCAGAAGATTTCCCTAAGCCTAGACCTAAATAATCATAGTATCATAGTGACCAAGAAGTGTTGTAAAACACAAACCCAATTTTTTTTGAGACAGTCTCTGTCTGTCACCCAGGCTGGAGTGCAGTGGGGCATCCTCAGCTCACTGCAACCTCCGCCTCCCAGGTTCAAGCGATTCTCTTGTGTCAGCCTCTCGAGTAGCTGGGGCTACAGGCGTGCACCACCATGCCCAGCTAATTTTGTATTTTTAGTAGAGATGGGGTTTCTCCATGTTGGTCAGGCTGGTCTCAAACTCCCAACCTCAGGTGATCCACCTGCCTCAGCTTCCCAACGTTCTGGGATTACAGGTATGAGCCACCACGCCTGGCCTCCTCATCTCTTAAAAAAAAAAAAAAAAAAAAAATGCTGAGCTCAGTGGTTCATGCAAGTAATCCCAGCACTTTGGTATGCCAAGGTAGGCAGATTGCTTGAGCCCAGAAGCTTGAGATCAGCCTGGGCAACACGGCAAAACCCGGTCTCTACACAATATATAAAAATCTGGGCATGGTGGTACCTGGCTGTAGTCTCAGCTACCTAGTTGGGTGAGGTGGGAGAATCACTTGAGTCCTGGAGGTTGAGGCTGTAGTAAGATGTGATTGCACCACGGCACTCCAGCCTGGGTGACAGAGTAAAAGCTTTTCTCAAAAACATAAACAAACAGGCCGGGTACAGTGGCTCACGCCTGTAATCCCAGCACTTTGAGAGGCCAAGGCGGGTGGGTCACCTGAGGTCAGGAGTTCGAGACCAGCCTGGCCAACATGATGAAACCTTCTCTCTACTAAAAATACCAAAATTAGCTGGGCATGGTGGCAGGCACCTGTAACCCCAGCTATTCAGGCTGAGGCAGGAGAACTGCTTGAACCTGAGAGGTGGAGGTTGCAGTGAGCTGAGATCACACCATTGCACTCCAGCCTGGGAGATAGAGTGAGACTCTGTCTTAAACAAACAAACAAACAACCAACCAATAAATTTTTGAAAAATTAAAAAACAGAAAAACAAAAACAAAAAATCCCTTGTGGCCAGACGTGGTGGCTCACGCCAGTAATCCCAACACTTTGGGAGGCTGAGGCAGGACCATCGCTTTAGACCAGGAGTTTGAGACCAGCCTGGACAATATGGTGAGACACGGTCTCTACAAAAAAATAAAATAAAAAATTAGCCAGGTGTGGTGGTGTGTGTACCTATAGTCCCAGGTGCTCAGGAGGCTAAGATGAGAGGATTGCTTGAACCTGGAAGGTGGAAGCTATAGTGAGCTGTGATTGTGCCTCTGCACTCCAGCCGGGTTACAGAGAGAGACGCTGTCTCAAAAAAGAAAACAAAAAACAAAACAAAACACCTCTCCTTTGCTGTTCCTTTATGGTCATACCCTCCCTTCATCCATACCCTTAACATCTATTGATCTGTTCCCTAGCACTATAGTTTTCTCTTATTGAGAATATCATATAAATGGAGGCATGCAATATGCAAGCTTTTGAGACTGGCTTCTTTCACCCAGCATAATGCCACTGAAATTCATCCAAGTTGTTGCTTGTATCAATAGCTCATTTATTTTTATTGGATGGATGTACCAGTTTGTTTATTTATTCATCCAATGAAAGACATTTAGATTAGTTCCCAGTTTTTGGAAATTATTAATAGAGCTGCTAAAAACATTAATGTACAGATTTTTATGTGAACAGAGTTTTCATTTATTTTGGGTGAGATTTCTGGGTCAGGTGGTATGGTGTATGCTTACTAACTATGTATTTGTTACAGAAATTCAAATAAAATATAGATATAACTATGGTTTTAACTGTTTAACACAGACCCTTATCTATTCAGGGCAAGGCAAGTATTATTTTACAGACAAGTAAGCGGAGAAACAAGTCATTTAACAAATTTGCTTAAGGTCCCAATGATGCAAACTCCAAAGGCTGCTATGCCGCCACAGTGACATCCTGACTCTTGTTCATGTTATAAAGGAAGTGTCGTTTCTTTCTTAGCTGAGGGCAGGTTGTCAGTGTTCTATTTATTCCACACTAGCCACTTCTAATCTATAGATAAATGAGAAATAACCTCTACCATCCATCTTTGCTATGTATATCATGACTTTAAGACTATGATTACTGATGTAACTTCATCTAAAATAGGCTACTCCAAGAAGACTTTTATGTCCTAATCAATGATCAGATTCCAGATTCCATACAATATAAAAAATGTGGAAGAAAAAAAGCTTACCTTTAACCTTCGGATTTGGATGTCAGAGAACCTTCTCACTCCATTTACTGATGGCACCAAACGATTAAAGAGAGCCTTAAAGAAAAGAAAGGGGCTTTAAAATGAGAGGAGCCCCACTGCTTTGCTACCTGCATCCTCAGCACCCAAGACACCAACACTAATTCAGATGGTTCAATACTTTCAAAACTGTTCAATGGGGTTCATGGGGCTTTGGCATCCTACCTTGTCTGTCTGGGTCAGTTCATGAAATATCCGAGCATCAATGGCCGCAGCAACGAGGTTATTAGCTGCAGTGATGGCATGGATGTCACCTGTGAGGTGGAGATTAAACTACAAAAGAACAGAAGCCACATTAGTCTCCCAGCTGCTCTGTATCTTTCCAACTTTCATTCTATTGCAAAGCTCAATCCCTATTTTAAAGCCAATGGAATACTGAAGGCAGCCCAGTTAGTGGACAAACACCCAATATAGGGAGTTCTTGAAAACATAAATGACTGGCTGGGTGTGGTAGCTCACAACTATAATACCAGCACTTTGGGAGGCCGAGGCGGGCGGATCACTTCAGGCCAGGAGTTCAAGACCACCCTGGGCAACATGGCGAAACCCCATCTCTACTAAAAACATAAAAAGTAGCCAAGTGTGGTAGTGCGCACCTGTAATCCCAGCTACTTGGAAGGCTGAGGCAGGAGAACTTGGGAGGTGGAGGTTGCAGTGACCCAAGATCACACCACTACACTCCAGCCTGGGTGACAGAGTGAGACTCTGTCTTAAAAAAAAAAAAAAAAGAAAAAGAAAAAGAAAAAGAAAACATAAAAGACTAATTATCTGTCCACAGAAGAATCTCCTCCCAAATACAGAACTTGCAGTTTTTCCAAAATGAGATGTCCAGAGACCACAAATACCACACCACTGGGATCAACAGCCACACTGGGTTACTGAGGACACACCTCAAAACAGCGAGGAGGAGTGCACGGGAGCAGCACCGACTCTATGTCTATGTAATGTTCCAATTTCTGCAGTTACATAAATGAATTCTGAAATCGCTGTGTGTTGGTGCTTCCCGATACCATGCTTCATTTGGTCATTTGCTTATAATAATCATTCCCACTGAAAGCCAAAGTTTGAAACCAAGCTGTATCACAAGTCTGCAAATTAAGTTGTTTTCCCCCTAGGTGTTGCTTTTGCTGAGAAACAAGTCATTTGTCCGCTAAGAGCTCTACAAAAAAGGCTAATCTCCAGAGAGAAAAAGCTATAATAAAGAATCTAGGCTGGGTGCGGTGGCTCACGCCTATAATACCAGCACTTTGGGAGGCCGAGGTGGGCGGATCACGAGGTCAGGAGTTCAAGACCAGCTTGGCCAACACGGTGAAACCCCGTCTCTACTAAAAATACAAAATTAGCTGAGCGTGGTGGTGCATGCCTGTAATCCCAGCTACTCGGGAGGCTGACGCAGGAGAGTTGCTTGAACCTGGGAGGCAGAGGTTGCAGTGAGCCGAGATTGCGCCATTGCACTCCAGCTCTGGGCAACAGAGCAAGACTCCGTCATGGGGAAAAAAAGGGAGCTAATTCAGCACCCTCCCCCCCGACAAAAAAAGGGGGATCTAATTCAGCCAAATCCCAGAATACTTTACCTCTTCCATAGGAATGACCTGGGAGTAGCCGCCTCCTGCAGCGCCACCTAGGGGACAGGTCAAGGGTGGAAGCTCAGTTAAGCATGCTTCTCCAATGACTTAGAAATCAAATAAATGCAAATGCATTATTGTAACTACTAAGCACATTTATTTATTTATTTTTTAGAATCATTTGGACAGTTTTGATCAAGTGTTTTCTAATACTAGTCTCTCAATTGAAATCTGAGTTTAAATGACAAAACCATGAACAAATATATACCTACTCATTATCTTTAGAAATATGTTCCTTGTAATTACTGGCATTTGTTAAAACACCCAGCTGACAGTTACATAAAGGCAACCTGTTCAATTTCCTACTCTCATAAAGCTACTTTGGCTTTTAAAACAGAAATATTTAAAATACATACACCTAACAAAAAGACTATAATTTTTCCTAAATAGAGATAAATAGATTAGGCTGTTAGAAAGCAGCCTAATTGCTAGATTTTTTTGGGCTACTTGGATTACAGGTTGAGTATCCCTTATTTAAAATGCTTGGATTTGGGTTTTGGATTTGGGTTTTTGTTTTCCAGATTTTGGAATATTTTCATCATACTGATCCAGCATCCCAAATCCAGGATTTAAAATCTGAAATGATCCAATGAGCATGTCCTTTGAGCATCGTGTCAGCACTCAAAAAGTTTAGAATTTTGGAGCCTTTCAGATTTCAGGTTTCTAGATTTCTGATGCTCAATCTGTATTAGCCAAAAGCCAGTTGAAAATGTTCAGGACACCAAGCATGGCTGCTCATGCCTATAGTCCTAGCCTGGGAGATCAAGGCTGCAGTGAGTTATGATCATGCCACTGCACTCCAGCCTGAGCTGGGACTCCAGACAGAGCAAGACTCTGTCTCAAAAAAAACAAACAAACAAACAAAAAAAGTCCAGGTTACCACATTATCAGTGCAATAAATGTAAATCAGATATATATTTTTTTAGACAGAGTCTCATACTGTCTCACAGGCTGGAGGGTAATGGTCTGGGATTACAGGCACATACCACCATGCCCAGCTAATTTTTGTGTTTTTAATAGAGACGGGGTTTGCCATGTTGGCCTGGCTGGTCTCGAACTCCTGGCCTCAAGTAATCTACCACCTCACCCTCCCAAAGTGCTGGGATTTTAGGCATGAGCCACTGCACCCAGCCCAGAGATATATTAATATGTATTTTGTTTTTGTGAGGCAGAGACCGTGCAGTGAGGCAATTTGCAGTAAGAGTAAAAGGAAAATAATGGGTTCAATAAGCAGAACAAGGAATAGCTCGTGCTGAAGTTGAAAGGGGGTTAAGACAAGCTCAAGAGCAGAACAAAGTGATTACATTTATAAAATAGGTGGAAGGGTGGGCTGGGCACGGTGGCTCATGCCTATTATCCCAGCACATTGGGAGGCCAAGGTGGGCAGATCACAAGGTCAGGAGTTCAAGACCAGCCTGGCCAATATAGTGAAACCCCATCTCTACTAAAAACACAAAAATTAGCCAGGCATGGTGGCACGCACCTGTAGTCCCAGCTACTTGGGAGGCTGAGGCAGGAGAATTGCTTGAAACCAGGAGGCGGAGGTTGCAGTGAGCCAAGATCGTGCCACTGTACTCCAGCCCAGGCAACAGAGCGAGACTGTGTCTCCAAAAAAAAAAAAAAAGGTGGAAGGGTGAAGGTGTTCCCGGTGTCAACATTTGTAGTAATTGCTAGAACAAGCAAAATGTGATACCCTCACCAAGCAGAGAAAGCTAACTCTAAGAACCTATCATAATTAATAAACATTATTTTAATTAAGACAGCAGCTTGGCACGGTGGCTCATGCCTATAGTCCTACCAGTTTGGAAGGCTGAGACAGGCAGATCACTTGAGGTCAGAAGTTCAAGACCAGCCTGGCCAAAATGGTGAAACCCCGTCTCTACCAAAAATACAAAAATTAGCCAGGCATGGTCATGCGTGCCTGTAATCCCAGCTACTCGGGAGGCTGTGGCAGGAGAGTCTCTTGAACCCAGAAGGTGGAGAGGTTGCAATGAGCCGAGATCACACCACTGCATTCCAGCCTGGGCGACAGAGTGAGTGAGACCCTGTCTCAAAAAAAAAAAAAAAAAAAAAAAAACACATGTTCTTAGTACCGCAGCAATAAAAATCTGAAGGTAAAGTGCGAGTATGGTAGTAATTTAGAGCTTGAAATAGACATGGAAGAATCACTCTGGTACTTAATACAGGTGCCTTTGACCAAGCCACCTCTGAAGTCCCAGTTGCTGCTATTTTAAAATGGTGACAATACTATCTCGTACTGGATGATAGAATAATATGCAAAAACTGCTCAGCACAATATCTGGCACAAAGCATATATTCAATAAAGGTAGGCTTTTCTTATTCCCAACAAGGTGAAACATCTGTGGGGTTTGTCATTGTCTCTAGAGTGTCTGTAAGATGATCAGTAGCTATGATTACCTTTATGGTTACTGTAGCAGTGGACTATGAGGGTCAAATAAAAGCACCTCCAGCTACATATCACCCATCCCAGAGAATCCCTGTGCAGTGGCCAACAGTGACAGCAGGAGCTGGGGAGATCCAATGACAGCCTTCATCAAAAGCATGACTACAGAGGTTTGTGAGAATGACATTCCTGGTGTTGAAATGAGTTGAAGACCCCATAAGTATCATAGGTTGCGTGGGCCTGGGAGGACTGAAGGAGAAGCAGGTCCCCTGTCACCACCCATGGTCCAGTCTCACTAGTACCTTTTATTCCAAAGGTGGGGCCCTGAGAAGGCTGTCGCACACACGCAAAGACATTCTGGTAGAGATGGGCACCAAGGGCTTGCACTAGCCCGATTGTAGTTGTGCTTTTCCCTTCTCCCAGGGGTGTTGGAGTTATTCTTCAAGACGAAAGCAAAAGAGAAAAAGGTTTAAAGAATTAAGTGTATCTGAATCACTAAGTCATACCTAGCAGATCCTAGAGAATGACTCGTAATCTAAAGATTAAGAAAGACAAAGTCAGGCATAGCAGTGTATGCCTGTAGTCCCAGCTATATAGGAGGCTGAGGCAAGAGGATCACTTGAGCCCAGGAGTTCCAGGCTACAGTAAGCTATGACTGCACCACTGTACTCCAGCCTGGGCAACAGAGCAAACCCCCATCTCTTAAAGAAAAAAAAAGAAAGAAAAGACAAAGAAAAAGAAAGACAAAAGCCCTGAAAGATATCTTTTTCAAAAGTCTTAGTTGTAATTTCCAAAAAACTTTAAGAAAAAAAATGATTCCTGTATTTTAGCTCTTCTTGCTGTAAGAAGCAAATATACTTTATCTTGTAGAGACACGGCTATAATTTTAATTTCTCATTTTATATTCTCAAAAACTAGCTTTTTAATATAACCTCAGCCCAGCAATAAAAATGAATGCTTAGTAAATCCATCGAATTAATGAATTTTGGGTTCAAAAAGGTGATTCTGGCCGGGTGTGGTGGCTCACGCCTGTAATCCCAGCACTTTGGGAGGCTGAGGTGGGTGGATCACAAGGTCAGGAGTTCGAGACCAGCCTGGCCAACATAGTGAAACACACTCTCTACTAAAAATACAAAAATTAGCTGGGTGTGGTGCCTTGCACCTGTAGTCCCAGCTACTCGGGAGGCTGAGGCAGGAGAACCGCTTGAACTTGGGAGACAGAGGTTGTGGTGAGCCGAGATCGTGCCACTGCACTCCAGCCTGGGCAACAGAGCGAGACTCTGTCTCAAAACAACAACAACAACAACAACAGCAAAAGGTGATTCTATCTTAAGACCGGGTTTTAAGACCAAACTCTTCCACTTACTAGATGGATAACCTTGACCAATTTTCTCATCTATGATTATAATCTATTCTTACCTACCTCTCAGGATTGCTGTAAGGATCAAATGAGATCAAATACGGGTGAAAATGCTAAAATCAAATTAAAGGCACCTCTACATACATGTGCCAAGTGCAAATGCAACGCCTTAGTATCAGGACTGATACTAAGATTTGGATGGCAACATGAATAAAAAGCATACCCAGTCACCACCACGTATTTCCCATCAGGCCGGTGCTTCAGGCGTTCTAGTGCTGACAGCAGAACTTTGGCCTTTGTTTCACCATATAATTCTACCTCTTCAGACAGCAGACCAATTTCTCGAGCCAGCTTACCAATGGGCTTCGGTTTACAAGATCGTGATATATCAATGTCACTTTGGAAACATAGAAAATAGGTATTAATGTTTATCCACTGAGTTTAATTAATCCCACAGTAGTAACAAGCCCCCAACCCAACCCCAACCACTGAAGGCACCTTCAGAGGGAGCATATGTGAACCCACAGTATCTGTCAACTAAAAACCAACAATTCACAAAGTTTTAAATCAGTAAAACTTTATTTTTACCTTGGAACAGGTGTCTTGAGGTTAAGGTTGTTATACTGAATCATCCACTTTCCTGGCTTAAATTTCTCCAGGAAACGCTTGGCACTCTCTACTGTGCTCTAAGCAAAATGAAATAAATGAAACTTAGAAGAGGTGGTTATTTTAATCCTCACCTCAGTTTCAAGCTCCAGGTCACTCCAGTTCAATCACAAAATGAACTGCTTCAGACCCACTTATTACCATGCTTCAATCCTAGCTAAGAGTCAAGAGGCACCTAACATGCTTTGGGGCTGCTCGCCTGGCCCCTGTCAGCTGGTGCATGTTAGAAAGGGAAAACAGGCCGGGCACGGTGGCTCACACCTCTAATCCCAGCACTTTGGAAGGCCAAGGTGGGCGGATCACCTGAGGTCGGGAGTTCCAGACCAGCCTAACCAACGTGGAGAAACCTGTCTCTACTAAAAATACAAAATTCGCCGGGCGTGGTGGTGCACACCTGTAATCCCAGCTACTCAGGAGGCTGAGGCAGGAGAATCACTTGAATCAGGGAGATGGAGGTTGCGGTAAGCCAAGATCACACCATTGCACTCCAGCCTGGGCAGCAAGAGCAAAACTCCGTCTCAAAAAAAAAAAAAAAAAAAGAAAGGGAAGGCAAACCAAAACAGACCTGGCCAAGCCAGTGTGATCGCACTTTTCTTCTTTCAAAGTTATTATATTCCAAAACAGACTGGAATTATGCCATCCCTACTTTCCTCTATTAATGTGCCTGATCTTATTTCTCTATTCTTCCCTTCCCTTTTTCTCAATAAATTCACATCTTTACTTCTGAGTAGGTTTTTGACATTTCTACTTGGGGAGAAAAGCAGCCAAAACTCGATCAGCTTTTCAGAACTCTTATAGAAACTTTTATTCACAATTACCTGCATGAGCATTGCAACTGTCATGGGCCCTACGCCGCCAGGAACAGGAGTGATGAAGCTCGCCCTCTCTTTGGCCTCGTCGTATGCCACATCACCCACAACTTTTCTCCCATTTGGTTTTTTATCATCTGGTCAAGTGGGGGAGAAATCAAAACTAAGTCTCAGAATCACAGTCCTGGTGATCAGTTACGACAAAAACTCAGCAGAATTGTAGGGTGTGTTAGTCCCATCAGGCTCCAGTGCCTACTTAACTTAAAAGCTATGGAATGACAGATGTTTGCTATTTCTTAGGGAGAAAATTATTTTACCTGCAAAAATTCACAAGATGCATAAGTGGTTTTACAGAACCTGGAGAATCCTTTTGTAGTCTCTCAGGTGGCAAATAAAATACCAACTGTTTTTTATTCTTAAAACCAACTACCCAGTATATAATGAGCACCCATTTTAAAATGTTAATTTGCTAAAGCCTACAAAGGAAATTTTTTGGGTGCACAAAGATCCAACTCTGTCACAGCTGCCAGATATCGTTTCTACAGCAACTGTCAGCATTTTGTGAGCTCCATGTGTGAGCTGGAGGAACAATTCAACATCCAATTCCAAAGACACAGCTACTTAAATGTATGCTAAAGGCAAAGAATATAATTACACTTCCCTTAAAAGGACACAAGAACAACTACAAATCTTACCAGCAAAGAATAGCTATTCAAGAGAACAAAACCCAATGATGCATCATTGCTCACTCACACAAAGAACATCCTACACTTGGCTTCAGTGCACTTCCAGGAGGGGCTGGGGGCGGGCCTAGACCTCGAAGCAATAAGGCTCCCGCGCTGCATCTGGTAGTTTTAGCGACATCACCACTTCTCTCTGATCAGATCGCCACAACTGAGAAGAAGCTCCAAGGTGGAGGCAAGAAGCCAGAATTAAGAGATTAGCAGGCACTTTGGGAGGCCGAGGCGGGCGGATCACCAGATCAGGAGATCAAGACCATCCTGGCTAACACAGTGAAACCCCGTCTCTGCTAAAAATACAAAAAAATTAGCTGGGCATGGTGGCGGGCACCTGTAGTCCCAGCTACTTGGGAGGCTGAGGCAGGAGAATGGCATGAACCCGGGGGGCGGAGCTTGCAGTGAGCGGAGATTGCGTCACTGCACTCCAGCCTGGGCAACAGAGCGAGACTCTGTCTCAGAAAAAAAAGAGATTAGCTGTAGCATCAGCTCTTTTATTAAAAATTAGGGCCAGGTGTGGTGGCTCACACCTGTAATGCCAGCACTTTGGGAGGCCAAGGCGGGTGGATCACCTGAGGTCAGGAGTCCGAGACCAGCCTGGCCAGCATGGTGAAACCCCGTCTCTACTAAAAATATTAAAAAATCAGCTGGGCTTGGTAGCGGGCACCTGTAATCCCAGCTGCTCAGAGGCTGAGGCAGGAGACTCACTTGAACCCGGGAGGCGGAGGCTGCAGTGAGCATTCCACTCCAGCCTGGGCAACAAGAGCGAAACTCCGTCTCAAAAAAAAAAGTTAGTTCTGCAGCTCCTGTGGGCTCCATATTAATCTGAAGTCCAAAATGCAAAGAAGGCTTAACACTACCTATCACAAATTTGCTGAGGGCAAAATGAGAAAATGTGTACATTACTGAAATTGAAAAAGCAGCCTCCAAACGCAAGAGTTTCTCTTTCCACCACAGATACGTAAGATATTTTTTATATGGAGTAAAAGGAGCTGGTCAACACAACTCATTGGGATGGTTTCAAGTTTCTAGAAGATTATAAAGCAGCAAACTGGCAGAACATTTCCTCTTACAGCCCCTAGAGTCATTTCAAAATGCCAAGGAAATATAGATAGAGGTTTGCCCTCTGTACAAGTTTCAATCGTCTTCACACTGTAGTTAGCTTGAAATACCCGCTGCATCTATTTCTACGTGTTAATGTTAGTCATTTTCGTTTTCCCACAGGTAAGAGACACATATCTTTGACTACATGACTAAACGCAGCACTGGTGAGTTCAGTTTTGCTCCTAAACCAAATACTGTCAGGGTTGACGAGACACTGCTAAACATGCAGTGCTTCGTGGATAGGATGATGTGGTCAGTGGAAAAAGTGACCACTACTCAGCCTAAGCATATGACCTCAGTAATGAGCAAACCTTTTGGTTATCTACCCCCAGCCCTAGAATTTCTCTTTCTTTGGGAAATCACATGTACAAAAATCAACTAAAGATCCAGCTGAGCCCTGACTCTTCTACATTTAATTTGGGGACCCTAATAATAGAGGCCAGTCCAGAAGCAGCTACACTGGATAGGTTGAGACTGGATTGCATTAGGGTGGGGAATCTGTTCCCACTTTTTAACCCTTCCAAATAAAACACTATTGATCTGGCCCTTCTCAATTTATCTTTAGTAAGCCAAGCAGGAAGAGCACTTTTATGTGTTTCTCTGGCCAATACTTTCTGCCCTGCACTTGAATCTTTAAAAATATTACTTCTTTGTAAAAGGTATACACACCTTGATTCATTCTTAATTTGGCAAGTGACTTACAATGTTATCCCTGAGTGGACCATGCAAACTATTTAAATAATCAAAATATGAACCAAGAAGTAGCTCGGTGGTAGAAAAGTTTGCTTCTAAAGTGAACATTTGCAAATATCAGTCTTTAGGTCCTGCAGCCCATTTGCTGGTCTGTAACTGAGTGATTCTGCCATCCTTTGGGGAACACAATAACATCCAGCTGTATCAGCATTAATTTGCCTATATGCCCAAGATCAGTAAAAACACTGTTGACCAGAAGGGAAGATACTGCTTTGATTTTATTCATATTTTATTGTCTACATAAGGAATCAATGTGAAAAGGATGGCAAGTTTCATGTTTAAGTCAACATTTCCTACCTATCTGCAACACTCAAGATCCCCACTCAGGTTTTTCTTCTCCATTTCTCACATGTAATCCAAAAAAAAAATGCCAAAAGCAGAAATATGATACAGAAGATGCGAGGTTTTAAAAAGACTGAGCTTGCTGGGTGCGGTGGCTCACGCCTGTAATCCCAGCACTTTGGGAGGCAAAGGTGGGCGGATCACGAGGTCAGGAGATCGAGACCATCCTGGCTAACATGGTGAAACCCCGTCTCTACTAAAAATACAAAAAAAATTAGCCGGGCGTGGTGGCGGGCGCCTGTAGTCCCAGCTACTCGGGAGGCGGAGGCGGGAGAATGGCATGAACCCGCAAGGCGGAGCTTGCAGTGAGCCGAGATCGCGCCACAGCACTCCAGCCTGGGCAACAGAGCGAGACTCCGTCTCAAGAAAAAAAAAAAAAATTAAAAAAATAAATAAATAAAAAGACTGAGCTTGAATGTCATATCGCAAGTATTCAAAGTGAGGAGTTGTAGGAGAGCAATTTCTTTATCGCCTGTTAGATAATTACACTACAAGAAAATGAGTGATCAATTATGAGCTACTGTCTTAAAAGCACGGTAGGGAGAGTGGGAGGGAGGTTAAAAACGGTGAAGGCTTGACAGTGACTAATGTTCCTGGCAGCTCAGCGTCTACATCTGAAACTTGAGATGGGAAGGGAGAAAAAAGACTTCCAGCTATAACTCCCTTCGACAATTCAATAGATATGAGTGCCAGTGGTCAGATGGCAGGAAGCTGGATGTGGCGCCACAGTGACCACTGCCCTTGAGGAGCTATCTAGGCAGGAGAGCACAGGACGCCGTACATGAGACACATGCAACAAAAGATACAATACACATGTTCTATGGGAGAGGAGGGAGGGAGAGAAGGAAAGATCATCCCTTGATAAGGGGAAATCAAACAAGGTTTGGAAGGAATAACAGACATGACAGAGAGGAGATGGGGAGGAAGCAGCTGAAGGTGAAGGTGAAGTTGAACCTTATTCAGTTGTGTAGCCCAAGGCCTGGCATTGTGCTGGATACACAGTAGTTGCTCCGTTAAAGATTGTTCCTTTCTTGGATCTATGAGGACGTACGCAAGTTTTGCCCTATTGTTCTGTGAAGTTTTCTGTTTGAAAGAGTAGCCCACTCCACTAAGAATGCAGGTGAGGGAACTACAAAGGGCAAACGAGGCATGCGCAGGGAAGGGAAAGTGGTCCACTTTACAAGTTGAAGACAGGTATTCACCATGCGCAAGTGAGATCACAGGCTGCAGAGGTCACTGAAATTAGTGTGAGGCTAAGGAGTCTGGCAAGTAAGAAGGAAGAGGCTCAGAGTTCCATGCCAGAAGGTGAACGTGGCAAGGCGAGAGCACGGGGATAGATCTGAGTGGGAAGCAGCTGGAGGGAGGGACACCTGCAAGGAAGTTATCACAGCCCATCAGCTGAGAAGGTAACACTCAGTGGTGACACTCAGAACAGAGGAGAGAGAAAACAATTCCTAATATTTAGAGACTGGTCCAATATAGGGAATGCTTGGGAGGGAAACTAAAAGGCTTCAGACTTGCGGGAAGGAAGAATGGTGATACTAACCAAAAGACGGGAGTAAGGGGTAACTTGGGGATGAGGATGCCGAGTACAGTTTTGGACATGATTAAAAGGCTAGATTTATCCTCTCAGCCTAGAAAAAAACCCAGGTCAAATATCTTCTTTGTAAAGCCCTCCTCTTGGCAGAATGAGTCCCTCTTCTGGACTCTCATAGCACTTTGCAATAATTATACTGTATTTTAAATCCATCCATCAACTTTGCTAAAATAAAGGGTGATCTCTACATGAAGATAAAGTGATATATCCCTCCTGCCCTCCCTCTCACTTTCTCCCTGGACAAAGTCATCTTGGAAGCTGTACAGCACATGATGAAAATCAAAGGCTCTGGCACCAGGCAGACCTGCCTGCAAGTGGCAACTCTTCTATCTACTAACTCTGTGCACCCTTGGGCTAGTCAGTCTCCTAAACCTTAGTACTACAAGCATAAAATGAGACAAGCTTCTCTCTCAGGCTTCTTTTGATGACCTAGATACCATCCTCAATACCAGCAGCCACCTTACTCCTCCAACAACACTCACCTGGGACATAATTGATTCCACAGTCGATGACTATTGCCCCAGGTTTGATCCACTCCCCTTTAACCATTTCAGGCTGACCAGTTGCAACCACCAGGATGTCACCTTTATTTACCTAGGGGTAGGGGATTTGGACATCAGAAATGAAATAATGAAATACACACCAAAAAAAAACCCAGAAATGAAAAGGATATCCCTGAGCTTTGTATTAAATTCTTAAGTGTCATAAGCTATTTCATAAGATATTGGGTTAAGGCCTCAAATGTAAGCCACACACTGTTTCTGACAGCCCTTCACATGCCGTGCTCATTTCTACACATGCCAAAGAGCTCCCTTTCACCAGCCATTTTACCCAATAGGGAAATCAGTGTCAACCTGCAAGGCAGAGGGGCAAACAGGCTTGGGGCCCTGCGTGTTATGTCCAGACACTGCTCCTTCTCCTACAGAATGTAGAGCACTACTTTGGGAGGATTAAAAGAGAAAGTACTAGGCCTCTCTCCTGCTCTCTCCCCACATTTAAGAGACTGCACTGTCAACAGGCACGTGTGTGTGTGTGCGCATTCTTGGGCTCAGGAATCTGATGCAGGGATCTAGAACAAGCTGCCATAGCTATTAGCAGACTACTGCCCACGACTGCCTCTGGAGCACCTTCACTCTGAGGCCACCACTTTTACACACATGGGATCTGGCTGCCAGAGGTCAATCTGAGTGCCTGTACTGCTAATCCCTGTCCACCACGAGGCAGATTAGGGTAGAAAGTACTTGGTGAGAGGCCAGGCATGTTGGGTCACGCCTGTAATCTCAGCACTTTAGGAAGGTGAACCAGGAGGATCGCTTGAGTCCAGGAGTTTGAGTCCAGCCTGGGCAACACAGTGAGACCCCTGTCGCTACAAAAAGCTTAAAAATTAGCCAGGCATGGTGGCACATGCCTGTAGTCCCAGCTACTCAGAAGGTTGATGCAGGAGGATCACTCGAGCCCAGGAGTTCAAAGCTGCAGTGGGCTCTCATGGACTGCCACTGCACTCTAGCCTAAATAACAGAGCAAGACCCTGTCTCAAAAGAAAAAAGACAAAGGTCGGGCATGGTGGCTCATGCCTGTAATCCCAGTACTTTGGGAGGCCAAGGCAGGTGGATCACCTGAGGTCAGGAGTTCAAGACCGGCCTGACCAACATGGAGAAACCTTGTCTCTACTAAAAATACAAAATTAGCCAGGCGTGGTGGCACATGCCTGTAATCCCAGCTACTCAGGAGGCTGAGGCAGGAGAATCACTTGAACCCAGGAGGCAGAGGTTGTGGTGAGCTGAGATTGCGCCATTGCACTCCAGCCTGGGCAACAAGAGTGAAACTCCATCTCAAAAAAAATAAATAAAGAAAAAAGAAAAAGGAAGAGAGAAAGTACACAGAACAAACTCTGTATAAACTTCAGCATGCTTTTAATTTTATGTTTTTTTTAATTAATTAATTTTTTTTTTTTTTTGAGACAGGGTCTTGCTCTGTAGCCCAGGCTGGAGTGCAGTGGTGTGATCGTAGCTTACTGCAGCCTCGACCTCCTGGGCTCAAGCAATCCTCTTGCCTCAACCTCCCGAGTAGCTGGGACTACAGGCATGTGCCCACCCCATCTGGCTAATTTTTAATTTTTTTTGCAGAGAAAGCGTCTCACTATGTTGCCCAGGCTGGTCTCAAAAACTCTTGGGCTCAAACAATCCTCCTGCCTCAGACTCCCAAAGTGTTGGGACTACAGGTGTCAGCCACCCCACTCAGCCTTTAATTTGAATTTGTTTTTTCATCTTGTAAAAATGAGATGATGGGGTTAAATGAGGTCATGAGTGTAAAGGACATGGCAGCCTCTGGCACACCCACCCTCCCCACCGTAACACCTTTACCTCTCCTCTGGACACCCTACCTCCTCATCCAGATGGGCAGTCTTGGAGTGGCAGGTGGTCACTGTGGCATTGTTCCACAGAAGCAAGTCATGCATCGGGGCCCCAACTATTTTACTGCGCCCAACCACCACAGCATGCCTTCCGGCAATCGGCACCCCTGAAAGAAAAGCCAGCCTGCATCAGAGTTGGAGGATAGAAGCTGCCCTCCTTCGCATGCCACGTGGAGAAATTAGAATAAGTGCACAAAAACAGGTTCTTAACATCAAACAGAAACCTTCCTAAAAGCATTCCTTCTTTGGCAATAATATTCTCAACTCTAGGGTTTCAGCTATAAATTGGGACTTGTACTTGTGTCCTTCTGGCCGTGGGTTTTTGGGAGCAGCTTAAGCCAAGATCATTCATTGAGTCATAGGGGAGTGGGAAGAAAACCTACACTCAAAGAAAAAAGAAACCCTGACATACAGCTAATCAGCCATACGGAAGAAGACATCAGATTAAATTACATGGGGAAAAAAAGTTAAAACAAATAGGGTGTATGTAACAGGCTGGAGAGATGTGTAAGAAATTAGATTAGTATCGGTAATTCCTTCTAACTTTGGTAAGTTTGTTTATACAGTTCCTCACCCAAATTTCTCTTTTGGCTTAGGGCCTGAGCCATAGGGTTACTTGCAGGGAAGTGATAAAGGGGAAATTGAACTGTGGCAGCAAAGCTTTCTTTTTGCTATCACAGCATCCATTTTTCTGGCAATATACCAATGTCCTTTTCAGGGCTGACTCATACTCTACTAAAGACAGCCTGAGTGAGTACCCAGTAGTGGACAGGGGACCATATTTCTTCCCTCAGCTGATAAGATCCAATCCCATGACTGTTAGGCATGAGGATGGAACCAGGCTGTAGGTGTTTGTGGCCACAAAGTGGAGCCCGAAAATGAGCTGTCCACAAAGAAGAAAGCAGAGAGAAGTTGACGACTTCATCAGAGTCCTCAGGGCAGTCAAGGCTGAGGGCAGTGGACCCTTGCTCAAAGCAGCAAGGGTTTAAATTGTGCTTCTCGCATAAAATCATTTTTTTTCAGAAAAAGATAAACTCTTATAATAATGTGAACATCATGAACATCTAGAAGTAAAGACCTCAAAGTTTTAAAAGGTAACTTTCTATACTTTTTAGGATTCAGCAGAAGAGTTAAAGCTGCATCAGGGCAAATGGTAGCATCACTCAATAAGAGGCAGTGGGAGGCCTTCAGGTGCTGTCCTCGTGGGATTTTTTTCTTTTAAGCAAGGCACTACAATGTTTGCTAAATATGCTGAAGAATATACATTTAACTGTAGAAATGAACTGTCAAAGCTTGACCTTTGACCTTTTCTTGCCAACCACAGAAAATTTTCATTTATGCTGGCCAAAACTTTCCACTTGAAACTTCTGACCTACTTCTTTTTACCAGGACCCATTTCCTTGTAAAAAATAACCTCTGCTAAAAGTATTCATAATGAAATTAAAATAGCAAGGTGCTAACTAGTAACGGGACAATATGGCCAACTGTGCAGGAGACCCATTTCCAGCCATCTGTCGAGTCCTGGAACTACTGTGGAGATTCAGTGCCCATTTTGGGGGTGGGGGGAGGTGGGGCTTTTCACTTCATATCCTTTTAAACTATCCAAATTTTTATTACTGTATAGGTTAAAATAAATTGCTTTGAACTCAGATAACTCTGAATTCAAATCTTGGTTCCGTTGTCTCCCAGACAAGTTACTTGCTCTCTCTGAGCTGGTTTTGTTTGTTTGTTTGTTTGTTTGTTTATTTTAGAGACAGAGTCTCGCTCTGTTGCCCAGGCTGGAGTGCAGTCAGGTGATCTCGGCTCACTGCAACCTCCGCCTCCCAGGTTCAATCAATCCTCCCACCTCTGCCTCCCGAATAGCTGGGAATACAGGTGCATGCCACCCTGCCTGGATAATTTTTTTGTATTTTTAGTAGAGACAGGGTTTCACCATGTTGACCAGGCTGGTCTCGAATTCCTGACCTCAGGTGATCTCAGCCCGCTTCAGCCTCCCAAAGTGCTGGGATAACAGGCATGAGCCGCTGTGCCTGGCCTGAGCCTATTTTCTTAGCAGTTGAACAATAACAGTACCTACTTCACAGAGTTGCTGAGAAAATTGAGAGAAAATTTAGGTAACATCCTTAGTAGACAGGCCCTTCTGCCAATCAAGTCCATTTATTTATGGCCCACAATGTACCTCCTCTATGCCACCACATGTCAAGACCAGGATTCAGGAAATGGTGCTTTCTTGTTGTTTGGTTTGTTGTTTTTACCTGTCTCTTTGATGAGTTCCAAGCATCCCTTAGGCGTACAAGGAATGAAACAGTCATTGAGGTCACCTCTAGCAAGTTTCCCAGCATTGATGCTAGTCAATCTTAAAAAAGTGATGGAAATAAGAAGGAAATAAAGGCAATTAGATGTCTTTACTCTTTAGAAACATTTATGCTGTATTCCCCAAATAGAAACATATTATAAATGAAAGCATGCAATGAGACATAGGAAGCCAAGCCACACTTACCCATCCACATCCTTCTCGGGTGCAATAGCATTGATCACTTCTTCAGTGTTAATGGAATTCTCTGAATCTAAAGGTAGCTGCACTAAGAACCCATGTACAGTAGAGTCTTCATTCAAAGATGTAATGTACTTCATCACCTAAAAGTAATACCATATATAATTTGTATATCACACAGAAATCAAAAGGTAGGAAGAAACACTTTCTAAGGCAAAAATTAGGTTGCCCTATTTCCCCCCAACACTTTAATTATAGTCCTTTCAGAATGTACCTTCCCCTTGAATCCTGAGAGCACCTGTACTTTAACATAGAATGCATCCCCTAGGTGTCTGGTAAGAAGTCCATCAAATAAAAGAGCTAAGAGGCTGGGCGAGGTGTCTCATGCCTGTAATCCCAGCACTTTGGGAGGCCAAGTCAGGAGGATTACTTGAACCCAGGAGTTCAAGACCAGCCTGGACAACACAGTGAAATGTGATATCTACAAAAACTTTTTAAAAATTAGGGCCAGGGGCTGGGTGCGGTGGTTCACGACTGTAATTCCAGCACTTTGGGAGGCTGAGGTGGGTGGATCACCTGAGGTTGGGAGTTTGAGACCAGCTGGGCCAACATAGTGAAACCCTGTCTCTACTAAAAATACAAAATTAGCCAGGTGTGGTGGCACATGCCTGTAATCCTAGCTACTCGGGAGGCTGAGGCAGGAGAATTGCTTGAACCTGGGAGGTGGAGGTTGCAGTCCGCTGAGATAGTGCCACTGCACTCCAGCAGTGAGTTGAGATTGTGCCATTGCACTCCAGCCTGGGCAACAATAGTGAAACTCCACCTCAAAAAAAAAAAAAAAAAATTAGGGCTGGGTGTGGTGGCTCACACCTGTCATCCCAGCACTTTGGGAAGCCAAGGCAGGCCTCCCAAAATATAGAAAATTATTTTCTATAATTTGCACCTTACAATACAATAGCAGCTACTGGATCACTTGAAGCCAGGAGTTTGAAACCAGCCTGGCCAACATGGTGAAACCCTGTCTCTACAAAAATATAAAAAATAAGCCGGGCATAGTGGCGCATGCCTGTAATCTCAGCCTCTCAGGAGGCTGAGGCATGAGAATCGCTTGAACCCAGGAAGCGGAGGCTGCAGTGAGCTGAGATCATGCCACTGCATCCAGCCTGGGCAACAGAGCAAGACTCTGTCTCAAAAAAAAAAAAAAAAAAAAAAAAGCGGGGACAGGTGCGGTGGCTCACGCCTGTAATCCCAGCACTTTGGGAGGCTTGAGTGGGCAGATCACTTGAGGTCAGTAGTTTGAGACCAGCCTGGGCAATATGGGCAATTAAAAATACAAAAATTAGCTGGGCGTGGTGGCGCATGCCTGTAGTCACAGCTACTCAGGAGGCTGAGGCATGAGAATCGCTTGAACCTGGGAGGTGGAGGTTGCAGTGAGCCAATATTGCACCACTGCACTCTAGCCTGGGCGACAAGAGTAAAACTCTGCCTCAAAAATAAAATAAAATTAGCTGGGCATGGTGGCTCATGCCTATAGTCCCAGCTGCTCAAGAGGCTAAGGTGGGAGGATCACTTGAGCTTAGGAGGTTGAGGCTACAATGAGCTATGATCACACCACTGTGCTGCAGCTGAGGCAAAAGAGTGAGACCCTGTCTCTAAAAATACAATACAATAAAATAAAAAGAGCTAAGAACTCTAATAACTTATTACAGCAATAATACCCATGTTACAATCATCCAAATCAAGATGTAGAGCAGCAATGTCCAATCATCTTTTCTGCGATGGCAGAAATTTTCTATAATTTGCACCTTACAATACAATAGCAGCTACTTAATCCTTGCAAAGTGGCTAGTACAACCAAGGAAGTGAATTTTTAATTTTATTTCATTTTAACTAAATTCAAATAGCCTCATGGGGCTAGTGGCTCCCATACTGGACAGCGCATATATGGAACATTGCCATAACCTCAAGAAAGTTGCTTTATCCTCCTACAGTTTAGCATTAATCTCCCACCTACAGGCAACCACAGTTCTGACTTTAATCACCGCTGATTTGTTCTGCCTAGTCCTGAACCTCATATAAAAGGAATACATATTTGGTTTTTAGAATGCAGATAATTACAGGCCAAGGATCGGTTTTACCTATTTTTTTGAGACGGAGTTTTGCTCTTTTTTCCCAGGTTGGAGTGCAATGGTACGATCTTGGCTCACTGCAACCTCCGCCTCCCGGGTTCAAGTGATTCTCCTGCCTCAACCTTCCAAGTAGCTGGGATTACAGGCATGCGCCACCACGCCTGGCAAATTTTGTATTTTTTAGTAGAGACAGGGTTTCTCCATGTTGGCCAGGCTGGTCTCGAACTCCCGACCTCAGGTGATCTGCCCACCTCGGCCTCCCAAAATGCTGGGATTACAGGCATGAGCCACCGTGCCTGGCTCCAAGGATCAGTTTTAACAAACACAACAGATGATTTGGAAGCAAACAGTACTGCAGTCACACTTTGAGTACCAAATGTTCATCCCTGCACCATCTCCTCTGTGGGAGTCTGTGAAGAAAGAATACCTGGAGGTGCCAGGCGTGGTGGCTCACGCCTGTAATCCCAGCACTTTGGGAGGCCAAGGCGGGTAAATCACCTCAGGTCAGGAGTTCAAGACCAGCCTGGCCAACGTGGTGAAACCGCGTCTCTATTAAAAATATAAAAATTAGCCAGGTGAGGCGGTGGGCGCCTGTAATCCCAGCTACTCGGGAGGCTGAGGCAGGAGAATTGCTTGAACCTGGGAGGCGGAGGTTGCAGAGAGTCGAGATCGCATCATTGCTCTCCAGCCTGGGTGACATGAGCAAAACTGTGTCTCAAAAAAAAAAAAAAAAAAAATACCTGGAGGTCTTGGCTAAATGTGTCAGTCCCCAAAGCCCCCGTAAACCAAAACCAGAGAGGAAACCACTTCACCTTCCCTCTTCACAATCAACTCATAAAAGCTCACCTCAGATTCTGTGGTTGTTCTTGGTAACTTAATGTGAGTGGCTTTGATCCCAATCTGCAAAACAGACATTAAAAGCAGGTAAATGGCAAGACAACTTGAGATATTGAACCATTTCTTTTACAGACATGACTAACAAGCAAGGAGGTGTTGGTCATCATTTCACCCTTATATGTTCTGAAGAATGAGTCCCTCACTTCAACCCATTCATCATTCACTTGTTAATTGCCACCACTGCACTTCAGCAATGTCATGCTTGCTATTTCTTGAGAAAGGAAATTAAATCTTGGGACCCCAAATTCATTAAGTCAAAGGGAAAAGCCAAGCTGGGAACTGGGTCATGCAAATCTGCCTCCCCCTTTTTGGTTCCTAAATAAGATGTTACAAGATGAAAAGCTACATGCCTCCCCCATATTTTGCCCACAAAGAAATTCGTAGTGAGCTGCAACATCTTTATGATGTTTCTGTTAAAATTTCACCATGGCAATGTAAATCCCCCCAGCCCACCAGACACAAATGTATATCTGATTTTTCCCCTGCCCAATTCTGTCTATGTTATCTTATGTAAAATGCAGATTGCCTGCATTTTTCCTCTGCCCCACTTGTCTATATCGTCTTTTTTTTTTCTGGTTGGAGCTTCACTCTTATTGCCCAGGCTGGAGTGCAATGGCACTATCTTGGCTCACCACAACCTCCGCCTCCCAGGTTCAAGCGATTCTCCTGCCTCAGCCTCCCGAGTAGCTGGGATTACAGGCATGCGCCACCACACCCAGCTAATTTTTTGTATTTTTAGTAGAGATGGGGTTTCTCCATGTTTCTTAGGCTGGTCTAAAACTCCCGACCTCAGGTGATCCGCCCGCCTCGGCCTCCCAAAGTGCTGGGATTACTGGCGTGAGCCACCGCGTCCGGCCATCTGTCATCTTATGTAAAAAATGCAGATTCACTGAGCCAGAGAAGGTCATGAATGACTATTTTTCCCTACCCACCTCTTACATGAAAACGTGTACTTTTCAATAACCCACCCTTTCCTCTTTAAATTTGGAGAACTCGAAATCATCTTCGGAGAAAGGTATAGACCTGTCTCCCAGGTGTGTCCTTAATTTTGGCAAATAAATCTCCTAAAATGATCGAGACTTGTCACTTTCCTCAATTGACATCCTGCTCTTTGGGAAGAAAATCATTAATGAGAAAACAAAAACTCACGGGCAAACCAGAGGCCACAGATCTAACCCACCCATTTCTGACTTACAAAATAGATAAACTAATGTCTCCTGTGGGTGATAAAAGTTTTCACAGGGAGGACCAAAAAGGGCAAGGGGTAATCGATAGGACCCAGGTGGAGGTTGGGGAGGGTGATGGCACAGCTCTTCTGGCGTTACCTCTTCAGCAGCCTTCAGCTTCACATTTATATAAAGATTGGAATCATCTCTGTTGCCAACCTAGAATAATAAATGCATGCAAATCAGATGATTAGGGAAAGGCAAAGTGCACAGAAAAGCTTCTACAATTTTAGTTTTAATAAAAGAAATGTTTAATCATGCGACTCTTGTTGCAGAGAACTTTTACAGGAGTATAGGGAGGCTGTGGGGGCAGGAGGGATTATGTGAACACAGATGGTGTTACAGCCCCTCCCCTAAACAAGGCCCACCTGGTTCCCACTGCCAAACCCCAAACAGAAAGTAGAGGATATCTGCATCTGCACTGGAAACTAAGCAAGGATGCTGCAGGCCTACTAGAAACATGTGGGATTTCTGCTGCCATACCAGAAAAACAGAGTATGGAGGGCTGAGAAACTGTCATCAGGCAAGAAAAATGCCTGAGAGGCAGGAGCACCCAGAGGGCACATTCCACACCCTCTCCCCCACCCGCAGGGGCAATGGAAAGCTCCCTGGCCCCGCCACACAGACAATAGAAAGGAGGGTGGAAGGACCTCCCTCTAGTTTACACAGAATAAACAGCCAGGCAAGACAAAGGGCAATCTGCTGGCCCCAACACAGAGAGGAGGCCGGGTGCAGCAACTCAGGTCTATAATCCCTGCACTTTGGGAGGCCAAGGGAGGAGGATCGTTTGAGCCCAGGAGTTCGAGACCAGCCTGGGCAACATAGTGAGACCCCCCCCCCCATCTTTACAAAAAATTAGCCAGGCATAGTGGTGCCTGCCTGTAGTCCCAGCACTCAGGAGGCCAAGGTGGGAGGATTACTTGAGGTCAAGAGTTTTTCCATGATTGCACCAGTGCACAGTGAGTCATGGTACTATGCCTGGGCAGCCTGGGCAACAGAGAGAGACCTTGTCTCTTAAAAAAAAAAGAGAGAGACAGGGAGAAACTTGTAGTGCAGAGGCTAAATCCTTTGAACCACCATGCAGTGTCTCACTATGTTCCCTCTGTTTCTTTGACCATGAACATATTTATAGTTTATCATTATAACCATTTATTTGTAAAATTTTATTGTACTAATATTGTTTCATGCTCCAGTGGTTGGTATTTCTCCTTCTCAAGGTTGATACATGCTACCATAAGTTGTGTTTCTCCCAGAATTGCAGAGGGTATCACAGAGGGAAAGGTGGTGGTCCCTTCATATCAAAGACAACTGAAGCACAGCTCCTTTTAACAGGACCATGGCAGAGAAAGAAGCCGGCTTTTGTAACACAGGATTTTCTGAGCTTGTCATATTGGTGCTATTACTGGACGCTCTCCTCAGATCTCAGGACATGGCCTGAATCTTAGCTTCAGTTGTCCCTTATACAGACAGTTCTCAGTTTTGTGGTGCTAATTTGAATTGCAAGAGCCAGAAGAGTCCTTTGAGGGGAATTCTACCTTTTTTTTTAATGGGTTATTTGTATCTAAGTACATTAGATGCTTCTCGTAGGGGCTTCCCTAGACTTTTCGTGCCTCTCATGTTTCCTCTTTGGTCACTTTCTATGTATGTTCTTTGCCCCACCACCCAACCCTCACTGGTTCAGTTACCAGATTTGATACATTCCGGAATTTTTAGATCAAAGTAGGAAAGGAGGTGGTTCTAAATACAAAAGTATTATTTTTTTACAATTTCATTCATATTTATACCTACCACTAGTTATTTAGTCTTAACTCTGAGATTAAATTGTTTTATCACTTGCTGCCAGTAAGGAAGCCACAACTTCTCTGTTCTAGAATTTATCTTCATTCATGTTTCAAGTAAGTGAAATGTAACTTATAAGTCAGTTTTCCAGGAAAGGTAGGTGGACATGTTTCTAAGTCTGTATAACTGAAAATATTTTTCTGCTGTCCCTTGCACTTGACTGGCCTTGCCTGATTTGGAGTGACAGCATTTTCCTTCGGAGATGTTGTCTTTGGCATCTAATGTCACACAGGAGAAGTCTGAAGTCTCTCGCTGTTGTTGTTCCTTTACATGTAACTATTTTCGGCCTGAATATTTCTGAAGGAGTTTGTCTAAAACACTAAAACTACAACCAGTTCCAGAAAGAAAACTTAATAGTTATAGTTATGAGCGTATGTCAAAGTTTTATTGGAAAAGACATCTAAAAGCCAATTCAAAGAGTCACTCTTAGTATAGGTTTTATTTATTTATTTATTATTTTTGAGACAGGGTCTTACTCTGCCACCCAGCCTAGAGTACAGTAGCATGATCATGGCTCACTGCAGCCTGCAACTCCTAGGCTCAAGCAATCCTCCCACCTCAGCTTCCCAAGAAGCTAGGACTACCAGTACACGCTGCCACAAACAGCCAATTTTTGTATTTTTTGTAGAAATGGAGTTTCTCTATTGCCCAGGCTGGTCTCAAACACCTGGGCTTAAGCAATCCTCCTGCCTCAGCCTGCCAAAGTGCTAGGTAGGTGTGAGCCACCACACTTGGCCAGTATAGGCATTTTATAGGGGAAAGTGGTTATAGAACCATTGATAGACTAGATGCAAAAAGAATGTTTAAAGAACGTGTATTCTGGCCGGGCATGGTGGCTCACGCCTGTAATCCCAGCACTTTGGGAGGCTAAGGCGGGCAGATCACCTAAGGTCAGGAGTTCGAGACTAGCCTGGCCAAGATGGTGAAACCCCATCTATACTAAAAATACAAATATTAGCCAGTCATGATGGTGTGCACCTGTAATCCCAGCTACTTGGGAAGCTGAGGCAGGAGAATCCCTTGAACCCCGGGGGCAGAAGTTGCAGTGAGCCAAGATCGTGCCATTGCACTCCAGCCTGGGCGACAAGAGTGAAACTCCATCTCAAAAAAAAAAAAAAAAAAAAGAATGCTGATTTCTCCTTGAAGGTGGCTGAGTACTACATCATCCAAAAAAGATCCTATTCCAGAACAGGTTAGGGACACTTTTTTTTTATACCAGGAGTCTGCAAACTTTCTGTAGAGGGGCAGACGGTGTATATTTTAGGCTTTGTGGGACACATACCGTGTCACAGCAGCTGCTGCTATTGCTTTTTTAACTCTTTATAAACTGGGCAGCATTTGGATACGGGCCACAGTTTACTAATCTGTGTTCTACACCGTAAGATATCTTGGGTATTGGTCTACTGGTTCATTTTTCTTTCTGTTTCAGAAAACCTTATGAAGATACAGGCTAGTTGAGTTTATTAACTGTATTCTGTCCATGTATTTTGTGAGGACTGAATGAGTTACTATACATAAAGCACTCTGAATAGTTCCCGAATACTGTTAAAAATCAGTTTTTTGGCCAGGTGCAGTGGCTCATGCCTATACTCCCAGCACTTTGGGAGGTCAAGGTGTGTGGATTGCTTGAGCCCAGGAGTTAAAGACCAGCCTGGGCAACATATCGAAACCCCATCTCTACAAAAAATACAAAAATTATCTGGGCATGGTGGTGTGCCTGTAGTCCCAGCTCATTTGGGAGGCTAAGGTGGGAGGATCCCCTGGGGGACAGGGGAGGGCAGAGGTTTCAGTGAGCAGAGATCACATCACTGCACTCCAGCCTGCATGACAGAACAAGATTCTGACTCAAAAAAAAAAAAAAAAGAGAGAGAGTGAGAGATACTAATGAGGCTATGGGGCTGAGGCTGTATTTCTATCACCTTACCAGAAACTTTTTTTTTTTTTTGAGACAAAGTCTTGCTCTGTCACCCAGGCTGGAGTGCAATGACACGATTACAGCTCACTGCAGCCTCAACCTCCCAGGCGTGAGCAATCCTCCCAGCTCAGCCTCCTCAGTAGTGGGGACTACAGGCAAGCACCACCACAACCAGCTAATTTTTGTATTTTTTTGGAGACAAAGTCTCTCTATATTTCCCAGGCTGGTCTTGAACTCCTGGGCTCAAGCAATCCACTCGCCTTGGCCTCCTAAAGTGGTGGGATTACAGGCGTGAGCCACCATGCCTAGCCCATTAGTATCTCTTATAATGAAAAGTCAAGTCTTAATTTCCTATAAATATTCAGTTATTTGGGAAGTTACTCATCCACTTTATTAAAAAAAAATGAAAACTCAACTTTTAAATATATACTTGGGCCAGATCATGAATGTTCTTGAATGCATTGCTAAGGAATTAGGAAAACAAAGGGGAAGAACAAATGGGTTTTAGAGACAGATCTGGGTTCATTTCCCAGACTCAGTCCCTTCCTGACTGGCTTTGGGCAAGCTACCCAAGATCTTTGAGCATGAGTTACTATGGCTATAAGGGGACATCTCCTACATCGTAGGGTAGTATAAAACATAGAACGATTAGAAATATAAACAAACAATTTGAATTATTGTAGACACTCTATATAAGTAGTACAGGTTGAAGATCCCTAACTCAAAAATCCAAAATCAGTCAGGTGCGGTGACTCGGCACTTTGGGAGGCCAAGGCAGGTGGATCACTTGAGCTCAGTCTGAGACTAGCCTGGGCAATATGGAGAAATTCTGTCTCAAATACTAAAATTAGCTGGATGCCTGTAGTCCCAGCTACTCAGGAGGCTGAGATGGGAGGATAGCTTGAGCCTGGGAGATCCAGGCTGCAATGAACTGTGATCACACCCCTGCACTCCAGCCTGGACAACAGAGTGAGACCCTGTCTCAAAAAAAAAAAAAAAAAAAACCACAAATAAAAAATGCTCCAAAATCAGAAACTTTGAGCACTGACAACGCCAAAAGTAGAAAATTCCACACCTGGCCTCATGTGATGGCTTACAGTCAAAACACAGTTAAAAGTGCATTTCATGCAAAATATTATTAAAAATATATAAAATTGGCCGGGAGCAGTGGCTCATGTCCGTAATCCTAGCACTTTGAGAGGCCGAGGCAGGCGGATCACCTGAGGTCAGGAGTTCAAGACCAGCCTGACCAACATGGTGAAATCTCATCTCAACTAAAAATACAAAAATTAGCCAGGCGTGGTGGAACACACCTGTAATCCCAGCTACTCAGGAGGCTGAGGCAGGAGAATCACTTGAACCCAGGAGGTGGAGGTTGCAGTGCGCCGAGATCGTGCCATTGCACTCCAGCCTGGGTGACAAGAGCAAAACTCAGTCTCAAAAAAAATAATAATAATAATAATTATTATTATATATATATATACACACACACACATATATATAAAATTACCTTCAGTCTACAAGTATAAGGTATATAATGAAACACAAATAAATTTTGCTTTAGAATTGGATCTCATCCCTATGTATATACAGATTCCAACATCTAAAACACTCTTGTCCCAAGCATTTCGGATAAGGGATACTCAACTTGTACTATCATTCTGGTAAAGGATGGAGAGTGAGTGTGGCTGGATAGATTGTGATCAGACTTGCATTTTAACAAGGATTGCAATTGCAGTCAGGAGGACAGACAGGAGGTATATAGATAGAACCCCAAATCATTAAGCAGGTAACTATAGTGGCCCCAGGGTTGGGAGAAATAGGAATCAAGGGGAGGCAACAGATTCCAAGAGTTGATGAGAGGCACAATCAATAGGACAATAGCCCCTAACTGGATGCAGGGAGTGAGGAAGAGAGCTCCTAAGGAGACGGCCTCAGGCTTCTAGCTCAGGGAATGTGGGAAGATGGTGGTGCCAGCACCACAGCGAAAAAGACTAGAGGTCTGAGGCAGGGAGATGTGATTACAACATATTATATAAACCTTGTATCACAGAAAGCTGTTGACTCTGGTGCTAAAGTACAAAATTAAAAGATTCTACCACTGTTTTATCAGCAAGGACGTAGGAGACGAGCTGTAGAACAGTGTTTATGTAATAAAAACATTTGTAATCAATAAATTTAAAAAACAAGGTTGGAAGTCAGTTTTTAAAATGGAGGAAAAAAAACACCCCCAATGTTGCTTTAAAAAGGGTATACTTCTTGCCTATGACATTTACTCTTTCTACAACAAACAATTTGCAAAAATAAGCCAAGAAATAACCAGCCACCAAATGTACCAGTATACACCCACAATATATACTTTTGATTCTTAGTAATTTGCAAAAAAGGGAAAATCCACCACAGCAGAGAACATGCCAGGCAGAGAGTGACAGGCCTTCTGTGCTTTTCTTCTCAGCTAAGCCCTCTTAGACAAACAGCAGAGGAGGAGAGGGGAATATTTAAGTACTATTCACTTTGACTTTTTTTTTTTTAAATTGAGACGGAGTCTTAGGCTGGAGTGCAGTGGCACAATCTCAGCTCACTGCAACCTCTGTCCCCCAGGTTCAAGCGATTCTCCTGCCTCAGCCTCCTGAGTAGCTGTGATCACAGGTGTGCACCACCACACCTGGCTAATTTTTGTATTTTGAGTAGAGATGAGTTCTCACCATGTTGGCCAGGCTAGTCTCAAACTCCTGACCTTAAGTGATCTACCCGCCTTAGCCTCCCAAAGTGCTGGGATTATAGGCATGAGCCACCGCACCATGCCCACCTTGACATTCTTGATGAACAAGGGATAGAAATTTAGCAAGGGATTAAATGATCTATTGGAGACATACAAATAAAGAGATTGAGAAGGAGACTATGTCCAACTTGGGTGAAACTCTGATGGGAGTTTCAAATGAAAGCCGTGAGTTTCCTGTCATCCAAATCAAGATTGCAAACATTCCTTCATACATTTGTCCGTAAAAATATGTATTGAATATCTCCCTACTGGGTGAATCTGGAGCTCAGGGAAGAAATACTGGATAGAGACCTAAATTTGGAAGCATTCCCTCATGAAGCTATGGGACTGGGTGAGGTTACTTAGGGAAAGAATAAGATGGGGAAGAGATCTCAAGGGTGAGCCCAAGGCATTCAAATGGTTTAGGTATTAGGGTGATGAGCAACAACAAGCAAAGGAGACTTGAAGGTGGGAAGGAAACCAGTGGTGTCCCAGACCAAGAGCCTGGAGCTCAGAAGAAATCTAGATTTAGAAGTCACTGGCCTGATAGATGAAACTGCCTAAAATAATGGTTCTGATAATGTGGCCCACACACTCTTGAGGGACCCCAAGACCTTTTCAAAGATTTATGAGGGCCAGACTAGCTTCATAATAATACCACTACAATGTTGTTTGCCTTTTTCATTGTGTTAACGTCTGTACCGATGGTGCAAAAGCAATGGTGTGTAAGACTACTAGTGAACCAGCACAAATCAAGACAATGGCTTTGGACTAGTAGTCAAGGTATCCTTCACTACCACACACTCCCAGTAAAACTAAATGCCAGTTTCACTAGGACCACCCTTGATGAAGAAATATACATTATTAATTTTCTTAAACTTCAACTTGGCCGAGCACAGTGGCTCATGCCTGTAATCTCAGGACTTTGGGAGGCCAAGGCGGGAGGATCACTTTGAGCCCAGGAGTTGGAGACTAGCCTGGGCAACAAGGCAAAAAACCGTCTCTACAAAAAAATACAAAAAATTAAGGCCAAGCGCAGTAGCTCATGCCTGTAATCCCAGCACTTTGGGAGGCTAAAATGGGAGGATCACTTTGGGTCCCAGAGTTCAAGACCAGCTAGGGCAACAAGGCAAAAAAAAACTCTACAAAAAAATACAAAAAATTAAGGCTGGGCGCAGTGGCTTACACCTGTAATCTCAGCACTTTGGGAAGCTGAGGCAGGTGGATCACCTGAGGTCAAGAGTTCGAGACCAGCCTGGCCAAAATGGTGAAACCCTATCTCTACTAAAATTACAAAAATTAGCTGGGCGTGGCACCTGTAATCCCAGCTACTCCAGAGGCTGAGGCATGAGAATCACTTGAACCCAGGAGGCAAAGGTTGCAGTGAGCTGAGATTATGTCATTACATTCCAGCCTGGGGGATAGAGCGAGATTCTGTTTCAAAAAAAAAAAATTAGCAGGGTGCAATGGCAGGTGCCTGTAATCCCAGCTACTCAGGAGGCCAAGGCAGGAGAATTGCATGAATCTGGGAGCGGAGGCTGCAGTAAGCCAAGATTGCACCACTGCACTCCAGCCTGGGCGACAGAGCAAGACTCCGTCTCAAAAAAAAAAATTAGGCATGGTGGCGCATGCCTGTAATCCCAGCTACTCTGGAGGCTGAGTGGGAGGATCACTTGAGCCTGGGAGATGAAGGTTGCAGTGAACCAAGATTGTGCCACTGCACTGAGTAACAGTAAAACTCTGTCCCAAAAAAGTAAAAAATATATATATATAAATAAACCTCAACTCTTGAGTGCATGTGTTTTTAATAGTCTATGTAAGGAATTGGGAAGCACTCATAATGCACTTCTGCTATATACAGAAGTACAGTGGTTGTGGTTGTTACTAAAGCATTAGTGCTTTTTTATTTTTATTTTTATTTTTTTTTGAGACAGGATCTCACTGTCACCTAAGCTGGAGTACAGTGGCATGAACACAACTCCCTGCAGCCTCGACTTCCTGGGCTCAAGTGATCTCCTGTCTCCCTCTCATGTAGTTGGGACCACACCTCTATACGACCACTCCTGGCTCATTTTTTAATTTTTTTGTGGAGATGGGATCTCACTTTGTTGTCCAGGCTGCACTTGTGCTTTTTTGCCTTGTTAGCTGAAACAGATGCATTTTTATATGAAACACCTACTTGAAATAACAACTGACAAGCAATGATTATTCAGGCTTGAGTATTTGACAAATATTTTCTCAAAAATGAATAAAGTGAAACTGGTATTTCAAGGGAAACAATTAATTGTATTTGTTGCCAATGATAAAATGTGAGTTTTTGGGTGAAAATTAAAATTTTTTATCCACCCCTGTGAGCTTGACAGCTTCTCAATACTTGAAAACTTCTCTGATGAGCTTGTTGGTGATGTTAATGATTCCAATTCTTTCATATTGCATAATGAAATGTTAACATTTGGAAGATCTGCATAATTCCGGGAACTATTATTTTCCAAATGAGGAACAAAGGATGTTACAAAACCATGCATGGGGTAAATATTCATTCCAAATGTAACATTTTGATGTAACAAAGTGTGCAAGTCTGAGAAGATGTAACAAAGTATCAAAGTTCACTGATAGAGTTTCAGATTCTACATTGCAACTAATCTTTTAAAATTTACTTACTGAGTCCTGGTACAACATCAAAGAAAAATACCCACAATTACCTGGAAGGACTGTTAAAAAAATTCTTCCCTTTTATAGCTACACATCTGTATGAAGCCAAATTTTCTCCATATATTTCAATCAAACCAGCACACAGCAAAAGACTGAATGCAGAGGCAGATAGGACTCCAGCTCTCTTCTACTAAGCCATACAGGAAAGAGGTGTGCACAAATATAAAATAATGCCCCTCTTTTCACTAAATTTTCTTTTTAAAAAAGTTTTTGTTCCATAAAATGTTATTTATGTTAACATATAATAAATGAGCTCACTATTGGCATTTTTAAATGAATAAACATTTTTAAAACTTCCTAATTTCTCTTTTTTTTTTTTTTGAGACGGAATCTCTCTGTCGCCCAGGCTGGAGTGCAGTGGCACAATCTTGGCTCACTGCAACCTCCACCTCCCGGGTTCAAGTGATTCTCCTGCCTCAGCCTCCAGAGTAGCTGGGATTACAGGCGCCCACCACCACGCCCAGCTAATTTTTGTGTTTTTAATAAAGATGGGGTTTCACCATGTTGGCCAGGCTGGTCTCAAACTCCTGACCTCAGGTGATCTGCCCACCTCGGCCTCCCAAAGTGCTGGATTACAGGCAGGAGCCACCGTGTCCGGCCAAAACTTCCTAATTTCTAATATAGTAAACATTAATGGATAAATCTGTATAAACAATAGCTTCTTGAGGTCTTACATCTTTAAGAGTGTAAACGGGGCCAGGTACAGTGGCTCACGCCTGTAATACCCATGCTTTGGCAGGCAGAGGCAGGAGGACTGCTTGAAGCCAGGAGTTCAACGCTACAGTGAGCTATGATTGCACTACTACATTCCAGCCTGGCAACAGAGTAAGACCTTGTCTCTCAAAAGTAAATAAATAAATAAATACATTAAATTAAAGAAAAAAAAGATTGTAAAGGGGCCCTACTAAGACCAAAGGTTAAGAGACACTGGCCTAGAGAAAGGGTATCCACAGAGAAGAGCAGAGGGCCAGGATATGCCAACATTTAGAAGCTGAGCCAAAGGGGGGAGCCTGCCAAGAGAGACTGAAAAGGCATGAGATTACACAACAGCCAAAAAAAAAGGAGGAAAGTAGAGGGAGAGGTCTGAAATGATACTGAGAAATCAAGCAAAGACAACATTAATGAAAATACACTATCATAATACCTGTAATATTGCCAGGCGTGGTGTGAAACCAGGTACTTGCTCCTTCAACTGAGTGACTTGATTTTTCAGTCTCGCCCTTATTTGCCTAGAGAAAAAGGAAAGGGTGGGGTTAACACTGAATGTTTCAAGCACAAATAAGTGATGCAGATTATTAGATGTATTTCTCTTTTATTTGTTTGTTTGTTTATTAACACAGGGTCTCGCTCTGTCACCCAGGCTGGGAGTACAGTGGCACAATCAAAGCTCACTGCAGCCTCGACCTCCTGGGCTCAAGCGATCCTTTCGCCCCAGCCTCCTGAGTAGCTGGGACTTTACAGGTCTGTGCCACCACACCTGGCTAATTTTTGTACTTTTGGTAGAGATGGGTTTCACCATTGCCCAAGCTGGTCTTGAATTCCTGGGCTCAAGCGATCTAGGACCTCGGCCTCCCAAAGTGCTGGGATTACAGGCGTGAGCCACTGCACCCGGCCTGTATTTCTCTTTTTTTTTGAGACCAAGTTTTGCTCTCATTGCCCAGGCTGGAGTGCAATGGTGCGATCTCAGCTTACCACAACCTCCACCTCCCAGGTTCAATCGATTCTCCTGCCTCAGCCTCCCGAGTAGCTAGGATTACAGGCATGCGCCACCAAGCCTGGCTAATTTTGTATTTCTAGTAAACGTGGAGATTCTCTATGTTGGTCAGGCTGGTCTCGAACTCCCGACCTCAGGTGATCCCCCCACCTCAGCTTCCCAAAGTGCTGGGATTACAGGCGTGAGCCACTGCACCCGGCCTGTATTTCTCTTTTAAATCAAAAACACTGGCCAGGAGCAGGCAATGGTTCATGCCTGTAATCTCAGTACTTTGGGAACCTAAGGCAAGAGGATTGCTTTAGAACAGGAGTTTAAGACTATCCTGGGCAACATAGTGAGACCCCATCTCTACAAAGAATAAAAAATTAGTTGGGAGTGGTGGCAGGCCCCTGTAGTCCCAGCTACTCAGGAGGCTGCGGCAGGAGGATGGCTGGAGCCCAGGAGGTTGAGGCTGCAGTGAGCTATGATGGTGCCATTGCACTCCAGCCTGGACGATAGAGCAAGACTGTCTCCAAAATAAAATAAAATAAAATAAAAACACCACTGAATGGACATTATCTGGTTTAATATGTACAGGAACTTCCCAACAATTTTCCAGGCCTCAAGTAGATGTGAATCTTTTTCTTTTTTCTTTTTTTTTTTTTTTTTTTTGAGATGGGGACTCGCTTTTGCCCAGGCTGGAGTGCAATGGTGCGATATCTGCTCACTGCAACCTCCACCTCCTGGGTTCAAGCGATTCTGCTGCCTCAGTCTCCTGAGTAGCTGAGATTACAGGCACGTGCCACCACGCCCGGCTAATTTTTGTATTTTTAGTAGAGATGGGGTTTCACCATGTTGGTCAGGCTGGTCTCGAACTCCTGACTTCGTGATCCACCCATCTCAACCTCCCAAAGTGCTGGGATTACAGGCGTGAGCCACTGTTCCCGGACACGTGGATCTTTTCTTACTCCCACTGACACTAACTGAGCCACAGGGTTCAGGGATAATTGAAAATGTATTAGTTGATGGCATTCAAAATCATATAGTAAATAAATGAAAACTTAGACCAACACTTCTAGAAAGTGCTGATGCTCATCTTTTTTCACATTTCCACTCTCCAGGTGCTGTCATGAAAAATTTTACAGGAACAAACTCAAGCACACACCTTTTGCTCAACCTGCACTAGTAAGATGACCACAGCGTATCCACATAAGGTTGAATGATAAATCAATGAATCCCACTCCAAATTCAGTATAAACTTACAAATTATATTCTAATTCACAAAAGAATTTTCTTTACAAAGAATTTAACACAAGGCTAAAAGTATAACCTCCTGCAGTCTCCTTATTAGAGTGAAAGAAAGTATAACCTCTTGCAAAACTAAGATGATCAATTTACCAACATACAACTTCTCAACAATACACTAGGATGTCAAGTAAATGAAATTACATCCATAAATACATATCTGAATAGCTCAACCTTGCCCAGTTATGATATATGATACAATGTTCAACTTGAACATGCTCTGTCCCTCTTGGAAAACCAGTTTTGTCATTTGTCATATGGACATTCACAAACAGCTCTTCCTTCATTCTGATTTGGTTACTCCCAGTTCCACTTCTCCACACGTCACAAAAAACTGACATAAACAGGCACACAAGAAATAGATTATTTGGACTGGCCTAGTAAACATCAAGAATGTTGAATGGTACAAGAAAGAAGTCATACCCAAGATTTTCAAATTTTATTTATTTTGATTTTTATTTATTTATTTTATTTTTTGAGACAGGGTCTGGCTCTATCACCCAGGCTGGAGTGCAGTGATGCAATCACAGCTCACTGCAACCTCCACCTCCTGGGCTCAAGCCATCCTCCCACTTCAGCCTCCCAAGTAGCTGGAACTACAGGTGCACACCACCACACTTCAGCTAATTTTTGTATTTTTTGTAGAGATGGGATTTTGCCATGTTGCCCAGGCTGATCTTGAACTCCTGAGCTCAAGTGATCCTCCCACCTTGGCCTCCCAAAAGTGCTGGGATTACAGTTATAAGCCACTGCACCCAGTTCAAATTTTATTTCTAGTTAGTGACTTTGTTTTTTCAAGTCAGTATTCTCTACAATAATATAGCTCAAAAGAAGAATAGACCATTGGAATTTTTTTTTTTAACTGGGATTGGACCTGGATAGAGGCCACAATTCTGCTCTGAGACAAGGGAACAGGGAATACTGCAGTTTGCACTCCCCAGCAGTTCCAGCCCTAGCTGCTCCCCTGAATGACAACCAGATGTGGTGCTGGGCATAGCCTAATACCCCTACACAGTCACCCAGGCTCTCTTTGGCCCTAAGTCTTATATAATCATTCCTGCCGAAATCCGTTAGAAATTCCAATTCACTCTGTTTAACATCATGGCTGAATTTAAAATATTTAACATGTTATGACAGAGAAAAAAACACATTGCTAAAATATAACCTTTAACTCTTATTATGGATATAGAAAAATGAGTAAATAAAATAAAATATAACATGGACATTTCAACAGAAGCTATATGGTAGGCAAAGGAGGCAGCATGAAATTTACATGATTAAAATACAGCTGCCTTTAGACAACAAAAATGCTGAAATGTGCCATAAGCTTAGAGTAGTTCTCAAATAATTCTCAAATGGCACAGGGAAAACACTTTTAGTAACTGATCAGAGAAGAAGCAAAAACATTCACCTTCAAAATACAGGGCTTCGGGCCGGGCATGATGGCTCACGCCTGCAATCCCAGCACTTTGGGAGGCCAAGGCAGGCAGATCACGAGGTCAGGAGTTCGAGACCAGCCTGGCCAATATGGTGAAACCCCGTCTCCACTAAAAAATACGAAAAATCAGCCAGGCGTGGTGGCACGCGCCTGTAGTCTCAGCTACTCAGGAGGCTGAGGCAGGAGAATCGCTTGAACCCGGGAGGCAGAGGTTGCAGTGAGCAGAGATCGCGCCACTGCACTCCAGCCTGGGCGACCCACTGAGACTCCGTCTCAAAACAAACAAACAAACAAATAACAACAACAAAAACAACAGGGCTTCTTCTAAAAAAAAAAAAGTCTTCTTCTAAACAAGGACACAATTTATCCCCTGCCCCAATAGATTACTGTTTTTTATATATATATATATATATATATATATATATATATATATATATATATATATATTTTTTTTTTTTTTTTTTTTTTTTTTTTTTTTTTTGAGACGCAGTCTCCCTCCGTCTCCCAGGCTGGAGTGCAGTGGCGCGATCTCGGCTCACTGCAAGCTCCGCCTCCCGGGTTCAAGCCATTCTCCTGCCTCAGCCTCCCAAGTAGCTGGGACTACAGGCGCCCGCCACCACGCCCAGCTAATTTTTTGTATTTTTTAGTAGAGACGGGGTTTCACCGTGTTAGCCAAGATGGTCTCGATCTCCTGACCTCGTGATCTGCCCTCCTCGGCCTCCCAAAGTGCTGGGATTACAGGAGTGAGCCACGGCGCCCAGCTATTATAAGATTTTTAAAATGCAGAACACAAATGTTTTATTTAATATGTTTTATTCCCATTTTGTTCATTTGTTGATTTATTTCATTTGTTCATTAACAATTTTTATACTACTAAAAAATACTTCGGCTGGGCACGGTGGCTCACGCCTATAATCCCAGCACTTTGGGAGGCTGAGGTGGGTGGATCACCTGAGCTGGGGGGTTTGACACAGCCTGAGCGGTGAAACCCCGTCTCTACTAAAAATACAAAAAAAAAAAAAAAAAATTAACTGGGAGCGGTGGCGCATGCCTGTAATCCCAGCTACTCGGGAGGCTGAGGCACGGGAATCGCTTGAACCCGGGAGGCAGAGGTTGCGGTGAGCCGAGATCGCGCCATTGCACTCCAGCCTAGGCAACAAGAGTGAAACTCCATCTCAAAAAAAAAAAAAAAAAAACCTTCAAAAAATTTTTAAAAACTTAATATGTAGTTCCTTGTAAAAATAATTGTGATTGTAAGGCCACCTAGTGTTCCAAGAAATACATATATTTCAAATTGCTAGTCATTTAAGTCAAATTAAAACACTAAATTACCTTCTTGTTGAAAGAAAACTGATTTTCACCTATCACTAATATAGCAAAAGCTATATCAGTATACAAGACAGTCAACTGACAATAGTACTATTATTACATAAGAATATTTACTAAAAAAATTATTATAATTTAACCCAGACATTTACCAAATTTGACAGTTACCTCAAATACGTATTTGAAAGCTTAATGTGAGGAAGCTATTTTATGCTTCATTGAAAGTTTATAATGTAAAGTTCTTCCATCCAATTGTCTCTAACTCAAAGCCCTAAGAAAGCAAAGGTAAACTGCTTGATATTTATGACATGAAAATAAGTCAGAATAGTGTAAAATTTTAATGAATCCTATAATTCTTAGTGAGGGTAAAGTCCATCATTAATCCACACACACAATGACACAATAACTCACATTAAGCTTCTTGATCAGGGTTTTTCGATCTCAGCACCACTGACATTTGGACCAGATCATCCTTTGTTATGGGGACTATCCTGTGCACTGCAGGATGCTCGGCACCAGTCCTGGCCTCTACTGCTAGATGCCAATAGCATACCCCTTCCCCATATGACAACCCAAAAGACTCCAGGCATGCCCAATGCCCTGAGGTAGAGGGAGGAAAAAACTGCCCCATTTGACAACCTCTGATCTAATGCAATAAACGGACTAGGTTGGACTGGTTAAGGCTTTATAAAATTTAGGATTTTAAAAGTGGACCATAAGTTCATTCAGAAAAAGGTCTCAAAGAGGAAAGAACCTTCGGAGTCCTGGTACAGGCAACCAAGTGTGGTAGGATTCCTGAACAATGAGGTCCCACCTCCCCCACCCCCACCCACTCAAGGATGAGGGGGTAGGCAGCATCTACTCAGATCCAACAAATTGATGGCATGAAGATAGACAGTACAGTATTGCTAAACTGTTCACATCTTTCAAAAAGTCAAGCATCCAGATTTTTATGTGTAACTACAGGCATAAGTGTGTTAAGAAGTAATCTAATGTTGTAAAGTAATAAATGTGTTGAGAAGTAATCTAATTCTGTAAGCCAAACAAAAAACATTTGGCCTCTAGGCCACAATTTTATCACCTTCTGCCAGTAGCAAGAGTTATGAGACAAGACAAGGTTGGCTCTGAGTATGAGGATCTGTAAGAAGCGGTGCTTAACTATATGTCAACAAAGGAGAGTTGATGCCAGTGGGTCTGCTGGTGAGAACAGGCAGACCCCTAATTCTAACACTGAGAATTAGTCTCACTATTGGAGGATTACCTAACCATAGATCTGGCCGCTAGAGCTGACTAGGGCTCCAATGAACAGCTCTAGGTCCCTTGCAGCCCTCTGGATCATCAGAGGGGAAGGTAGAAAGAATGGGGAAGGTAAGGGTTCTCCACTTGGAGGGAAGAACCTGCCAAGAGCTTGTAATGAGAAAAGCCTCACAAGGACCTGGCCTTCCTGCTTTTCAAAAAGACTGAACAAAACCTTAGGTAGAAAAGGTTAGGTCTAAAAGGCTGCTTACTAAGGAGGGACTGGTATTTGGGCACCTAAACCCAAAGATCACTTATAATGTTAAGTCATTCATTGCAGTCAAGATTAAGTTCCTGACAGGCTCTGGCAAAACCTTTCACAGAAATGCTCCCTTATCTCCTGGGACCTCTCAAGCACCAGATACCAAGCAGTACGTCTCCCGTCCAGGCTTGTGGTGAGGGGCAAAGAAAAAAAAAAAGCTTAGCCAGCAAAGTAAGTAGGTCTGACCTGTCTCTAACCAGTCAAAATTGGACTATAACTTCAAAAATGACTTTTTGAAGAGAATCTGTTTGGGTGCTTCCCAACCAGACTGATGGGTGGAATGATTTCCTCACAATGGAAAGGCCTCAGGGAGAACCAAACCCAGGGTGTCTCCTGCTGGAGGGTAGAAGTTTGCAATTCCTTCTAGCAAGCCAATGACAAGCCCATGGTAGGGAAAGAAATGCACCATCGAGCCTCTGCCACCTACCTTGGAACACCTGGGCAAGTCACTTAGCTTCTGGCTAAAGTGTCATAAACTGCAAAATTGAGGGTAAGGGTAGTAGCCGAGTGGCTGAGGAATCTTGACTGTGGCACCTTTAGCCACCCACTTCTTCAAGGTCAAGGATTTACAGGGTGACAGAAGCTGCTTTTTGGTCAATTAAGGGGTGCAAAGGAGAGCCAACCGCACAGTGCAGGGGTAATGGGGGCCTTCTGCACTGTGGATGGGACGTCAAAGAAGCTTGTTTTGAGAGTCTTACATTCTTTTAATCCTTGGGGCAACGTCAGGAAGTAGACAGTTCTCATCATCCCTACTGCACAGAAAGGAAAGTGAAGCTAACTTTTCCAAGGCCACACAAGCATCCCTGCCCCTTAACCTCTATTCTACCAACCTCTACTGAGTCAATTAGAGGAGAAGGGAGCCATTTGCTTCCACTCCAAGGACCCTCCTCTGTACTAGGCCAGCTTTCCTTCTAGAAGATTCTTCATGCAAATAGGGGATGTAACAGGGAACCACAGACCTCTGCTCAAAACCCCACTACCCAAATCCCAAACTGCCTGATCCCAACTCCCCTGATGGACAAGGACAGACACTTATTTGCAAACCACATCCCCAATCAGGTGCCATGACCATAGTAGTTGGCTGCCAGCTCTGGGCTCTGCTGCACTATCGCTGCAACCTGCCCAACAGCCTGGCTGGGGTCCTAGCTGAAGGTCCCAGCCTCTCTGGAACTCCGACCTCTCCTGCACAGGCTTCCAGAATCAATCCAGCTATGACAGTCAAGTTTCCATGTAACTTTTGAGCAACCTGCACTTTGGAGTTCATTACAGGCAAATTTTTTTTTTTTTTCTTTCTGAGATGAAGTTTTGCTCTTGTTGCCCAGGCTGGAGTGCAATGGCGCCATCTTGGCTCACTGGCTCACTGCAACCTCCTCCTCCCAGGTTCAAGCCATTCTCCTGTCTCAGCCTCTGGAGTAGCTGGGATTACAGGCATGGGCCACCATGCCCAGCTAATTTTGTATTTTTAGTAGAGATGGGGTTTCACCATGTTAGTCAGGCTGGTCTCCAACTCCTGATCTCAGGTGATCCTCCTGCCTGGGCCTCCCAAAGTCCTAGGATTACAGGCATGAGCCACCACGCCCTGCCCAGACAAATCTTTTTAAGCACAAAAGGGCCTACATGTATTTAATCTACAGGACAAAGTAAAAGTCTTATCCATGTTAACTTAGTAACCAAGAAGACCTGCCCTTCACTATGGTAAGCAAATTATTTTCACAAAAACAGTTCTTCTAGCCCTGTAGCTAAATGTACAGCCAAGGTTCCAAACTTTTATCTTTGATCACTAGGATAAATTCTAATTTTAAGTCTCAAGATTATAAGCCAGCTCCCAAAGGTACAGCCTGGATAAACACAAACATCACTTTTTTATTCAATGAGTACTTTCTAAGTACCTATTTATTAAAACTTACCATGTACCAACAACTTCTCTAAATGCTTTATAGGTATTAAACTCATTTAATTCTAACAACCTTATGAGTTAGGTGACATTACTACCCCAATATACAGAAGCTAAGGCACAGAGGTAAATTGCATGACCCAGTGATGCACAGAGGAGGCAGCACCGTGCTTAGGCTCTGGAGCTACCATCCACAGCGAGCTTACAAATATACCCAACTTGCCCTGCACTTGGCCAGCAAACACTCGCAGCACCTACTCAAACCATCTGCCTCTTCACAACCAGTCTCTTTAGAAAGGAGACTTAATCAAGAAAAATGCCACCAATGGAGAGAGCAGGCTTAATTATAGCAAACTAAGGGAAGGAAAAACCAAACAAATCATATAAATGTAGTAAGCCCCCCTTTGAAAGGCCCACTTATAGAACAACTATGCTTTCTTGCCTACAAAGCAAGGTGGGTCTTCCAACACTAATGCACATCCTTCTCCCACTTTGCATAATCTTTTAAAAGACACCACCCTTCTGCCCAGGGCAGGGTCAGGTTCCTCTACTCAGGAGCCTCCACTCGGTCAGCTTCTCACAGGGCCATTGCCATTGACCCCCCAAAGCAGTAAGTTAGTAACTGGTGAGGACAAAGGTCTATGGCACAGGCTGTGTTTTTGGTCAGGAGCTATTTCCCTCACAACATTGGCAGGCTTAAGGCTCCACCTCCTTCAAGTCTTTGCCCGTAAGTCACTTTTACAAAGACTATGACTCCCATATTTAAAATTGCAGCCACCATACCACAGAAACTCCTGTCCCTCTTTTCTGCTCTGGTGTTCTCTTTGTGCTTCCCACCAGCTCACAATGTGTTTCACCTATTTAAATGTCTGTCTCTACCCATCAGTATGCAAGTTTCATGAGGGTAGGGATTTGGGCTGTTTTGTTCACTATTAGACTCTCAGAGCTTTGAAGATTGCCTGGCTTAGGGGACACATACAGCTACTTGTTGAGTAAGTGAATAAATACCCACAAAGAACAGATACTTGTCTCTAACTCTCAGACCTTCCCCCGGTTGTCAAATTCAGGCTGCAAACTTAGAATTCCCCGTGAGGGAGAAAAGGGGCTGTTACTTCCAAAGAAAGATAATTTGGCAACTAAATCCATCATGTAAGTACCCAGTTTCCCACAGAGTAGAGCAGGTAGAGAAGGAATCTGGAATGCTGAACTTTGTTGATGTCCGAGCTCCCAGGAAGGCATAAAAGGAGAATAATAATAGAAGAGGACGAGTCAGGGATAGCATTCTCAGCAGGGTGGGAAACATGCTAATGAGAGGAAGACTGTAAAGAAAAAGCAAAGCGCCAGCGGGGGCGCAGTGGCTCACACCTGTAATCCTAGCACTTTAGGAGGTGGAGGTGGACAGATCACTTGAGGTCAGGAGTTCAAGACCAGCTTGACCAACATGGCGAAACCCCATCTCTACTAAAAATTCAAAAATTAGCCGGGCATAGTAGTGCATGCCCGTAGTCCCAGCTACCTGGGAGGCTGAGGCAGGAGAATCGTTTGAACCCAGGAAGTGGAGGTTACAGTGAGACAACATCGTGCCATTGCACTCCAGCCTGAGCAACAGAGCAAGACCTTGTCTGAAAAATAAAAAGAAAGAAAGAAAGAAAAGAAAAAGAAAAGCTTACGAAATTCCTTTTAGCAAGTAGTAAGTGCTGGTTAGAATGAAAAACATCATATACTGGGTGAAGACCTTAGTTTTAGTTGAGCCATTGCCATTCACCCTTGGACAAATCACATCACTTTTCTGGCCTCAAATGATTTCCTAATCCGCAGGATGGAATGTGGGAAGTGGGCTGGATTTTTAAGAAATTCTAGGACCGGTGCAGTGGCTCATGCCTGTAATCCCAGCACTTTGGGAGGCCGAGGTGGGTGGATCACATGGGGTCAGGAGTTACAGACCAGCCTGACCAACATGGTGAAAGCCCGTCTCTACTAAAAATACAAAAATTAGCCGGACGGGGTGGCACACACCTGTAGTCTCAGCTACTCGGGAGGCTGAGGCAGGAGAATCGCTTGAACCTGGGAGGTGGAGGTTGCAGTGAGCCAAGATCATGCCATTGCACTCCAGCCTGGGCAACAAGAGTGAAACTCTGTCTCAAACAAACAAACAAACTAGCTGGACATGGTGGCGGACGCCTGTAATCCCAGCTACTTGGGAGGCTGAGGCAGGAGAATCGCTTGAACCCAGGAGGCAGAGGTTGCAGTGAGCCGAGATCACGCCATTGTACTCCAGTCTGGGCGACGAGTGAAACTCCATCTCAAAAAAAAAAATTAGCTAGGCGTGATGGCGGGCACCTGTAATCCCAGGTACTCAGGAGGCTGATATGAGAGAATTGCTTGTATGCAGGAGGCAGAGGTTGCAGTGAGCCAAGATTGGACACAGCAAGACTTCATCTCAAAAAAAAAAATAGATCTCAAGGCAGCAGCTACCATGTAAAAAAAAAAAAAGATAATGAATCATTCATATATACATTAACTAATTACTGATTATTAATACAACATATATCGAATACTTATTATGTGCCAGGAAGAATTATAAATGATCATCTGTTAGGAACCCATTTAATTCTACTAACATCCCAATGACCTAGACATTACTTTTACTTAACATTTGAGGAAACTTTGGCACAGAAAGGTTAATTAATTTGCTTAAAACCACACAAGTAGTAAGGCAGGAAACAGGGTTTCCAGGTGTTTAGGATATAGACAAAAATAAGACAATACATGTATTTGCCCTTATGGAGTTGATAAACATATTTAATTTGCTCTCCAATTAACGAAAGTATATTCAGTGAGCACCTATTCTCAGTACTGGCCCAGATGCATTATTATTGTACTAAATTATCTGCACTATTATTATGCACTAAATTATCTCTTCACAATCAGTCTTTCTAAAAGGAAGATTTTTATATTAAAACAAAAAGCCACTGGAAAAGGAAGTAAGTTTGAATACAAGCAAACAAAAACAGAAAGTAAAGCAGAAATACAGTTTAGCAAGCCACATGTTGAAAAGCACTAAGCAGTAAGTATTGTGATTTCTTTTTTTTTTTTTCTTAGACGGAGTTTCGCTCTTGTTGCCCAGGCTGGAGTGCAATGGCGCATCTCAGCTCACTGCAACCTCTGCCCCCCAGGTTCAAGTGATTCTCCTGCCTCAGCCTCCCAAGTAGCTGGGATTACAGATGCCTGCCACCACACTCGGCTAATTTTTTGTATTTTTAGTAGAGATGGGGTTTCACCATTTTGGATAGGCTGGTCTTGAACTCCAGACCTCAGGTGATCCACCCACCTCGGCCTCCCAAAGTGCTGGGATTACAGGCATGAGCCACTGGGCCCGGACTTTTCACCACCGATGACTTTGTAATTCACTCAAAAACCTATTACAAAGTTAGGAGTTACAGGACAATTACAATTTAGTAACTGCTGTGGCTGGCAACAGTTACTTACATAACGGGTGATGTGAAAGGTCCCAAGAGCAAACTCAGTAAGGTCACACAGAATATATCTTTCCCTCCTTCATCTACTAGAGGGAATATATTTTTCCCTCTTCCTTCTACTCTCATTTTTCCTCACCAGTCACCTCCCAGACAAAAAGCAGCCAGTGTTACTTCCTGGGAGTAAAGCTGGCAACGATACCCACTAATTAAGCATTCAGATGTCCCGCAAGGGTAGAACAGGCAGAGGTCAAGTGGAATGCAGAATATTCTCAGGACTCAGGAGCCAAATTACGTTTCAAGTAACTCTAGGACCAGGGCAGAGAGATGGCTGTTAGAGAGAAGCACGAGATTGAAGAGAAAGGAAAAATGTATTAGATTTCACTTAGCGTATGATAAGACTATGGTATAGTGGGAAAAGCTATGAGCTGGAAGGACCCTCTGTCATTATCAGCCTTGTAGTCTTGTCAAGCCTTGTCACCTCACTAGTCTCCATCTACTCACCTCCAAATTAACGGGAATTAAGTAGATTGGATTTCTGAGTTCTGACTAGGGGGGCTCCAGGAAGCCGCAACTACCCACTCTCCCGGCAGAAAGTCACCAGCAGCTGCGCGTTTGGGAGCATAGTCGGCACAGGACTTTTCCCCGAAGCACAGGAGCCAGCGGCTACAGCCACTAGGCAGTCCACTTGCAAACGCAGGTTGTGCCCGGGTTCTCTTTCTTTGGCTGCAGGTCTTCAGGTGTTATGGGCCTAACTCTTCCGCTACAAGTGTCCCTCCCGCAAAAAATGGGTCCGGGGGACCTGCACACCCTCAGAGCCCTCGTCCACAGCCCCACACTCAACAACAATGTCAGGTGCTTACGCGGAGATCTCCTTCCCGTTCAGGATTTCTGCTGGCGCCATGGCCTTTATTAGTCCGCTGCCCACGATGGACACCACCAATATCGAGGTTCCACTCCCTCCGCAGCCAAGCAGGACAACCCAACCCACGTGCTTAGGGACTGGCCAGGGGATCACACTACTGCGCCTGCGCCCCTGCCCGCTTCTCCCCCTGCAGACGCGGTGGCGCATGCGCAGTTCGGAAGGACCCGAGTCCCTTAACTAACCGAGAGCTAACAGGTCGGGGACTGCGGGACGGAAGAGGGAGGGGAAGATGAAGAAAATCGGTGATGAATGGCTGGCGGAAATGATTGGCGGAAAGAAAGAGCCAGTTCACAGTGCGCCTTTGTATTCGGCGGGAAACCCGGCCGAAGAGGGAGCTGGAAAGGACTCCGGAATCCGGCCGTAATTCCAGCCAATCAGGGAGTAGAGTTGCGGGGCGGGGTTGGGGCGGGGCAGTCTCGCGGGAGATAGTTTCGCGGGTTCGGGAGGCGAGTCTCCGGTTTCCGCCCAGTCTCTGGGGACGCGGTGGCGGGGTCTGAATCGCCTGGCTTCCAGGGAGTTTTGGGCGGGTCCCCGCACGGGAGCGTGGCAGGCGCTGGACTCGACAGCAGATGTGGAACTGGAGAGCTTGGCGCGCCCTCATACTTTGTCACACACCTACGCCACCAGACTGGGGTCGGGCCCCTCCGCGTTCTGCTCTGGAGGGCCTGGGTCTGGGCCCAGCATAGCGCTTTTAGAATCTCCTCAGCTGAATCTGACGCTCAGCCGTAGGTGAAGCTTAGCCCGCTGTTTCAGGCCCCGCCGATCTGGAAGGAGTGTCAGAGCTGGAGCGCGCGTGGCCTCATCGGTGTTGGGGTCACCCCGGGGTTGCCAGGGCTCATGGAGGGTCGTAGTCTGGATTTTGTCACCCCCACGTCCCCGCCCCGCAGCAAGTCTGGGGTTGGAGAACTCACGCGGTCTTCGTAAGCTACATGCCAGTTGACCCTCGAGGAGGGATGCTCCCTCCCCTTAAGCGTCCACGCTGGAGAAGGAGTAAGATGGACAATTGCCTGGGGAGCCTGACAGGGCGGTGGCAGCTGGGATGCTGGAGAGGACTGGCCCCTTGTGTTACTGAGTCCAAGGAATATGCTTGCTCTGCTCTAGGAACCGCGTTCAGGTTACAGTCATCCCAGTAGAGTCCTGAAGATGCGTGGTTCAGGTCACTTAGGACTTGACCAGATACCGGGTTTCTTTTACAAGCCGTTTACTACTGGCAGAGCTCATCTAAAACTTTTTTTGTTTGTTTGTTTGAGACGGAGTCTCATTCTGTCGCCCAGGCTGGAGTGCAGTGGCACGATTTTGGCTCACTGCAACCTCCGCTTCCCGGGTTCAAGCAGTTCTCTGCCTCAGCCTCCCGAGTAGCTGGGATTACAGGCACCACCTAATTAGCCCGCCACCACGCCCGGCTAATTTTTGTATTTTTAGTAGAGACGGGGTTTCACCATCTTGGCTAGGCTGGTCTTGAACTCCTGACCTCGTGATCCACCCGCCTCGGCCTCCCAGAGTGCTGGGATTACAGGCGTGAGCCACCGCACCTGGCCTAAAACTGATTTTTTATTAATTTTGGGGCTTTTAATATTTTTTTCTTATTTCTAAATTCTGAGGTTATTTATAGTAGCCCCATATACGGGATTAGATAATCTCTTGTGATTTTCTATTTCTGGTAATTATTTCTAATATATGTTTTTTTGTTTTTGAGACGGAGTCTCGCTATGTCGCTCAGGGTGGAGTGCAGTGGCATGATCTCCGCTCTTTGTAGCCTCTGCCTCCCGGGTTCAAATGATCCTCCCACCTCAGCCCCCCGAGTAGCTTGGACCACAGGTGCATGCCACCACGCCGGCTAATTTTTCTATTTTTGGTAGAGTTGGGGTTTCACTATGTTGACCAGACTGGTCTAGATCTCAAGGGATTAGTCTCCCTTGGCCTCCCAAAATGCTGGGATAATGGGCATGAGCCACCGTGCGTGGCCTTAAAGTTACTATTCTTAAAGTTTGCACAAGTGATATGTTAAAGGCACAGACTTAGTAATATAATGTCATTATAATAATAACCCTAAAACACATTGTCTCATATTGTGTTGTACCTAAACAAGTGAAATTAAGAAGAAAATTGAAGGAAATGTTTCTGGTAAATTGCAGATAGTGAATCTTTTGTCTTATACTATCAAATAGGTATTGACTATTCCAGCTTTCTTATTTGTTGAGGAAGATGGCAGAAATCCCGTTTTACAGAGGGATAGACTTTGAAGGATAATACCCAAAGCTGCATAGCTGTGGCTGGTATAGGCCCCAAACCTGATGTTTCTTCTCTAAATCTACTGCCTTTGCCATCTCAACAGCCTGGTTTTTGACAGTTATCTATGTATGAGTTGCATAAATCGTTCATTCATGGAGCAAATAATTATTGAGTGGCCACTATGCCAACAGCACTGCTATAGATGCTAGAGATACCCTAGTGAACCAGCAAAGTTTCTGCTCTCAGCTCATATTCTGGTGGAGGAGACAACGATCAAGTTAAAGAAATACATAGGCTAATTTTAGAGATTATGACATGCTATATTTTAAAAATAGGCAAGCTAAGAGGATAGGCAGTGATGCTGGGAGGTGGGAAAGTTTTGTCTCAGAAATGTGGTAAGAGATTTCTTTGGGCATCTGACTTCAGCAGAAACCTTAATGAAGAGAGGAACTTGGAATGTAAAAGAAAGAAAGCAGGGATTTGCTCTGAGCAACTGGAAAGATGGAATTGCCATTCGCTGAGTTGAAATAAAGTAAAATGTAGGACTAGGTTTTGGGGTTAAGATTATGAATTCGGCTTTAGACATTTTTAGATTTCTCTTAGACATCCAAATGGAGAGAAGATATTTAAATCCATGGGATTGAATGAGATCCAACCAAGGGTATTGTAGGTAGAGAGAGGACCAAAGACTGACACCTAGAACCTTTCAGTGTTCAGAATGCAAGGAGACAGGAGGAACCAAGAGGGAAGATTGAAAAGGAGAGTCCAGCTGGGAGCTGTGGCTACACCTTTACTAATCCCAGCACTTTGGGAGACCAAATACAGGAAGATCACTTGAATCCAGGAGTTTGTAGAACAGCCTTAGCAACATAGCAAGACCCTGTCTCTACAAAAATAAAAATTAAAAAATTTGCCTGTAATCCGAGCATTTTGGAGGCCGAGGTGGGTGGATCAGCTGAGGTCAGGAGTTTGAGACCAACTTGGCCAACACAGTGAAACCCCGTCTCTACTAAAAATACAAAAATTAGCTGGGCGTGATGGCTGGCACCTGTAATCCCAGCTACTCGGGAGGCCGAGGCAGGAGAATCCCTTGAACCTAGGAGGCAGAGGTTGCAGTGAGCCGAGATCACGCCACTGCACTCCAGCCTGGGAGACAGAGCGAGACTCCATCTCAAAATAAATAAATAAATAAAAATTTAAAAAGTTAGCTGGGCGTGGTGGCATGTACCTGTAGTCCCAGTTACTCAGAAGGCTGAGGTGGGAGGATCCTGTGAGCCTAGGAGTTGGAAACTTCAGTAAGCTATAATCATCACACTGCACTCCAACCTAGGCAACAGAGCAAGACCCTGTCTCTTAAAAGGAAAGGAGAGTCCAGTGTGTTCTAAGGAAAACCCCAAGAGCATCCCACCTTAGAATACAAGTGAGGAGGCCTGGCATGGTGTCTCATGCCTGTAATCCCAGCACTTTGGGAGGCCAAGGTGGGTGGATCACTTGAGGTCAGGAGTTCTAGACCAGCCTGACAAACATGGCGAAACCTCCGTCTCTATAAAAATACAAAAATTAGCCAGGTGTGGTAGCGCGTGCCTGTAATCCCAGCTACTAGGGAGGCTGAGGCAGGAGAACTGCTTGAACTCAGGGGGCAGAGTTTGCAGTGAGCCGAGATAGTGCCACTGCACTCCAGCCTGAGCAACAGAGTGAGACTCTGTCTCAAAAACAAACAAGTAAACAAACAAAAAAAAAAACAAGACAAGTGAAGAATGTGTTTCATGGAAAAAGAGGTAATTAATTCTGTCAAGTGTTGCAAATTGGTCAAATAAAGAATGAAAATCAACCTTTCACAGCAAATAGAAGGAAAAAATATTTTTATTTAAATGCTTATAAAGGCAGTTGCTAGAAAAAATGTTTACTTTTTGCAGAGGCCCCGTTTTTACAACCTTTTTCAGGGGTAATTTGATATGATAATATCTACGGGAAAAAAAATGTTTTTTTTTTTGAGTCGCTCTGTCACCAGGCTGGAGTGCAGTGGCATGATCTCGGCTCACTGAAACCTCCGCCTCCCAGGTTCAAGCAATTCTTCTGCCTCAGCCTCCCAAGTAGCTGGGACTACAGGTGGGCGCCACCACACCCAGCTAATTTTTGTATTTTTAGTAGAGACGGGGTTTCACCATGTTGGCCAGGATGGTCTCAATCTTGACCTCGTGATCTGCCTTCCTTGGCCTCCCAAAGTGCTGGGATTGGTACAGGTGTGAACCACCATACCTGGCCCGAAAATTTTAAATTTGTATTTTCTTTGACATTGTAATTCCACTTCCAGGATTTTTTTTTTTTGGACAGGATTTTACTCTGTCACCCAGGCTGGAGTGCAGTAACACAATCAGCTCACTGCAACCCTGAACTCCTGGGCTAAAGTGATCCTTCTGAGTAGTTGGGACTATAGGCACATGCCACCACCCCTGATTAATTAAAAAATTTTCCTGTAGAGATAGTCTTGCTATGTTGCCCAGACTGGTCTCCAGCTCCTGGCCTCAAACCATCCTCCCACCTTGACCTTCCAAAACGTTGGGATTACAGGCGTGAGCCACCTCTCCCAGTTTAGGAATTTATCTTAAAGTAATATTTACATATAAAGAAAGATGTATAGGCTGGGTGCAGTGGTTCACGCCTGTAATCCCAGCACTTTGGAAGGCCGAGGCTGGTGGATCAACTGAGGTCAGGAGTTCAAGACCAACCTGGCTAACATGGCGAAACCCCATCTCTACTAAAAATACAAAAATTAGCTGGGCGTGGTGGCCAGCCCCTGTAATCCCAGCTACTCGGGAGGCTGAGGCAGGAGGATAGCTTAAACCCAGGAGACGAAGGTTGCAGTGAGCCAAGATTACACCATTGCACTCCAGCCTGAGCAACAAAAGCGAAACTCCATCTCAAAAAAACAAAAACTAAAACTAAACAAAACAAAAAAACCATGTGTAAAACTGTTAATCACAACACTGATTTCAATAGCAAAAAACAAAATTTCTGTCAGGATGGATGCAGTTGTTAAAGGAACAGCAGATACATATGTATAGACATGTAAGATAGCTTTCATACTTTTTTTTTTGAGATGGAATTTCGTTCTTGTCACCCAGGCTGGAATGCAATGGTGAGATCTAGGCTCCGCTTCTCAGGTTCAAGTGATTCTCCTGCCTCAGCCTCCTGAGTAAGCTGGGAATACAGGCGCCCGCCACCACGCCCAGGTAATTTTTGTATGTTTAGTAGAGACAGGGTTTCGCCATATTGGCGAGGCTTGTCTCAAACTCCTGACCTCAGGTGATCCACCCACCTCCAAAAGTGTTGGGATTACAGGCATCACCCACCACGCGTGACCAGCTTTTATACATTTTTAAATGATAAAGACAGGTTAATAAAATGTATAATATTATGTTGCTATATCCAAAAAAAGGCCTTCTTTGATTACACTATCAAAAGTTACCTCTCCATCTACATCCCCATTACTATCTCATTAACCTGTTTTATTCATAGCACTTACTACCATCTAAAATGACTTTATTTCTTTATATTTTTGTTTGCTACCTGTCTTTTACACCAGAATTTAATTTTTAAGCTTTTTTTGTTTGTTTGTTTGTTTGTTTTGAGATGGAGTCTTGCTCTGTTGCCCAGACTGGAGTGCAGTGGTGCGATCTCAGCTCACTGCAACCTCTGCCTCCTGGGTTCAATCAATCCTCCTGCCTCAGCCTCCCAAGTAGCTGGGATTACAGGCATGTGCCACCATGCCCAGCTAATTTTTGCATTTTTAGTACAGCAGGGTTTCACCATGTTGGTCAAGCTGGTCTCAAACTCCTGACCTCAGGAGATCCGTCAGCCTTGGCCTCCCAAAGTGTTGGGATTACAGGCGTGAGCCACAGCACCCAGCCAGAATTTAAACTTTATAAGAGATTTCCTGTCTTGTTCATACTTATATACCTGCAGCTTCGAAACATATATATATGTTTAATATATATAATAGATATATTTTAAATTATATATAGAGAGATGGAGTTTCACTCTTGTTGCCCAGACTGGAGTGCAATGGCGTGATCTCGGCTCACCACAACCTCTGCCCCCCGGGTTCAAGCAATTCTCCTGCCTCAGCCTCCAGAGTAGTTGGAATTACAGGCACGTGCCACCATGCCTGGCTAATTTTGTATTTTTAGTAGAGACAGAGTTTCTCCATGTTGGTCAGGCTGGTCTCGAGCTCTTGACCTCAGGTAGTCTGCCTGCCTCGGCCTCACAAAGTGCTGGGATTACAAGCATGAGTCACTGTGCCCTGCCAGAATTTAAGCTTTATAAGAGATTTCCTGTCTGTTTATACTTAAATACCTGCAGCTTGGAAACATATATATGTTTATATGTATATATTACATACATTATATATATATTTTTATATATTATAATTATAAACTCCTGACCTCAGGTGATCCACCTGCCTCAGTCTCTCAAATGCTGGGATTACAGGCGTGAGCCACCACGCCAGGCCAGAAACATATTTTTAAAAATCTTGTTTTAGAGGAAAAACAGAGTATTTCTTTTTTTTTTTTTATTAGATGGATTCTCACTCTATTGCCCAGGCTGGAGTACAGTGGCACAATCTTGGCTCACCGCAACCTCAGCCTCCCGGGTTCAAGCAATTCTCCTGCCTCAGCCTCCCGAGTAGTTGGAACTATAGGCGTGAGCCACCATGCCCTGCTAATTTTTGTATTTTTAGTGCAGATGGGGTTTCACTATGTTGGCCAGGCTGGTCTCGAACTCCTGACCTTGTGATCTGCCCACCTCGGCCTCCCAAAGTGCTGGGATTACAGGTGTGAGCCACTGCGCCCGGCCTATTTCTTCTTCTCTTTGTTTAGTTATTATCTATTACTCTCATTCCTATGAACATAACTTGTTTCTCCCCACTTAATTTTTATCATACATAATTGTAGACAGTGGGCACTGTCTTCAATTATAGTGAATTTAGCAGTAAATTCACATTAGACCAACTTGTATAGCTTTAAAAAATATATTTATGTCTAGGTTCCACCCTTGACCAACTAAGTCAGAACTTGGGTGGGTTCAAGGTTCATTATTCTTTGAAGATAAGATGATGTTTGAATAAAATTCCTGGTGATTCTGGTATCAAAAATACAAATTTGGGACATACTTTTTCTGCTGTAAAAATATTTTCCTAAGGCCAGGCGCAGTGGCTCACGCCTGTAATCCTAGCACTTTGGGAGACGGAGGCGGCGGATCACTTGAGGCCAGGAGTTCAAGACCAGTCTGGCCAACATGGTGAAACCCAGTCTCTACTAAAAATAGAAAAAATTAGCCAGGCATGGTGGCACGTGCCTGTAGTCCCAGCTACTCAAGAGGCTGAGGCAGGAGAATCCTTTGAACCCGGGAGGCAGAGGTTGCAGTGAGCCGATATTGCAGCACTGCACTCCAGCCTGGGTGACAGATCAAAACTCTGTCTCAGAAAAAAAAAAAAAAAAAAAAAGAATTTCCTAGAATTAGAATCGCAGGGGTTTTTTTTGTTTTGTTTGTTTGTTTGTTTGTTTGTTTTTGAGACAGAGTTTCACTCCTGTCGCCCAGGCTGGAGTGCAATGCCATGATCTCGGCTCATTGCAACCTCTGCCTCCTGAGTTCAAGCAATCCTCCTGCCTCAGCCTCCCGAATAGCTGGGATTACAGGCACCTGCCACCATGCCCAGCTAATTTTTGTATTTTTAGTAGAGACTGGGTTTTACCATGTTGGCCAAGCTGGTCTCGAACTCCTGACGTCAGGTGATCCACCCAGCTCATTCTCCCAAAGTGCTGGAATTACAAGCATGAGCCACTGCACTCGGCCTTTATTTATTTATTTATTTTTGAGATGAAGTCTTGCTCTGTTGCCCAAGCTGGAGTGCAATGGCATGATCTCGGCTCACTGCAACCTCCACCTCCCAGGTTCAAGCAATTCTCCTGCCTCAGCCCCCTGAGTAGCTGGGATTACAGGCGTGCACCACCACGCCTGGCTAATTTTTGTATTTTTAGTAGAGACAGGGTTTCACTATGTTGGTCAGGTTAGTCTCGAGCTCCTGACTTCGTGATCCGCCCGCCTCAGCCTTCCAAAGTGTTGGGATTACAGGCGTGAGCCACCGCGCCTGGCCAGAATCCCAGTTTTTTAACACATCTAATGCTTTAGGAATAGTAAATGGAAACATCATTTCCCCTTCTTTCGAAGTACTTCTACCTTGATGAGATGTATGTATTGGAGTACAATATTTGACCTAGCCAAGAATTTCACAAAAGAAGCCCAAAATATGATTTTCACGTTTACTGGACTGTTCACTTTTGGTGGGATCACTTTCTTAAGATTACTTAAAGTACTAATGCTTGATGAAAATCATTTGTGTTTTCACTTCATTAATTGGAGAAAGAGCTACATGTTTTTGTTGTTGTTGTTGTTGTTTTGAGATGGTGTCTTGCTCTGTCTCCCAGGCTGGAGTGCAATGGCGTGATCTCAGCTCACTGCAACCTCCGCCTCCCGGGTTCAAGCGATTCTCCTGCCTCAGCCTCCTGAGTAGCTGGGACTACAGGCGCCTGCCACCACGCCCAGCTAATTTTTATACTTTTAATAGAGACAGGGTTTCACCATATTGGCCAGGATGGTCTCAATCTCTTGACCTTGTGATCCACCCGCCTTGGCCTCCCAAAGTGCTGGGATTACAGGCGTGAGCCACTGCGCCCAGCCAGAGCTACAGGTTTTACTGTAACACTTTAGAAGGTCCTTTTTCTTTGTACCTCTGTGATGTGTTCACCTAGCAACAGCTTCTTTGATATGCAAACATTCTACAGGCAAATTGCTCAGAGCAGCTACTCATGTTGGACAATTCAGGTCTCTTCTGGAAACTGGCCTTGTATTTGGAATTTTCTCCAGAGTCTGATGTGGTAAAAATTTATACTTTTCACTTCTTACTAAATGCAGCATAGCATACTACATCTTTTGAGTGTGTAAAAAATAAAGTAGTCATGTACAAACCTAAAATCACAGAATAATCATGTAACGGTGCTATATTTTATTTTTACTTTAGATTCCTAATACATTTTTATTGTATCTTTATAAGGTTAGTTTGGGAGAATAGCACTATCATCATCTATATTAGTTAACTTTGCATTAAGGTTTTTCATTAAGGTTTTTCCCCTGTTTGGTTCTTTCATTTTACGATCCATATTTTTTGTGCCTGGTATGGGATGATAAAGATAACAGAAATAGCTCCTGTTTTTAGGTACCTTTATTTGTTTGTTTGTTTGGAGACAGGGTCTTACTCTGTCACCCAGGCTGGTGGCACAATCATAGCTTACTACAGACTAACTCCTGGCTCAAGCCATCCTCCACCTCAGCCTCCCAAGTAACTGAGATTACAGGTGCACACCACCACCTCTGGCTAATTATTAAAATTTTCATAGAGACAGGATCTCACTTGGTTGGCCAGACTGATCTCAAACTCCTGGTCTCAAGTGATCCTCCCACCCCAGCCTCCTGAAGTACTAGGATTGCAGGCATGAACCACTGCCCTGGCCTAGATACATTTAATGTAGTAGAGGAGATGAGATTTTTACATAGTATAATATTGAATGAGACAACAGTCAAAAGAAAATCACATACTATAAGAGAAGAGATTACCCTTACCTTTTAGGAATCAAGAAAACTCCCTGGAGGAGATGGTACTTGAACTTATACTGGAGGATTTATATGTTCATCCTTCTTGGTTTATATTTTGTCCCACACGGTAGCTTGTTTCTTTTTTCTTTTTTTTCTTTTTCTTTTTTTTTTTTTGAGGCAGAGTTTTGCTCTGTTGCCCAGGCTAGAGTGCAGTGGCGCGATCTCGGCTCACTGCAACCTCCACCTCCTGGGTTCAAGCGATTCTCCTGCCTCAGCCTCCCTAGTAGCTTGTTTCTTAGAGACAGTGTGAGTGAAACTCATTAAGTAAAGTCAATACAGCACAAGTTTCATAAAATGGTAAAGAAATAGAAATAAAAGTAAAGGATGAAATTCTTAAGAACTTTGTCAGGCCAGGCGTGGTGGCTCATGCCTGTAATCCCAGCACTTTGGGAGGCCGAGGTGGGTGGATCACCTGAGGTCAGGAGTTTGAGACCAGCCTGGCCAACATGGCAAAACCCTGTCTCTCTAAAAATACAAAAATTAGCTGGGCATGCTGGCGGGTGCCTATAATCCCAGCTACTCGGGAGGCTGAGGCAGGAGAATCGCTTGAACCCAGGAGGCGGAGGTTGCAGTGAGCCGAGATCACATCATTCCACTCCAGCCTGGGTGCCAAGAGCAAAAAACTCCATCTTGAAAAATAAAGAACTTTGTCTCCAGTATCATTCTTGTTCTAGGACTGAGAAACAGTTCATTCTTCATTTTCGTCTACTAAAATTTAAGTTCTTTGATTTTCTTCTTTAGGTCTTGGAAAAAGAATTAATAGAGTAATTTTCTTAGGTATCAAGTAATGAAAATGAGAAAAGAGACTAGTCTCATTATAGATTTTTTTTTTTATTCTTATTTTATTTTATTTGAGACAAGGTCTCGCTCTGTCACCCAGGCTGGAGTGTAGTGGCTCCATTATGGTTCCCTGCAGCCTTGAACTCAGGGGCCCAAGCAATCCTCCCACCTCAGCATCCCGAGCAGCTGGGACTACAGGTGCATGCCACCATGCCTGGCTAATTTTTGTGCTTTTTCGTGTATAAAGATGAGATTTCGCCATGTTGCCCAGGCTGGTCTCAAACTCCTGGGCTCAAGAGATCTGTCCACCTCAGCCTCCTAAAGCGCTGAGATTACAGGCATGAGCCACCACGTCCAGCCTAGAGATATTTATACTTTAATAGCTGCCTGCAATACCAATACACCTAGAATGAATTAGAAGAATTTGAAAACAGATTTCAGGATTAGTAAAAGAAAGTCAAGCCCTATGCCTCCTGTTCTACATTCCTCAAATCACATAATCCTGATTTTTTCCTCTTCGTATGAAAATTCCTCTCATTTTGGGCCTGTTTGATTTTTTGGGAGACACCACCCAGCAGAAACACACCGCACTTACATGCAACCCCTCCATTGCACAGTTTCTAAATGCCCCCCCGCTTTTTTTTCCATTCTCTGATCCTAAAAAAAGAAATCCAGTGGCACAATCACGGATCTCTGCAGCCTTGATCTCTTAGCCTCAAGTGATTCTCCTGCCTCAGCTTCCTGAGTAGCTGGGACCACAGGTGCTTGCCACCATGCCCAGCTATTTTTTTTTCTTTGTTTTTTTGTAAAGATGTGTCTCACTATCTTGCCCAGGCTGATATTGAATTCCTGGGCTCAAGTGATCCTCCTACCTTGGCCTCCCAAAGTGCTGGGATTTTATATATATATATATATATATATATATATATATATATATTTCCATTTTACTTATGTTAATGCTTTCCCTCTTTTGGCATAGAAAAGCTAATAAAGCTTAAACTTAAATGGAACTTGTATAAACACAATATATCTGATGATACCTTTGAGAGATGTCTTACATTTGTCTTTTCTTTCAGCAAAATGTGATGCCAGTCCCTGAAATGTGTAGCAATTTAATTATGGGTAGCATTCTTCTTTCCCTGTACTTACTATAGTATTAACTTACTACTAATGCTAAGAAGTTTATAATTTTTGATAATTCAGATTTGGATTAGATTAAGATTTATGTCTATGCATAATTCATTAAAAACTTTTTAAACCAAATTGTCAAAAAAGATTGTAGGTACCTTGTTTAAAGAAAATATATAAGCTAGTTTCAAGAATTCCAAAATATTTTTTAAAAGCAGCTCTGTACATGTCGATAAATTATTTGCTCATTGTAATTTTTTGAATCTGTTTGTCAAAGCAAATGTAGACGGGCTCGAACTCCTGACCTCAAATGATCCACCCGCCTCAGTCTCCCAAATGCTGGTATTACAGGCATGAGCCACTGCTCATGGCCTGTTATCATTTTTAATTGAAAATTTTACTGAGATAATTGTAGATTCACTTGCCATTATAAGAAATAATTCAGAGATATCACTTGTATACTTAGCCCAGTGTCCCCCAAAGGTAAAATTTTGCAAAATTATAGTCTAATGTAACAGCGTGAATATTGACATTAATACAATCCACTGAGTTTATTCAGATTTCCCCAGTTTTACTTGTATTCAATTGTGTGTTTGTGTATTAAGTTCGATATAACTAGTCAATATACTGAACAGTTCTAACATCACAAGTATCCTTCAGGTAGCCCTTTTGTATCCACATCCACTTCCTTCTCATCCCCAACTATTGACAACCACTAATCCCTTTTCCATTTCTAAAATGTGATTTCAAAAATGTTACATACTTGGCTGGGGGCGGTGGCTCATGCCTGTAATCCCAGCACTTTGGATATACGGTCTCTACTAAAAATACAAAAATTAGCTGGGAGTGGTTGTGCACACCTGTAATCCCAGGTGCTTGGGAAGCTGAGGCAGGAGAATTGCTTGAACCCAGGAGGCAGAGCTTGCAGTGAGCCGAGAGTGTGCCACTTCACTCCAGCCTGGGCAACAGAGTGAGACTCTGTTTCAAAAATAAATAAATAAATAAATAAAATGGTCTTCATACAGCCTTTGCTGCTAGGAAATATAGTTTCTAATTAATGTAATTTTTTGTCAAATACAAAATGCTTCTGAACGTTTCTGGTTATCAAGCTGGTAATCTTTCACAGTGTCCTCAATTTTTTTTTCTACTCTCTTACTAGTTCTCCAGATCACATGCAGGCTATTAAGAAATGTGAACTAACAAGTTAAAGTAGCAGGACGGGCGCTGTGGCTCACACCTATAATCCCAGCACTTTGGGAAGCTGAGGCAGGTGGATCACTTGAGGTCAGGAGTTTGAGAGCAGCCTGGCCAACAAGGTGAAACCACATCTCTACTAAAAAAAAAAAAAATTTGCCAGGTGTGGTGGTGCATACCTGTAATCCTAGCTATTTGGGAGGCTGAGGCATGAGAATCGCTTGAACCCAGGAGGCAGAGGCTGCGGGGAGCCAGGATCATAGCACTGCACTCCAGCCTGGGTGACAGAGCTAGACCCTGTCTGAAAAAAAAAAAAAATGTTAGTAGCAGCAGAGCACAGTGGCTCATGCCTGTAATCCCAACACTATGGGAGTCTGAGGCGGGAGGATCTCTTGAGCTTAGGAGTTCAAGACCAGCCTGACAACATAGTAAGACTCCATCTCTACAAATAATCATTAAAAAAATTAGCCGGGCGTAGTGGCACCTACCTGTAGTCCCAGCTACTGGGGAGGCTGAGATGGGAGGATCACCTGGGCCTGGGAGGTCAAGGCTGCAGTGAGCTGTGATCGCCATTGTACTCCAAACTGGGTGACAAGAGTGAGACCATGCCTCAAAAATAATAATAATAAATGTATAATTTAAATGTGACCTAACATTATGAAGTTTTTAAAAACAAAATTATAAATGATTTTAACACTTTCTCATTAGCTAAGAAATCTTCAGAACAAACTTTTCATAAAAGAAACTTCACTGCAAGAGTTGAAGCCTGAGCTAGAAAGTTACAAAGAAAATAATGTACGACAGTCGTTCCAGATAATGTCCCTGAAAGATAATATCAAGGACCTACAGAAACTTACTGCTTCTCTAACCAGAATTAAATATTTGAGAAACACCAATATTCAGAGGCTTCAAAGAGGCAACTGGAATTTAACTAAATGAATTATTGAGCTAGAAACTGTCTAAGGTAGGGATTTTTCCAGTTTGTTTTCAAACATGTCTTTTGTTGTAAGCTTGCAAATAGCATATGAACTCCATACTCCTGATTGATCATAGAATTTAAATCTGCAGAATTTCACTTAATACCTGACCCAACATTATTATATTTTGTATTGAGATATAACTTAAATACCTCGGGCCAGGTGTGGTGGCTCATGCCTATAATCCCAGCACTTTGGGAGGCCAGGGCTGGTGAATCACTTGAGGTCAGGAGTTCAAAACCAGCCTGGCCAACATGACAAAACCCTGTCTCTACTAAAAATACAAAAAATTAGCTGGGCATGGTGGCATGCACCTGTAATCCCAGCTACTCAGGAGGCTGAGGTAGAAGAATCACTTGAATCCAGGAGGTGCGAGACTCTGTCTAAAAAAAAAAAATCCAATTTGAGATATAACTTACATACCTCAAGATTCAGTTAAAGTGTACAATTCAATGGTTGTACAATCATCACCACTGTCTAATTTCAGAACAATTTCATCACACCTCCCCACCCCCCACTGCAAAAAAAAACCCATGCCCGGCTGGGCACGGTGGCTCATGCCTGAGATCCCAGCACTTTGGGAGGCCGAGACAGGCGGATCACAAGGTCAGGAGTTCGAGACCAGCCTGGCCAACATGGCGAAACCCCATCTCTACTAACTACAGGCAGGTGCCTGTAATCCCAGCTACTCAGGAGGCTGAGGCAGGAGAATAGCTTAAATCCAGGAGGCGGAGGTTGTGGTGAGCTGAGATCATGCCATTGCACTCCAGCCTGAGCAGCAAGAGTGAAACTCTGTCTCAAAAAAAAAAAAAAAAAAAAAAAAAAGATTTAATGATTGACCTGCTGGATTTTGAACTTGCATGGGGCCTATAGCCTCTTTCTTTTGGCCAAATTCTCCCTTTTGGAATGAGAGTATTTACCCAATGCCTGCAATTCCCATTATATTTCGGAAGTCACTAACTTGTTTTGTTGTTGTTGTTGTTGTTGTTGTTTGAGACAGAGTCTTGCTCTGTTGCCCAGGCTGGAATGCAATGGCACAATCTCGGCTCACTGCAACCTCTGCCTCCCGGGTTCAAGTGATTCTCCTGCCTCGGCCTCCCAAGTAGCTGAGATCACAGGCATGCACCACCACCCCCGGCTAATTTTTGTATTTTTAGCAGAGATGGGGGTTTCACCATGTTGGCCAGGCTAGTCTCCAACTCCTGACTTCAGGTGATCCACCGGCCTTGGCCTCCCAAAGTGCTGGGATTACAGGCATGAGCCACCGTGCCCAGCCCGAAGTTACTAACTTGTTTTGGATTTTACGGGCTCACAGGCAGAAGGGACTTGCCTTGTCTCAGATGAGACTTTGTTCTTTGGGCTTTTGAGTTAATGCTGGAATGAGTTAGAACTTTGGGGGAACTGTTGGGAAGGCAGATTGTATTTTGAAATGTGAGAAGGACATGAGATTTGAGAGGGCCCAGTGGGAGAATGGGATAAGGCTTGAGTCTGTGTCCCTGCCCAAATCTGATGTCAAAGTATAATCCCCAGTGTTAGGGCCTGGTGGGAGCTGATTGGATCATGGGGGTGTATTTCCCCTTTGGTGCTGTTCTCATGATAGTGAGTGAGTTACCATGAGATCTGGTTGTTTAAAAGTGTGTAGCACCTCTCACCTCACTCTATTCCTTCTGCTCTGGCCATGTAAGATGTGCCTGCTTCCCCTTCACCTTCTGCCATGATTGTAAGTTTCCTGAGGCTTCCCTAGCCATGCTTCCCATGCAGCCTGTGGAACTGTGAGCCAATTAAACCTCTTTTCTTTGTAAATTACCTAGTCTGAAGCATTTCTTTACAGAAGTGCAAGAACAGACTAATACATTGAACATCTCTTCATGTGCTTATTGGCCATGTGTATATCTTCTTTGTAGAAATACCTATTCATATTTGTTGTCCCTTTTAAAATTGGGTTGGCTTTTTATTGCTGAGTTGTAAGTGTTCTTTATATTTTCTGGATACTGGACTTTTATTAAGTGTATAATTTGTAAATATTTTCTCCCAATTTGTGGGTCATCTTTCCACTTTCCTAAAAGTGTCATTTCAAGCAAAAATTTTAATTTTGATGGAGTTGTGTGTGTGTGTGTGTGTGTATGTGTATGTGTGTCTTTGGTGTCATAGCTGAGAAATTATTGTCAAATCCAGGATCATGAAAGATTTACATCTATATTTTCTTTTAAGAGTTATAGTTTTGGCCGGGCGTGGTGGCTCATGCCTGTAATTCCAGCACTTTGGGAGGCCAAGGCAGGTGGAGTTCGAGACCAGCCTGGCCAACATGGTGAAACTCCGTCCCTACTAAAAATACAAAAATTAGCTGAGCATGGTGGCACACGCCTGTAATCCCAGCTGCTCGTGAGGCTGAGGCAGAAGAATAGCTTGAGCCCGGGAGACAGAGGTTGCAGTGGGCCAAAATCATGCCACGGCACTCCAGCCTGGCCGACAGACTCTGTCTCAAAAAAAAAAAAAGATTTATAGTTTTGGCTGGGCGTGGTGGCTCATGCCTATAATCCCAGCATTTTGGGAGGCCAAGGCAGGTGGATAACTTTAGGCCAGGAGTTTGAGACCAGCCGGGCTGACATAACAAAACCTGATCTCTACTAAAAGTACAAAACTTAGGCTGGGCACAGTGACTCATGCCTGTAATCCCAGCACTCTGGGAGGCCGAGATGGGCAGATAATTTGAGGCCAGGCATTGGAGACCAGCCTGGCCAACATGGTAAAACCCTGTCTCTACTAAAAATACAAAAATCAGCTGGGCGTGGTGGCACGCACCTGTAATTTCAGCTACTCGGGAGGCTGAGGCGGGAGAATTGCTTGAACCCAGGAGGCAGAGGTGGCAGTGAATTGAGATCATGCCACTACACTTCAGCCCGGGTGATAGAACGAGACTCTGTCTCAAAATAACAATAATAATAATAATAATAATAATAATAGCTGGACATGGTGGTGCACACCTGTAGTCCCAGCTACGTGGAAGGCTGAAGCAGGAGAATTGCTTGAACCCAGAAGGTGGAGGTTGCAGTGAGCCAAGATTGTGCCACTGCACTCCAGCCTGGGTGACAGAGCAAGACAGGTGTACTCCAGACTGGGTGACTGCACCCCAGCCTGGGTGACACTGCACTCCAGCCTGGGTGACAGAGCAACTAACTAACTAACTAACTAAAACTACAGTTAGTTTATATATAGTTTTTAGTTAAAACTATAGTTAGTTTGAGCCAGGCGCGGTGGCTCACGCCTGTAATCCCAGCACTTTGGGAGGCCGAGGCGGGCGGATCACGAGAATAAGGAGATCGAGACCATCCTGGCTAACAAGGTGAAACCCCGTCTCTACTAAAAAATACAAAAAATTAGGCGGGCGTGGTGGCGGGCGCCTGTGGTCCCAGCTAGTCGGGAGGCTGAGGCAGGAGAATGGCGTGAACCCGGGAGGCGGGGCTTGCAGTGAGCCGAGATCGCACCAATGCACCTCCAGCCTGGGCGGCAGAGCGAGACTCCGTCTCAAAAAAAAAAACAAAAACAAAAACAAAAAAAAAGCCATAGTCTTTCTAAAACTATAGTTAGTTTATAATTAACTATAGTTTTAGTTATAAAATATAACTATAAAGTTATAGTTTTAGCACTTACATTTATGTCTTTGACTTCTTTTGGCAAATTTTTATGTATGATGTGAGGTAGGAGTCCAGATTCATTGTTTTTCATATAAATATCCAGTTGTCCTTAGCACCTCTGTGGAACTATCTTGGCATTCTTGCCAAGAATCAATTGACCATAAATGTATGGGTTTATCTTTGGGCACCCAATTCTATTTCATTGGTCTGTATGTCTGTCCTTATACCAGCACCACACTGTCTTGATTAATGTAGCTTTGTAGTAAGTTTTGAAATGGGTAAGTGTGAAAAATTCCAACTTAATCTCATTTTTTTCAAGATCATTCTGGCTATTTTGGGTCCCTTGCTTTTCCATATGTATTTTAAGATCAGCTTTTCCATGAACATGGAATATTTTTCCATTTATTTAAGTCTTCTTTAATTTCTTTTTTTTTTTTTCCCCGAGATGGCGTCATGCTCTGTCGTCCAGGCTGGAGTGCAGTGGCACGATCTCGGCTCACTGCAACCTCTGCCTCCTGGGTTCAAGCAATTCTCCTGCCTCAGCCTCCTGAATTGCTAGGATTACAGATGCTCACCACCATGCCCAGCTAATTTTTGTATTTTTAGTAGAGACAGGGTTTCACCATGTTAGCCAGACTGGTCTTGAACTCCTGACCTTGTGATCCACCCGCCTTGGCCTCCCAAAGTGCTGGGATTACAGGCGTGAGCACCGCGCCTGGCCTTCTTTTTCTTTTTCTTAGAGACAGGGTCTCACTCTGTTACCCAGGCTGCAGTGCAGTGGCACAATCATAGTTCAGTGTAATCTTGAATTCCTGGGCTCAAGCAATCCTCCTGCCTCAGCTTCCCAAGTAGATAGGACTACAGATGCATGCCTCCATGCTTGGCTAATTTTTAATTTTTTTTTTATATAGATTTGGGGTCTTGCTGTGTTACCCAGGCTGGTCTCAAACTCCTGGCCTCAATCAATCTTACTGCCTTGGCCTTCCAAAGCACTGAGATTACAGGCATGCACCACCACACCCAGCCTCTTTAAATTGTTTTAACAATGTTTTGTAGTTTTCAGTGTATGTGTGTTACATTTCTTTTGTTAAATTTATTACTAATATTTTATTCCTTTTATGCATTGTAAATGAAACTGTTTCCATATTTCATTTTTTGATTGTTTATTTTTAGAGAGTAGAAATACAATTGATTCGTGTATATCAGTCTTTGTCCTGCAAGCTTGCTGAACTCACTTATTAGCTCTAGGGTTTTTTTGGTATGTGTGTGTGGTTTCCTTGGGATTTTCTCCATACAAGACTATGAATCTGCAAATATGTGGGTTTTTAAAAATTTACTATTATTATTATTTTTGAGATGGAGTCATACTCTGTCATCCAGGCTGGAGTGCAGTGGCACGATCACAGCTCACAACAACTTCTGCCTCCCAGGCTCAAGCAATTCCCCTGCCTCAGCCTCCTGTAGCTGAGATTACAGGAGTGAACCACCATGCCTGACTAATTTTTGCATTTTTAGTAGAGATGGGGTTTTGCCATGTTGCCTAGGCTTGTCTCAAACTCCTGGGTTCAGGCTACCCACTTGCCTTGGCCTCCCAAAGTGCTGGAATTATAGGCGTGAGCCACCACACCCAAATATTGTTGAGTGTTTTTAATCACAAAAGTGTGTTGGATTTTTTGTCCAATGCTTTTTTTTTTTTTGCATCTTACTGAAATAATCATGTGATTTTATCCTCTATAGAATTTGTTATTGTTAGACTTATTGTATTAGTTGGTATACAGAGAGAGGAGATATTTGATAATGTGCCCTCAGTTGACAGGAGAAACAAAGTCATTAATTTTTCCTCTTATAATAAGAATAATATTTGAGAAACTCACACAATATGAAAAGCTATTCTATTCAGATGTGCACACTACTGTAGCCTATTTCTATTTTGTATTGGTTAGTATGTATCAGGTCATCTCATAGGTTGGGGCTCTTCTGAGTCTTGCATTTCTCAAAACACTTTTTTTTCTTTTGCTGTATTTATACCAAGTCACTTTTTGTTTGTTTGTTGGTTGGTTGGTTGGTTGGTTGGTTGGTTGGTTGGTTGGAGTCGGAATCTCACTCTGTTGCCGAGGCTGGAGTGCAGTAGAGTGATCTTGGCTCACTGCAACCTCTGCCTCCCAGGTTCAAGCGATTCTCCTGCCTCAGCCTCCCAAGTAGCTGGGACGACAGGTGCACGCCACTCTGCCCAGCTAATTTTTGTATTTTTAGTAGAGATGGGGTTTCACCATGTTGGCCAGGCTGGTCTCGAACTCCTGACCTCAGGCAAGCCACCCACCTCAGACTTTCAAAGTGCTGGGATTACAGGCGTAAACCACTGCGCCCAGACTACTTTTTAAAAGAAATTATATAGGAGACTAAAATTGAAAAAAGAAACAAACCTTTACTCAGATTGAGATATTAGTTAAACTTAAGGGCCTGAAACAAGGAAAATGGGGTTTGCTTTTTTCTGGTTGTGCAGAGAGTGTATGAATAAAAAGAACTCACAAAGTTCAAGTGAAAGACTGATTAAAAGAAATTCATCATCCAAATATCTTCTCAGTGTTAAGCAAGCACATGAAGTTAGCTATAGCTCGACCCTTAACAGCTAATCAGGTAAACTCTTCAACTCAGTTTTGAACGTAACATAGTATACTACAGACTTTTTGTTTTTGTCCTCAGAGCTAAAGAGAAACAATGGCTATATGGCATACTATGAGGATTAATTTTATATGTCTACTTGACTGGGCCATAGGGTGCCCAATATATGGTCAAACATTATTTTAGGTGTTTCTGTGAGAGTGTTTTGGATAATTTTAACATTTAAATTGGTATACTGAGTAAAGCAGATGATACTCCCTATTGTGAGTAGGCCTCATCCACTGAGTTAAAGGCCTGAATAGAACAAAAAGATTAACCCTCCCCCAGGTAAGAGCGAATTCTTCCTGCCTGATGGCCTTCAAAATGGGACATCAGCTCTTTTTCCTGCCTTTGGACTCAAACCATTGGCTCTTCCTGGGTCTTGAGCCTGCTGGCCTTTGGACTGGAGCTACACTATTAGCTCTCTTGATTTTCAGGCCTTCAAACTTAGACTCAAACTACATTATTGGCTCCCCTGGGTCTCCCAGATCCCAGCAGATCTTGGGAATTGCCAGCCTTCATAATTGCTGAGGCAGTTCCTTTTTTTGAGATGGGATCTTCCTCTGTCACCCACACTGGAGTGTAGTGGTACGATCATGGCTTACTGCAACCTCAAACACCTGGGCATAAGTGATGCTCCTGACTCAGCCTCCTGAGTAGCAGGGACCACAGGCACATGCCACCATGCCCAGCTAATTTTTTAAAAATTTTTTGTAGATACAAGGTCTCACTTTGTTGCCCAGGCTGGTCTTGAACTGCTGGGCTCAAGCTATCCTTCCACCTCAGCCTCCCAAGGTGCTGGGATTATAGGCATGAGCCACTGTGCCCAGCCAAAAGTCAGAAGATAATTGAATGGCATCTTAAAGTGCTGAAAGAAAAAATACTGACAACCCAGAATCTATACTCAGTGAAATTATCCTTCAAAATTGAAGATGAGGCCGGGCGCGGTGGCTCACGCCTGTAATCCTAGCACTTTGGGAGGCCGAGGCGGGCGGATCACGAGGTCAGGAGATCGAGATCATCCTGGCTAACATGGTGAAACCCCGTCAGTACTAAAAATACAAAAAAAATTAGCCGGGCATGGTAACGGGTGCCTGTAGTCCCAGCTACTCGGGAGGCTGAGGCGGGAGAATGGCGTGAACCCAGGAGGCGGAGCTTGCAGTGAGCCGAGATCGCGCCACTGCACTCCAGCCTGGGCGAGAGTGAGACTCCGTCTCAAAAAAAAAAAAAAAAAAAAAAAAAAATTGAAGATGAAATAAACATGGTTTCAGAAGAAAAAAAAAGAAATCATTTATTGTCAGAAGAACTACACTATTAAGAAACACACCAGGCAATTTTTCAGGATGAAGGAAAATGATCCTTGGTGGCTACAGAGAAATGTAGGGTAGAATAAGGAGTAAAGAAAGGGTAAATAGAAATTAATACTGACAATTAATTTTTAAAAATCCTATACAATTTATAATATATGAAAAAGTAAAACATATCAGTAGTACAAGGGCAAGAAATGGTAAATGGAGTTAAGCTATCATAAGTGTTTTATTTAGGGAGTATCACAAAAGTATTAAAGTAGAATGTAATAGGCCGGGCGGGGTAGCTCACACCTGTAATCCGAGTACCTTGGGAGGCTAAGGAGGGCGGATCACTTGAGGTCAAGAGTTCGAGATCAGCCTGGCCAACATGGTGAAACCCCACCTCTACTAAAAATACAAAAATTAGCCAGGTGTGGTGGCACACGTCTGTAATCCCAGCTACTTGGGAGGCTGAAGCATGAGAATAGCTTGCACGTGGGAGGCGGAGGTTGCAGTGAGCCGAGATCCTGTCACTGCACTCCAGCCTGGGCGACAAAGCGAGACTCTCAAAAAAAAAAAAAAAAAAAGCACGTAATAAATCAAATATGCATTATGTAATCACAAAATCCAGCTTAACAACTAAATAATAATTTAAAAGATATTAAAAACTTAATATGGAAGAAAAATGAAATAAAAAACTTTATTAATCCAAGGCCGGGCGCGGTGGCTCATGCCTGTAATCCCAGCACTTTGGGAGGCCGAGGCGGGTGGACCACTTGAGGCCAGGAGTTCCAGACCAGCCTGGCCAACATGATGAAACCCCGTCTCTACTAAAAATACCTGGGCAAAGTAGAGCATGCCTGGCCGGGCGCAGTGGCTCATGCCTGTAATCCCAGCACTTTGGGAGGCTGAGACAGGTGGATCATGAGGTCAGGAGATCGAGACCATCCTGGCCAACATGGTGAAACCCTGTCTCTACTAAAAATACAAGAATTAACTGGGCATGGTGGCACATGCCTGTAATTCCAGCTACTCTGGAAGCTGAGGCAGGAGAATTGCTTGAACCAGGGAATCAGGTTGCAGTGAGCTGAGATCATGCCACTGCATTGCAATCTGGCGACAGAGCGAGATTCTGTCTCAAAAAAAAAAAAAAAAATTAGAGCATGCCTATAATCTGAGCTACTCAGGAGGCTGAGACACGAGAATCACTTGAACCCAGGGCGGCGGAGGTGCAGTGAGCAGCGATCACACCACTGCATTCCAGCCTGGGCGACAGAGTGAGACTCCCTCTCAAAAAACAAACAAACAAACAAACAAAAACTTTATTAATCCAAATTAAAATGGTAGAGTAGTAGTAAAGGAACAGAGAATAGATGGTAAAAACAATAAATAACATGATAAACCCGACAATTTCAATAATAACTTTAAAGATAGATGGTATTGTAACTGCCCAATGGGTTCACCTTGCCCGCTGCCTAGACAGAGACGATTTCTCAAGACAGGGGAATTGCAATAGAGAAAGATAAATTCACGCAGAGCTGGCTGTATGGGAGACCAGAGTTTTATTATTACTCAAATCAGTATCCACAAGCATTCCGCCTTCAGAATTTTTAAGGACAACATGTTGGGTGGGAGGAAGCCAGTAAGCTGGGAGTGCTGATTGGTCAGAGCTGAAATCATAGGGAATGGAAGCTGTCTTCTTGAGCTGAGTCAATTCCTGGGTGGGGACTGCAAGATCAGATGAGTCAGGTTATCAATCTACGTGGTGCCAGCTGACCCATCAAATGCAGGGTCTGCAAAATATCTCAAGCACTGATCTTAGGAGCAGTTTAGGGAGGGTCAGAATCTTGTAGCCTCCAGCTGCAAGACTCCTAAACCATAATTTCTAATCTTGTGGTTAATGTTAGTCCTACCAAGGCAATCTAGTCTCCAGGCAAGAAGGAGGGCTGCTTTGGGAAAGGGCTGTCATCTTTGTTTTAAACTATAAACTATAAAGTAAGTTTCTCCCAAAGTTAGTTCAGCCTACACCCAGGAATGCACAAGGACAGTTTGGAGGTTAGAAACAAGATGGGGTCAGTTAAGTTAGATCTCTTTCACTGTCTCAGGCATAATTTTGCACAGGCGGTTTCAGTATAATCATTTCAGTACAAGACAAGATTTTAAAAAAGAAAACTAATGCTAAGCATTTTTCAAGAAACATACTGTAGGCCGGGTGCAGTGGCTCACGCCTGTAATTCCAGCACCTTGGGAGGCTGAGGCGGGCGGATCACGAGGTCAGGAGATCGAGACCATCCTGGCTAACATGGTGAAACCCCGTCTCTACTAAAAACACAAAAAAATTAGCCGGGTGTGGTGGTGGGCACCTGTAGTCCCAGCTACTCGGGAGGCTGAGGCAGGAGAATGGGTCAACCCAGGAGGCAGAGCTTGCAGTGAGCCAAGATCCTGCCACTGCACTCCAGCCTGGGTGACAGAGCGAGACTCTGTCTCAAATAAAAAAAAAGAAGGAAACATACTGTAGCCAGACGCCACCTATAGTCCCAGATACTTGGGAGGCTGAGGCAGGAGGATAGCTTGGGACCAGTTTGAGACCAGCCTGAGCAACATAGCAAGACCCTGTCTCCAAAATTTAAAAATGTTTAAAAAGAGATATATTTTACATATAAGAACACAGAAAGATGTTATTAAAAATAAAAAAATGACATTTGGGTAATGTGAATATTACCCTAAAGAAAGCTGCATCTATGTGGAACTGTTACCGGGAATGGGTCCCAATCTAGACCCCAAGAGAGGGTTCTTGGACCTCACGCAAGAAAGAATTAGGGGCAAATCCATAAAGTGAAAGCAAGTTTATTGGGAAAGTAAAGGAATAAAGAATGGCTACTCCATAGGTAGAGTCACAGTATGGGCTGCTTAACTGAGTATACTCAGTTATTTCTTGATTATATGCTAAACAAGGGGTGGATTATTCATCAGTTTTCTGGAAAAGGGGCAGGCATTTCTCGGAACTGAGGGTTCCTTCTTTTTTTAGACTGTATAGGGTAACTTCCTGATGTTGCCATGGTATTTATAAACTGTCATGGCCCTAGTGGGAGAGTCTTTTAACATGCTAATGCATTATAATTAGTGTATAATGAGCACTGAGGACAACCAGAGGTCACCTTTGTCACCATCTTGGTTTTGGTAGGTTTGGGCTATCTTTATCGCATTCTGTTTCATCAGCAGGGTCTTTGTGGTCTGTATCTTGTGCTGACCTCCTATCTCATCCTGTGACTAAGAATGCCTAAGCTCCTGGGAATGCAGCCAGTAGTTCTGAGCCTTACTTTACCCAGCCCCTATTCAAGATGGAGTTGCTCTGGTTCTAATGCCTCTGACAGAACCTCCTGATTGTCACAATATTACCAGTAGCAGCAGGCAGCTATTCACACCCAAATTTCACCTTAAAAAGAATGGCTTCAAAATTGACCTCCCCCATGGGAAATATTGCAGGACTTAACACAGAATTGTTTTTCTCTTCATTTCTCTACGATTTCTTTCTTTCTTTTTTTTTCCTTTTTTCCGAGGTGGAGTTTCTCTCTTTTTGCCCAGGCTGGAGTGCACTGGTGCAATCTTGGCTCACCACAACCTCTGTCTCCTGGGTTCAAGCAATTCTCCTGCCTCAGCCTCCCGAGTAGCTGGGATTACAGGCATGCGCCACCACGCCAGGCTAATTTTGTATTTTTAGTAGAGACGGTGTTTCTCCATGTTGCAACCTCAGGTGACCCGCCCACCTCGGCCTCCCAAAGTGCTGGGATTACAGGCGTGAGCCACTGCACCCAGCCTACCATTTCTTTTTGGGACAGGGTCTTGCTGTGTTGCCCAGGCTGGTTTCTAACTCCTGGGCTCAAGCGATCCACTGGCCTCAGCCTCCTGAAGTGCTGGGATTACAGGAGTGAGCCACTGCACCAGGCCCATTTCTCTACCATTTCTGATCTCTCTCTAGAAACACTTGGATAACTGCACAGCTCCTTTCATAAGAAATATATTTTAGGGCCGGGTGTGGTGGCTTATGCCTGTAATCTCAGCACTTTGGGAGGCCGCGGCAGGTGGATCAACCGAGGTCAGGAGTTCAAGACCAGCCTGGCCAAGATGGTGAAACCCCATCTCCACTAAAAATACAAAAAATTAGTCAGGAGTGGTGGTGCATGCCTGTAATCCCAGCTACTCAGGAGGCTGAGGCAGGAGAATCACCTGAACCCAGGAGGCGGAGGTTGCAGTGACCCAACATTGCGCCATTGCATGCCAGTCTGAGCAACAAGAGTGAAACTTTGTCTCAAAAAACAAATAAACAAATGAACAAACAAACAAAAAATCATTGTTATTCCTCAGAGTAAGAGCAAAGATCATCCCCTGCAGAAGCTTAGGAACTATGCACAGAACTTTACAGAACAGGGGCGATGCTTTAACTGAAGGCTGACTACTGACCAGAGAATGGAATTCTGAGAGGGCTCAAGGAATAAAAGAAAACTAGGCAGGGAAAGGGAAGGCGCCCATCTGAAGCAAACTTCAGCGGCCATCAGGATATCTTGTGGTGGTCACAAGTTGTAGGCTCTGTTTTTGGAAGGTTTGGGTATAGCGCAGGATTCCATTTGTCTACTTGGCTACACCTCTGCCTGAGGTACACTGTTGCCAGAAAAGAGGGTCCCAATCCAGACCCCAAGAGCAGGTTACTGGATCTTGCACAGGAAATAATTCAAGGGAAGTCACACAGCACAGAGAAAAAGCAAGTTCATACAATGTTACTGAGTAAGTTATCGCCAGAAAGCAGGAGGAGGAACACGCCATCCTTGTTAGTGTCTCTATTTATAAGAAACTTATGAGAAGCTATAATTAAACTTGGAACATGCAGATGTGCTCACTAAAGGTAGGGGCTATTGGTGTTATAGATGACCATTAATCTTTCAACCTAAGCCTGCTCATTAATGGCATCTTTAATAAAGTGGGCTACACTCTTAGGACATCTGGACATTCTGCAGGATTGGTGGGAGATGTTCTGTATGGCCACCAATATTCTGTAATTATAATTGGTGGTCAGCTTGGGATGTGGCTATTTTCAGACCACAAGCATTAACCTTACAGAGTGCCTAGCTACTCATTTCAAGGTGGAGTCACTCTGGCCATGTTTTACCAAACCAGAGGTCTGGTAAGGAGAGGTTCCTCTAACACCATGAGGTCAACGTCACTCAAGTTCCTGGCCAGCCAAACTCTGAAAGCAAGGAGTCCCAAATTGAGGATCAAGTTCCTCCAGAAATCATTGCTATGGGTGGCAAAGCAGTAGATTCCCTGAAGCCAATCTCCCACATTGTCTGGAATTTTGGGAGCTTCATTTGCCCAGTTGGCAGTGCCAATGGGGACCCCGCTGGAAGCCATAGTAGCACCTTTGGGCTCTGCATAGGACTTGCTCAATACACCATATTGGAGTCGTTGGCTCTTTTTGTTATTTTAAGTTGAAATTTGAAGATTGGCTGAGTTGGTTTCATGATATTGTTGCCTACTGATATCTTACACAGAGTACGAGTACATCTGGTTGAAAGAGAAAAGGCAGAGAGAAAAGCAGACTTTTTGGAGTTGTTGTTCTCAGGCACTAACAGATTCATCCCTTATATGCATATGAATGGACAATAAGATTTCTTGGATATTTTCATGGCAAAGGTGAGGAGAAATTTTTATTGCTTTTTGAAGAAACATGATTTTTATTACCTTGGGTTATTCCAGGAGATAATTGATAAATGTTGAGTAGTTTGTTGGTCTTCTTCTTAAAGGAGGATCAAGAGAAGCAGTACAGCATGGCAGACTAGAAGCATTTCTGTTTTTTTGTTTTGTTTTGTTTGAGATGAAGTCTCGCTCTGTTGCCGAGGCTGGAGTGCAGTGGAGTGATCTCTGCTCACTGCAAGCTCCGCCTCCTGGGTTCAAGTGATTCTCCTGCCTCAGCCTCCAAAGTATCTGGGATTACAGGCATGTGCCACCACGCCCGGCTAATTTTTACATTTCTAGTAGAGACGGGGTTTCACCATGTTAGCCAGGCTGGTCTCAAACTCCTGACCTTAAATGATCCACCCACCTCGGCCTCCCAAAGTGCTGGGATTACAGGCATGAGCCACCGCACCTGGCTGAAGGGTCTTCAGTATCATCTCTGTGATAGATAAATTGTTTAGTGGGTTATCTACATTGGCCATTGACATCTAGAATTAGGGTATGAGTTGGGTTTAGAAGAAGGAAATGAGGCTGGTCTCCAATAGACAGTGATTCATATGATAAGCAGAAAGTGTTACAGAAGTCTGGTAGAGGAGGATGGGAGACAGATTATTGTCAAGGAGATAGTAAAAGTTTATTTTGAAATCCTTAGACTATGCCGGGCTCAGTGGGTCACACCTGTAATCCCAGCACTTTGGGAGGCCGAGGCGGGCGGATCACCTGAGGTCAGGAGTTCGAGACCAGCCTGACCAACATGAAGAAACTCGGTCTTTATTAAAAATACAAAATTAGCCAGGCGTGGTGGTGCATGCCTGTAATCCCAGCTACTTGGGAGGCTGAGGCAGGAGAATCACTTGAATCTGGGAGGCGGAGGTTGTGGTGAGCCAAGATCGCGCCATTGCACTCCTGCCTGGGCAATAAGGGCGAAACTCCATCTCAAAAAAAAGAAAGAAATCCTTAGACTATAAGTTTGTTATATAATCTGCATGTAAAACAAGGTCCTATATGACTCAAATAATGTGCAGGGTTCCCTTTAAAAAGTTCAGCAACTACTTTCCTTTTTTTTTTTTTGAGATGGAGTCTCACTCTGTCACCCAGGCTGGAGTGGGTTGGTGCAATCTTGGCTCACTGAAACCTCTGCCTCCTGGGCTCAAGCCATCTTCTCACCTCAGCATCCTCGGTAATTTAGTTGGGACTACTGGCGTGCGCCACCATGCCCGGCTAATTTTCCTGTATTTTGTGGAGAGACGGGGTTTCACCATGTTGCCCAGGCTTGTCTCAAACTCCTGGGCTCAAGTGATCCTCCTGCCTTGATCTCCCAAAGTGCTAGGATTACAGGCGTGAGCCACCACACCTGGCCAATGACTTTCAAATTTGTTTAAAGTAATCCCAATCTTTATTTGCCTCTCTCAAGTAATTAATGATAACACTTTCTTTAAAAAAAAAATGCTGTCACTAGGCTGGGTGCGGTGGCTCACATCTGTAATCCCAGCACTTTGGGAAGCCGAGGCGGGTGGATCACCTGAGGTCAGGAGTTCGAGACCAGCCTGACCAACACGGTGAAACCCTGTCTCTACTAAATACAAAAATTAGCCAGGTATGGTGGTGGGCACCTGTAATTCCAGCTACTTAGGAGGCTGAGGAAGGAGAATCGCTTGAACCCCGGGAGGTGGAGGTTGCATTGAGCCGAGATGGCACCATTGCACTCCAGCCTGGGCAACAAGAGCAAAACTGTCTCAAAAAAAAAAAAAAAAAAAAAAAAAAAACAGACCGGGCATGGTGGCTCACACCTGTAATCCCAGCACTTTGGGAGGCAGAGGCAGGTGGATCACCTGAAGTCAGGAGTTTGAGACCAGCCTGGCCAACATGGCAAAACCCCACCTCTACTAAAAATACAAAAAAATTAGCTGGGCACGGTGGCAGGTGCCTGTAATCTCATCTACTAGGGAAGCTGAAGCAGGGGAATCGCTTGAACCTGGGAGACGGAGGTTGCAGTGAGCTGAGGTTGTGCCATTGCACTCCAGCCTGGGAGACAGAGCAAGACTCCATCTCAAAAAAAAAAAAAAAAAAAAGTCACTAATCTCTAAGATCTCTGAATAACTCTCTCAGAATTAGAGTCCATACAGCTCTGATCTTTTCTTCTTTTATGCTGCTTGTTTTTCCAAGGCTTTTAGTGATGCAAACTTATCATTACTTTAACAATTCCAGCTTTCCTTCTATGTCTTGGTTTTACACGACAAGAAGCCCAGAAACTGAACTTGCTTACTCAGCTCCCGAGGTTGAAGGTGGCAAGAAGGTGGTAAGAATCCTAGACAGGCTAGGCCTGGTGGCTCACGCCTATAATCCTAACAATTTGGGAGGCCAAGGCAGGAGGATCGCTTGAGGCCAGGAGTTCGAGACTAGCCTGGGGAACATAGTGAGACCCTGTCTCTACAAAAAAAAAAAAGAAAAAATTAGCTGGGTGTGGTAGTGCACACCTGTGGTCCCAGCTACTCAGGAGGCCAAGTTGGGAGGATTGCTTGAGCCCAGGAGGTGGAGGCTACAGTGAGCAATGATGGCACCACACTCCAACCTGGGCGACACAGTGAGACTCTGTCTCAAAACAAAACAAAACAAAACAAAACAAAACAAAGAAGATTTGGTAGAATTCTCCTGTGGGAGTTTGGAGAAAGAAGTAGAACATTATTATTGTTTTTTTCCTGTCATATTTCTAATGGAAACAGGATGATTACAAGAGTGCAGGGGAAAGGTTGGGGAAAAGAAATGTGACTTCTTTCACTTTTACATTATTGAAATTGTTATTTAAATTGTATTCTATAACCATAATTAAATCTTCATAAACTTTTCACTTAATGATCTTAGCATTCATTGATGGTCTTTGCCTGAATCTTATTTCAAAAGGCAAGGCATTTCAAAAATGCTGATTTTTAAAATTTCTATCATTTCTTATACACTTATTAGCTCACATTTTTCTGTAATGAGTTTACCCTTATCAAGTGGGACTCTTTGGTTAGCTGCTCCTCTAAGCTAATTTTTCTTGTATTCTCAAAGCAGTTTCTCCATACTATCATTTCAATACCTCTTGCTGTTCTAGTTTGCTGTTTTGAGTATGTCCTTGTCTTACTTATGTGATTGACTTTTTTTTTGAGATGGAGTTTCTCTCTCGTCGCCCAGGCTGGAGTGCAATGGCACCATCTCTGCTCACTGCAACCTCCGCCTCCCAAGTTCAAGCAATTCTCCTACCTCAGCTTCCCGAATAACTGGGATTACAGGCACCTGCCACCACACCCAGATAATTTTTGTATTTTTAGTAGAGACGGGGTTTCACCATGCTGGTCAGGCTGGTCTTGAACTCCTGACCTCAGAGGATCCACCCGCCTTGGCCCCACAAAGTGCTGGGATTCCAGGCGTGAGCCACAGTGCCTGGCCATGACTAACTCATTCCATTGAGGGTCTTTTCTCCTGAAGTTTTGTGCTATGACTTGATATTTCAAAAGAAGGGAAATAGATGTCTCAGTATTAAATTTCAAACGGGAAGTTTAACCTGTATATTGGCTTATTTAGGGTAAGAGTGAAGCTATCCTGGACAAGAACTTTGACAGGACAATACTATTCACTCTGAAGGACCAAAAAATGAGCAGAAAATTTGGGATAAATGTCAACAAGATTTGAACCCTAAAGAAAAGCAAGCATCGAGTTAGACAGACGTCCATATTCATTCAACTGGGAAAATAAAACTGCAGTCCCAACATCAGAATTTCCTTGGTCAGTTGGTTATTGCGGGACAGCATTCTTCTGCATGACAGTATTGTCTCCTTACCAGCCACAGAGGAGGCTGTGAGAGAGAGGATTTGGGAAATTGGTGCAAATGAGAAATCTTGGAAATCTGTAAGTATATAGATATAAAAGTTATTCTTTCCAGTTTGATTCTTTTATGATGTAGATTTTAATATCCGTCAATTTAGGAAACTCTGTGGCTCTGAATTATAGTTATAATTCTAGTTTTACTATTACAGTGAAAGAAGAGAAGAGGCTGTTCATTATTATATTGGAAGTAGTGTAGCATGTTTATTAAGAGTGCAGAGCCCCAGCATGAAGCCTAGCTCTGCCATTTGCCAGCTGTGTGTGCTCTTGGGCAGACTACTTATCCTCTCTGTGCCTCATTTTCATTTGTGAAGTAGGGGACGGTGTGTAGTTCCCACCTCACAGAGTGGTTGCAAGGACCAAATGGGTTAATACATGATAAATGCTTAGTTTAGTGTAAGTTCAATAAATATCAAAATAGTGGTATGTTAAAGATAGTGTTTACATGATAACCTAAAATTAATTGCCAGTTTGTTTTAATTTACTGGTCAAGTCTATCAAATGATTGAATCAGCATGTTTAAGTGGATATATCTCATTTATGTCCAGATCATTTTAGTATATTCATGACTCCTCACTTTAAAATTCAAATGATAATAGGTACAGTTAGTCCTCCATATCTGTGGATTCAACCAAGTAAAAATAAAAAATTGCATCACAACAAGGCATGGTGGCTCACATCTGTAGTCCCAGCACTTTGGGAGGCTGAGGCGGGTGGACCGCTTGAGGCCAGGAGTTTGAGACCAGCCTGGCCAACATGACAAAAACCCATCTCTACTAAAAATACAAAAATCAGCTGGGTGGTGGTGGCTTGCACTTGTAGTCCCAGCTACTCGGGAGGCTGAGGGATGAGAATTGCTTGAACCCAGGAGGTGGAGGTTGCAATGGGCCGACATCTCACCACTACACTCTAGCCCGGGCAACAAATCAAGACTGTCTCTTTTTTTTTTTTTTTTTGAGACGAAGTCTCGCTCAGTCGCCCAGGCTAGAGCGCAGTGGCGCAATCTCGGCTCACTGCAAGCTCCGCCTCCCAGGTTCACGCCATTCTCCTGCCTCAGCCTCCCAAGTAGCTGGGACTACAGGCGCCCACCACCACGCCTGGCTAATTTTTTGTATTTTTAGTAGAGACGGGGTTTCACCGTGTTAGCCAGGATGGTCTCGATCTCCTGACCTCGTGATCCGCCCGTCTCGGCCTCCCAAAGTGCTGGGATTACAAGCGTGAGCCACCGTGCCCGGCCAAGACTGTCTCAAAAAAAAAAAAAAATTGCATCTGTACTGAACATGTACAGACATTCTTCCTTTTCATTATTCTCTAAACAACAGAGTACAACTATTTACATAACATTTACGTTATATTAGGTATTATAAAAGTCTCCCGAGAGACAGAGGTTGCAGTGAGCCGAGATCGCGCCATTGCACTCCAGCCCGGGGGACCAGAGCGAGTCTTCCTCTCAAAAAAAAAAAAAAAAAAAATTGAGATGATTTAAAGTGTACAGGAGGATGTGAATAGGTTAGATACAAGCACAATACCATTTTGTATCAAAGACTTGAGTATTCATAAATTTTGGCATCTCTAGGAGGTTCTGACACCAGTCTCCCAGGGACGCTAGGGACGCCTGTATATGGCTTAGATTCAGTGTGTTAGTGAAACCTGCTACACAGTAGCCTGTTTAGAGTTCCCCATTTTTAAAAATACTCTGCTTTTTTAAAATTCATTATACAGCCTTATTTCTCAGTACTGACTAAAATGTCTTATTTTTATATATCGAAGCTTTCTATTTATTTTTTAAACCAATGTATACATGTCAAATCCTAAAATCGCCTGTATTAATCTACTTAGTAACTTAATGCCACTCCAATGTGGATATAAATAGAACTTGCACATAGTTTTGAAACTACGTAGAAAGCATGGAGGCTGGGTGCGTAGGCTCACGCCTGTAATCCCAGCACTTTGGGAGGCTAAGGTGGGCAGATCACCTGAATTCAGGAGTTCGAGACCAGCCTGACCAATATGGCAAAACCCCGTCTCTACCAAAAATACAAAAATTAGCCTGGCATGGTGGCATGCACCTGTAGTGCCAGCTACTTGGGAGGCTGAGACAGGATAATTGCTTGAACCTGGGAGGCGGAGGTTACCGTGAGCCAACGTGGCACCACTGCACTCCAGCCTGGGTGAAAGAGCGAGACTCTGTCTTAAGAAAGAAAGAAAGCGGGCGGGGGGGCGGGGGGAAGGGCAAGCAAGCATAGAGCATGAGGAAGTTTTTAATGTCTTTTTCTTACAGAGAACTAAAGCCTTTCAGCAGGAAATCCAGATGCTCACTAAGTGACTAGAGCAGCTGCATCATCTTTAAGAAGAAGGTGCTCAAGAATCATCCCAAGCTGAAGAAAAAAGTATTGGGAACAAAAAAGACCCTTGAAATGTCTAGAAAGAAAAATTGAGATCAAGGACTTTTTCAAGAGAGATTAGACTTGGACAGGAAGAAAGTAAGAATTTCCTGAAGTATAAGCATTCCTTTGATAATGAAAATGATTGCATTTTATTCATAACTTTAACTTTATCTAATGTTTGAAGCTGTTAATACTGTTAATACTTTTCTCCACATTGGGAAAGGGGGGAAATTTGCTACAAACTCTGAAAGCTTCCGATTTTATTTTATTTATTTATTTATATTTTTTGAGAGAGAGTCTCGCTCTGTCACCAGACTGGAGTGCAGTGACGCTATCTTGGCTCACTGCAACCTCTGCCTCCTGGGTTCAAGCGATTCTCCTGCCTCAGCCTCCCGAGTAGCTGGGACTACAGGCACGCGCCACCATGCCCAGCTAATTTTTGTATTTTTAGTAGAGACGAGGTTTCACCATTTTAGCCAGGATGGTCTCAATCTCTTGACCTTATGATCCACCTGCCTCAGCCTCCCAAAGTGCTGGGATTACAGGCATGAGCCACTGCCCTGGCCTCTGATTTTATTTTTAAAAGCCTCTTCTCTCTCCGTATCTCCATGTCTCTTTTGTGTACTTATTTGATGTTTGTTGTGAGGGCATCTGTTTACATATATATCTCAATGTACTTTAAGGAGAGGATTAGAAGAAAAGGAGCTCAAAGGAATAACTCTCTTTTTTTCTTTTTTTTCAGATGGAGTCTCACTCTGTCACCCAGGGTGGAGTGCAATGGTGTGATCTCGGCTCACTGCAACCTCCGCCTCCCAGGTTCAAGCGATTTTCCTGCCTCAGCCTCCCAAGTAGCTGGGATTACAGGTGCTCACCACCCGCCCGGCTAACTTTTGTATTTTTAGTAGAGACAAGGTTTCACCATGTTGGCCAGTCTGGTCTCAAACTCCTGACTGCAGGTGATCTGCCTGCCTTGGCCTTCCAAAGTGCTGGGATTACATGTGTGAGCCACTGTGCCCGGCCAAAGGAATAACTCTCTAATGGGGAAATTTTAGGAATTGTGACAGGCAGATATAATGAGCATTGATGAGGGGCCATTGATGATGTCTCTCAATAATCACTGTATAAGTCATTCTCTTCTCTACTCTCTGCTTCCCTGAATCTGTAAGGAAAAAGGCAGTCCTAAAAGTTGGATAGAAATAGGTAGGTTGCAATACAATTTATTTTCAGGAGATTCTCTATTTTACTACCTCTTCATAGAATTGCCTATCATAGCCGGGCACAGTGGCTCACACCTATAATCCTAGCATTTTGGGAGGCTGAGACAGGCGGATCACGAGGTCAGGAGATTGAGACCATCCTGGCCAACATGGTGAAACTCTGTCTCTACTAAAAATACAATAATTAGCTGGATGTGGTGGCACACACCTATAATCCCAGCTACTCTGGAGGCTGAGGCAGGAGAATTGCTTGAACTCAGGAGGCAGAAATTGCAGTGAGCCAAGGTAGTGCCGCTACATTGCAGCCTGGTGACAGAGCAAGACTCCATCTCAAGAAAAGAAAAAAAAAAAAAAAAAAGAATTGCCTATCATAACCAAATTACGTTATAGTATTTCTATAATTGCTATGGTCCAAAGTGGAATCTTGCTCACTCATTTACCATTTACTCATTTAGTCTTTTTTTTTTTTTTTTTTCTGAGACTGAGTCTCACTCCATCACCCAGGCTGGAGTGCAGTGGCGCAATCTCGGCTCACTGCAACCTCCACCTCCCAGGTTCCAATGATTCTCCTGCCTCAGCCTCCCGAGTAGCTGGGACTATAGGTGTGTGCCACCACACCCAGCTAATTTTTGCAGTTTTTAGTAGAGATGCAGGGTTTCACCATGTTGGCCAGGCTGGTCTTGAACTCCTGACCTCGTTATCTGCCTGCCTCAGCCTCCCAAAGTGCTGGGATTATAGGCATGAGCCACTGCGCCCAGCCTTCATTTAGTCTTTTGGCTCATTCATTTGTTTATCCAATATTTATTGAGCATTCAGTTTTCTTTTCTTTTCTTTTTTGAGACGGAGTTTTGCCCTTGTTGCCTAGGCTGGAGTGCAATGGCGCGATCTTGGCTCACTGCAATCTCTGCCTCCCGAGCTCAAGCGATTCTCCTGCCTCAGTCTCCTGAGTAGCTGGGATTACAGGCATGCGCCACCACACCTGTCTAATTTTGTATTTTTAGTAGTGACAGTGTTTCTCCATGTTGTTCAGGCTGGTCTCGAACTCCCGACCTCAGATGACCAGCCCACCTTGGCCTCCCAAAGTGCTGGGATTACAGGTGTGAGCCACCATGCCCGGCCTAATAGTTTTCTTTACTAGAGTTCTTGGGTTTTCTGGATTTCACTGTATATTGTCAAATTGTTTCCTAGGAAATAATGTATTTTTAAAATTTCACTTATTTATTTTATAAATAATTTGATTCTAAAGGTGGAACAGTTTGGACCAGCTCATGGGAGAACTGTCTTTTTTTTTTTTTTTTTGAGACAGTCTTGCTCTGCCTCCCAGGCTGGAATGTGGTGTTACCATCACGATTCACTGTAGCCTCAACCTCCTAAGGCTCAAGTGCTCCTCTTGCCTCAGACTCCCGAGTAGCTGGGACCACAGGTGCACACCACTATGCCCAGCTAATTTTTGTAGAAATGGGGTCTTTCCATGTTGCTCAGGCTGGTCTTGAACTCCTTGTGGCTCAAATGATCCGCCCATCTCTGCCTCCCAAAGTACTGGAATTACAGCCTTTATTTCTTTTAGATTTTCAATTTACTGCCCCTAAGTTGCAAAATGTTCTCTTAGAATTATTTTTATCTTTGCATTCTGTATCCATTCTGTATGCATATCTATATATTCTGTATATTCCTCCTTTCTAATATTGTGTATTTTCACTTTCTCTCTTTCCTTTTTAACCAGGCTTGCCTGAGGCATCTATTTTATCTTTCCAAAGAACCAGTGGTTCTTTTTGAGACAGGGTCTGGCTCTGTCTATTGTCCAGGCTGGAGTGCAGTGGCATGATTATGGCTCACTGAAGCCTCAACCTTCAGGGCTCCAGTGATCCTCCTGCCTCAGCCTCCCAGATAGCTGGAACTATAGGTGCACGCCTCCACGCCTGGCTAGCTTTTTGAAGTTTTTGTAGAGATGAGGTTTCGCCATGTTGCCCAGGCTGGTCTCAAACTGCTGAGCTCAAGTGATTCTCCCGCCTCGGCCTCCCAAAGTGCTAGTATTACAGGCATGATTCACCGTGCCTGGCCAGTTCTTTTTTTAAAATATACGTTTTATGGCCTGGCACGCTGGCTCACCCTGTAATCCCAGCATTTTGGGAGGCTGAGGTGGGCAGATCACTTGAGGTCAGGAATTCGAGACCAGCCTGACCAACGTGGTAAAACCCTGTCTCTACTAAAAATGCAAAAGTTAACTGGGCATGGTGGTGTGCACCTCTAATCTCAGCTACTTGGGAGGCTGAGGCAGGAGAATCACTTGAACCAGGGAGGTGGAGGTTGCATTGAGCTGAGATTGTGGCACTGCACTCCAGCCTGGGCAACAGAGCGAGACTGTCTCAAAAATAAATAAATAAATAAATAAATACACATTTTATTAGTTTATTTTGGTTTATATGTAATGAATATATATAGTATGTTTATTAAATCTGCACCCTACTTTCTCTTTTCCCTTCTTAAGTAAATGTGCTTTTTTTGTCTTTTGTTTTTAAATCAGAAAAAGAGTAAGTACTATTGAATGTTCCTCTGTAGCTTGTCCAATAGATTTTTATAAGAAATGTTTCTTTTCACTGTGTTCTATGTATTTTTGTAATTTTAGTGTTGATTTCCATTTTTTGGCTGAAGGTATTCAGAATTTTTGTTTGTTTGTTTTTTGTTTTTGAGACGGAGTTTCACTCTTGTTGCCAAGGCTGGAGTGAAGTGGTGCAATCTCGGCTCACTGCAACCTCTGCCTCCCAGATTCAAGCAATTCTCCTGCCTCAGCCTCCCTAGTAGCTGGGATTACAGGTGTGCACCACCATGCCCAGTGAATTTTTGTATTTTTAGTAGAGGTGGGGTTTCACCACCTTGGCCAGGCTGGTCTCGAATTCCTGACCTCAGGTGATCCCCATGCCTCGACCTCCCAAAGTGCTGGGATTACAGGCGTGAGCCACCGCACCCAGCCTAGAATTTTTTTAACCCTTTATACACACACACACACACACACACACACACACTTTTCAAAATCAAATATACCAAGAGTCTTTTATTGAAAAGGAGCAGCCCTCTTCTGTACCTCTCTTATTTCCCAGAGGGAACTCTTTAACTCTTTTAGCTGTTTCTGATAGTAACTTCCATTTTCCTAAACAATTTTAAACTGCCTTATCTCGAGTTATCTATATTAGACATGTTGTTGATTTCCTGTTATATGATAGATGAAATTTCATCTCTCATACCACTTTCCTACCTGCTCCTTTCATCTTCCCAATCTGGTTATATTGATATTTTAAGCTAAATGCATAATCAGCATTTACTTTACCGTGATACTAAATGTTTACAAAAGCATGAAGTACTATATTCTTGGTACATTTTCTTTCTTGTATTGCATTTTATTTTTCCTACAGTTAATACCTTCCTTATATTTTCATACGTTTAATTTTCAGTGTTCATTTATCAAGGTTTTTTTCCTGCCTAAATCTGTATCAGATGATCCTTTAGTCTTTAAAAATCTCCCATTTTTTCTCTCCCAAAGTCCTTCATTCCCTTGCTTCAGTCTGGATTTTACTCTGTGGGCCTGAGCACAGCCATGATGCCATGACTTTCCTTCTCTAATCTCCTGGTTAGGTTTCATTGTTTGCCGAATCACATTTCTTCCTCTTTTTTGGTTTCCTTTCTTATTTTACTGGAACACATCCTCCAATGGCTTCCTAAGAAATGGTGCCTTGGAGAGCGACATTTTTTGAGGTCCTTGTGTGAATGACAATGTCTTTTTTTGTTTGAATCATCATACTCAATTGATAGCTGGGTTTAGACTTTATTTTCACACACGGACTTCATTGTCTTCTAATCTCTAGGGTTGTTATTGAGGAAAATATGCCATTCTGATTCTTGTTCCTTAATATGTTATTTCTTGTAATGGATTAAAACATTTACCATAACTTTTTTGTAATAACATTTTATAACTAATTTTTTTCTCATAATAAAATTAATTCAGCTGGGCATAGTGGCTCATGTCCGTAATTCCAGCACTTAGGGAGGCTGAGGTGGGTGGATAGCTGGAACCCAGGAATTTGAGATCAGCCTGGACAACATGGCAACACCCCATCTCTACAAAAAATTTAAGAACTAGCCAGGCATGGTGCACACTTGTAGTCCCAGTTACTGGGGAGGCTTAGGTGGGAGGATGGGTTGAGCACGGGAGGTCGAGGCTGCAGTGTGCTGTGATTGCACCACTGCACTCCAGCCTGAGCGGCAGGGTGAGACCCTGTCTCAAAAAATTAAAAAATCATGTGTATTAGTGAAGATTTGTAAAGTAGAAAATAATAGAAATAAAATTGAAATCACCAGTAATCCCACCATTTTGCGATAACTAGTATTAAATATAGGTATATTTCCCTCTGATTATTTTCCATGTATATTTTTATCATCATTGAGATGTACATAGTTTTTCTTAATCCTGCTTTTTTCATTAACTACATCATTGTTAATTTTTCTTAATAAATATTTTTGAAAACTTAATTTCTAGGGAATAATCTATCATATAATAATTTTTCTTTTTTGACATTTGCATTGTTTCAGTTTTTTCTATTATGAATAATGTTGTAAAGAATATCTTTGTGGGCCAGGTGCGGTGGCTCATGCCTGTAATCTCAGCAGTTTGGGAGGCCAAGGTGGGCGGATCACCTGAGGTCAGGAGTTTGCGATCAGCCTGGCCAACATGGTGAAACCCTGTCTCTACTAAAAATAAAAAAATTAGCCAGGCATGGTGACAAGCGCCTGTAATTCCAGCTACTCGGGAAGCTGAGGCTGGGGAATCACTTGAACCTAGGAGGCGGAGATTGCATTTAGCCAAGATTATGCCATTGCACTCCAGCCTGGGCCACAAGAGCGAAACTCTCAGATATTCAAAAAGAATATCTGAATATCTTTATGGCCGGGTGCAGTGGCTCACCCTTGTAATACCAGCACCTTGGATGAGCAACGCAGGAGGATCACTTGAGCCCAGGAGATTGAGGGAAAAAAAAAAAAAAAAAAAAAAAAAAAAAGCCCGGGTGTGCACACCCTGTAGTCCCAGCTACTCCAGATGTTGAGATGGGAGGATCACTTGAGCCTGGGAGGTCAAGCCTTCAGTGAGCTGTGATAACGCCACTGCATTCCAGCATGGGCGACAGAGCAAGACCCTAACTTAAAAAATAAAATAAAATAAATAATATCTTTGTGTGAGTCTTTTTTTTTTTCCCCGAGACGGAGTTTCGCTCTTTCGCCCAGGCTGGAGTGCAGTGGTGCAATCTCCGCTCACTGCAGCCTCCGCCTTCCGGTTTCAAGCGATTCTCTTGCCTCAGCCTCCTCAGTAGCTGGGATTACAGGCATCTGCCACCACGCCCAGCTAATTTTTGTATTTTTAGTAGAGACCGGGTTTCATCATGTTGGCCATGGTCTCGATCTCCTGACCTCGTGATCTGCCTTCCTCAGCCTCCCAAAATGCTGGGATTACAGGCTTGAGCCACAGTGCCCGGCCCGTGTGTGAATCTTTATCCACATATTTGATTATTTCTTTATAATACATTCCTAGAAAAGTTGAACTAATCTATGCTACTGCTTGGTGCTTATAAAATCTATTTCATTGTACTCTTGGTAGTCCTGAGTCATCACTTTTATTGTCATATTTTATTTTCTTGATTATTTTAATAATGCTTATTTATGGTGAAAAATATTTTACTTATGGAAGTATTGTTAAGCCTGCAGTGTGTTAGTCTGGAGTGGATGTGGTATTATGCTAGTGTATAATAACATCTTAAAGCACAATTTTTTACTTCAATACTGTTGATTTCTGCAAAGGAAAACTCAGGGACTAAGCATTCCCAGATAGACAAGCATAGCAAGAAGTTCAAAAAGCTAGAGAAAGACAACATGCAACAAAACAAATGTTATTGAATATTTGGCAGAATTTGCAGATTGCTACTACGCAAAGATTGGAGGAGAAAATTCAGAAACTTCAGAGACAGCTCAGTGATTTGAAATTGTCAAATAAAAATATGAAAACTCAGCTGACAAGAGTAAATGTCCTTAAAGTAAGTAAAGGAAGTGAGGCTTTCAGAAATTCACTAAAGCTTTGGTCTTTTACCATTTTAGCAGCATGCTTTTCATTGAAGCTAAAAAAATTAATATTAAAATTATTTTACATACATACAAAAGAATATATATTTAAGCATATAGAATAAAATTGGAATTCACCACTCATTTTAAGAAACAAATATTACCAATACAATTGAAACCCCCATATATCCATATATCCTCCTCCTTGTATTCTAAGTGTTATTATTACAAATCCCTTGTTTTTTGTTTTATTATTATTATTCTTTTTGAGATGGAGTCTTGCTCTGTTACCCAGACTGGAGTACAGTGGCGTGATCTTGGCTCACTGCAACCTCTGCCTTCCAGGTTCAAGTAATCCTCCCACCTCAGCCTCCCAAGTAGCTGGGAATACAGGCGCGTGCCACCATGCCCAGTTAATTTTTGTATTTTTAGTAGAAACAGGGTTTCACCATGTTGGCCAGGCTGGTCTCAAACTCCCGACCTCAAGTGATCTGCCTGCCTTGGCCTCCCAAAGTGCTGGGATTACAAGTGTGAGCTACCTCACCCAGTCTGTTTTTTGTTTTAGTTTCACTTGTGTCTCTTATTGGGGTAATAGTTAAAAGTTGTAGTCATTTTGGGGACTCTTCTTTGGACCTTCTCCATATCAAACTTCAGTTATACTATTTCAAAAATTATGCCTTAAGCCAAACAGGCACTAAATAACTGATCAACTGATATGCCAGTTTATCAGCAATATTTCTCTTACTGAAATGCCAATTATCTTCTGTATTTCTGTATTTGATTAATGTAGGGCTTTAAGACCTTTGAGGATGCAGAAAACATGTTAAGACTCTTTAAATCCCAAGTGGCCAGTTAATAAAAGTGCTAAGTAATAGTTATTGATGAGCACGATCATGGAGAAATGTCCTCTTAATTCAGAAATTTTGGAATGTTTTTCTTTTCCATATATCTCTGTCTTCATAAAAAAAGAAAGAAAAGGAAAAGAAGCAAGAGTTATCATAACTGTTATTTAGAAGAGATCTAATCCTAGTTATTTCCTTCCTTTCCCCCATCTTATATGCTGTCACAGGACAAAACAATTGAAGAGCTCAGGCAATCTTTAGCAAATGTTGAAAGGATGAAAGAGAAGGCAAATGTTGAAACGATGAAAGAGAAGGCAGTTGTGAAAACAGAAAACTTGAAAACTACATTAGACTCTGCAGAGCAAAAGGCAAGATCAGACAAAGAGAAGACCCAGCAGATGTTAGATGCTGTCACTTCTGAGCCCCCAACAGCAAAGAGCGCACCTGAAGAAGTATCAGGACAAGAACAAGAGGTTTTTTCAAAATAGTAAAATTAAAATTAATTTAGTTGAAGTGATAAACACCCACGCCTACTTAGACTGTAACTAACTTGACAAAAGGGAATATTGGCTTATGGAATCATGAGTTAAACAACCTAACCTCCAGGTGGGCGGAGATACACCTGGGCCCCAGGATCAGCACCTGGAACCTACAAGCCCTTTCTCATGGTCACTTCTTGGCATCTATGTGTCAGCTCATCTGTCTGACTGCTGGTTGGTTTTCTCCATGACAGGAAACATGATCACTGGCAACCATGGAGATTTATATGGAGTTTCTGTGACAGGAGAGAGAATCCCAAGAAAAGGTCTTATTGACCCAGTTTAGGTCAAGTGCTTATCCCTGCTAAACCCACAGTGGCTAGGGATGGGATATATGATTATTTTATATACTCTAACAAGTGACCAGGAGTGTAGAGTTCTATGACATCATGTGTCATCATGTGAAGCTCAGGGGAAACCATGTGTGTCACTTTCTGTGTCACTGTCTAGGAGAATATAGTAGTGCTTCTTAACTTGCTTAGATTTTCACTATACTTATAAAGCAAATATTTCGAGAGAATTTTTTAAAGGCCAACTGATCATCTGGGGCAATTTTTAAATTATATGTCACTTCTCCATATATTAGTTGCTTATGAAACTTATACCTTAAGATATGCTTAAAACATAAAGTCATGATATTAGCATTTTCACTTTTTTCTCTCTTTAACTTCTGTGTGTTCACTTTCTTGATTGTTTCTATTCCTCTCTTTTATTTTTTGAGACAGAGTCTCACTCTGTTGCCCAGGCTGGAGTGCAGTAGCATGCTCATGGCTCACTGCAGCCTCGACCTCCTGAGCTAAAGCAGTCCTCTCACTGCAGCCTTCCGAGTAGCTGGGGCTATAGGCGTGCCACCACCACACCTAATTTTTGTATGTTTTGTAGAGACAGGGTTTCACCATGTTGCCCAGGCTGGTCTCAAACTCCTGGGCTCAAGCAATTCTCCTGCCTTGGCTTCCCAAAGTGCTGGGATTACAGGTGTGAGCCACCGTGTCTAGTCCCTTATTTTATTTTCAGTCAAATCTGTTTTCCTTTGGTCACCTTGTAGTTCACTCTTCACTTTTTAGATGATTTAGTGTTTTCTTGCCTGAGTTCAACTCTCACATCTAGATATCTTGGACTATTCTGAATTATTACATTTCTGATTCAAAATAAAGTTTTTCCCCCCATTTTTGCAAATCCTTTAAAAATTGATATTTAATTTTTTTCAGGGGTGTTGTGTCAAATATTTGTCCTGTGTTTCACGGCTGTGTTTTTTTTTTTGTTTTTTGTTTTTTTTTTTTTGAGATGGAGTTTCGCTCTTGTCACCCAGGCTGGAGTGCAATGGCATGATCTCGGCTCACTGCAACCTCCACCTACTGGGTTCAAGTAATTCTCCTGCCTCAACCTCCTGAGTAGCTGGGATTACAGGCAGTGCTACCATGCCCGGCTAATTTTTGTATTTTTAGTAGAGATGGGGTTTCACCATGTTGGCCAGGCTGGTCTTGAACTCCTGACCTCAGGTGATCCAACTTCCTTGGCCTCCCAAAGTGTTGGGATTACACGTGTGAGCCACCATGCCCGGCCCATGGCTGTCTTTTGGGAGTATTTTTTTTTTCATCGCCTGAACAGTTTAGATGATAGTGTCTTTCTATTTTCTTCTTAAAGTAATTTTATGTGAATATAATTTGCCATTTGTCTGTATTCACTTTCAAATTCCTTGAATTGCTCTGGTCTTCAGATGTTTCTACTTTAGGGTAGCTGGAGGCAGGGCTTACTCACTAGGTTCCTTAGCTCAATACTACCCTCTTCTGTTGGCACAGTGAGTGCAGTTTCTAAAGTTTACTAGATCAAGCCTTTTTGGGAGTGAGGGTTTATATGATGTCTGATTCTGTAATACTGTCTCATTTGTATAAACATATTAATTTCCACTGTTTGCTTTTTTCTTTTCCTTTATTACCAAGCCTCCAAGGAACACAACTACCTCCCTCTCCCCTCAGAAACCTTGCCCTCTACAACTGCCATTTTTGGTCTCATGTGCTTCCAAGACCCTTGCTTTTCCTTCATTTGTCAGTGTTCTGATCCACCAGATCTCAGATTTGTTCTTGGTATTTCACCATTTATGATCTGTCTTGTTTCTGGGGGTAAGGTTGTCTGTGTTCTACACCAGTGAAAATTAGCTGCACCTTCCTCTGTAGCTGCCTCTGCTGGTTTAGAATATTTATTTCCCCACTAACATGCAAATTGAAGTTTGTGGTATTCTCTAGTTTTGCTTTAGGCATGATTTATAGGTAGTTTTTATTTGATCTCCGTGTTGATCACTATGGTTTTTGGAGGATGGGTAGAAAAATGTGTTTTTAGGGGACTGGTATTATCATTCAGCAAATCAGAAGTCCAAAACGTAATTACCTTATGGATGAAAAATAACAAAATAAGCAGCAATAAAATTAAGTTTACTCTATAAAAGTGTAAAAGCAAGAAAAAATTTAAATGCAAAGGAAATTTTAAATAGAGTTATTGTAATAGAAGAGACCATTTTTCTAGCTTAAAAATATTGTTTGAAAGTAGAATATATTACATTTAATAATGTTTAATAAGACTAAATTTCTAGTACCAATTCTTTGTACATAATACCTGGGTGACCCAAACTAATAACATATCTTGATTTCTGTAATGGTTGTTTGTAGCTTAGTGACTTTCAAGAAACTATTCTCAGCTACTCAGGAGGCTGAGGTGGAGGTTGCAGTGAGCCAAGATCACTGCACTCCAGCCTGGGCGACAGAGTGAGACTCTGTCTCAAAAAATAATAAATGAATAAAATTTAAAATTTAAAATAAAAATGGAAACTGCTCACCTTCCGAGGTAGTTTTAGATGTACCCAAGATATCCTCTGTGGGAACAAGTCAGAATCTGGACAGGCCTGTGGGACTCGATGCCTGTTTTAGAGAGCTCTTCAGCATGGGCGGGGTGAGATTATACTGGACCTTACAGAAGTACCATTTTGGAACAAAATAATTATCTTGAATATTCATTCAAGGGATAAATGAGAATCACTTTCCAAATGGCCACAGCCATGATTCCCAAACTGTGTGCCAAGGCACACTGGTGCACTGTAAGGATCTCAGCATGCCATGGAATGTTTTGATTTTATTTATATATTTATTGAGATGGAGTCTTGCTGTGTCACCCAGGCTGGAGTGCAGTGACGTAATCTCGGCTCACTGCAACCTCCGTCTCCCAGGTTCAAGCAATTCTCCTGTCTCAGCCTCCTGAGTAGCTGGGACTACAGGGGCCTGCCACCACGCCCGGCTAATTTTTGTATTTTTAGTGGAGACGGGGTTTCACCTTGTTGGTCAGGCTGGTCTCGAACTCCTGACCTCCGGTGATCCACCCACTTCAGCCTCCCAAAGTGTTGTGATTATAGGCATAAGCCACCGTGCCCAGCCTAAATATTTTGATTTTAAAGGGAAGCACTGTAATATTTGACATCTGTCAGGAAGGTACATGGATACTAGCTTCAACATTACATCACCCTTCATTCTTTTTGATGACATACCTTTGTGATAGAAACTGCCCAAGGCTTCTCAGGATTTATAAATTTGTTGCCGAGTGAACTTCAGTAGTTAGTGGTATCGCTACCAAAGAAGCTGTGCTGCAAACTTGGGGAAGGAGGCTCTTTCCCCAGATTCTAGGATCCCTGGCTGCAATGTAAGAAACTTGCTTATCCTTCCTCTCAATAATATCACCAGCCTAGCAAAAGAGGAAAAGTGAGGGACACCTTGACCAGAGCCTCCACTTGCAGCCCAGCCTGCTCAAGCTGTAAGAACCACCTTCTTATTCAGAATTTCCCCAGAGCCACGGCCCAAGGGTCATCTGCCTGCTGCAGCCTTAGCACACAGGAGCCTGGGCATGAAACAGGCAGACCCTCTCCTCCTTCCAGGACACCCTTCTCTCAGGAAATGGAGGCCCTACCAGCTCCTACAGCCAAGCTCTCCATGAAGGCCAAGGTGTTAAGGTGGGCCAGTTTCTGAAAGAGCCACTTTCTGAGCATATTAAAGAAAAATCTCTTGTAAAAACAAAGAGGGCTTAGTGTTAATGCTCCTTTATGAATTGTGTTAGTAGGAACTGATTGTTCAATCATGGGGCAGTGCAAAACGTTAGCTGTGTTAACTCTGAGCAAACAGGGGAGATCCTTCAAGGACCTGGAACACTGTTTCCTAGAAAAGCTTTTAATCATGTGTCCAAATCACTGCCACACTCTTCTTTAATGATAAGAATTGGATTTAGATTTAAGGCTTTAGATAAATGATTCTCAACCTTCAAGATGCTATGAAATGACCTAATTAAGGAATTATTTTTTCCTAGGCCTATCCAGAGATTCCAGTTCAGTTTGTGGTATGAGGCTGAAGTATGGATATTTTTTTCAAAGCTCCTTAAGTATATAAATTGATAAAATTACTTTGGAAGACTGGCAGTGTACGAGTTTTCTGTTGCTGCTGTAACAAATTATCATAAACTTTGTGGCTAAAACAGTACAAATTTATTATCTTACAGTTCTAGAGGTCCCATTGGGCTAAAATTAAAGTGTCAACAGGGTGTGTTCCTTCTGGAAAGGGGAAAATCCATTTGTTTGCCTTTTCCAACTTCTAGAGGTTACCCACATTCTTGCCTCATTGCCTCCTTCCTCCATCTTTAAAACTAGTAGGAATTGATCAGGCCCATCCAGTCTTTCTCACAGCTACTGTTCTCTGGTTCTTTATCTGATTCTACAATTTCTCTGATTCTCCTTCTCTTGCCTCCCTCTTCTCTATTTTTAAGGGTGCTTGTGATTAAGTTGGGCCCACCTGGACAATCCAGAATGCTCTCCCTATTTTAAGGCCACCTCTTGGCAAACTCTGTAAACTTAATTCTCTTTTGCCATGTAACCTAATATACTCATAGGTTCCAGGGATTAGGACAAGGATATTTTGGGGGACCCATTATTTTGCTTGCTGTAGTTAGCATCTACTAAAATTGAATACATGCATGCCTTATGAAGACGTAGTCCCACTTCTACATACATGTTAGAAGCAAATTTTTCAGTGCCACAAAATAAAAGAAAATAGCACTCGAATATAAATTTTCTCAGCAAGGCAAATTTACTCTTTCAGGAGGGTGCCCCTCGTAGGTCTGGTTGCCACGAGAGGACGCACAAACAAAGGAAAGCAGGGGGTTTTATTATCTCTAATGCAGCTTGTCCCTGTTACTGCGTCTTGCCTCCATTGGCTGGAGTTGGACCACACGATCTAAGCTGAACCTGGTTGGCTAACTTGAAAAGTGCAGGAATGCGGTTTTCAAGTGGGAAGGTGGGAAGATCAATTTTTCTGGGAAAGCTGTTACAGCAGGGAGGGGGTGATTTCTTGGCTGTCTTGCCTGAGCACAGCAGGATGGGAGGGGCTGATAGATTGGCAGGCAAGATTACTGTAGACAAAGAACAGAGAAATAAGACTTCAGGACAGACAGTACAAGGAAGTAAAGACCTCTTGGAGAAGAATACCTTGTTTGTAACAAAGTGAAACTCTTTGAAGAGGAACTGTCTAAACTACTTGTTTTTAACATATATAACAGAAATGTGTACATATTCTTTTTTAAATTTTTAAATTTTATTATTTTTTTGGAGACAGAGTTTCGCTCTTGTTGCCCAGGCTGGAGTGTAATGGCACGATCTTGGCTTACTGCAACCTCTGCCCCCTGGGTTCAAGTGATTCTCCTGCCTCAGCCTCCAGAGTAGCTGGTATTACAGGCATGCGCCACCACACCTGGCTTATTTTTTGTATTTTTAGTAGAGACAGGGTTTCTCCATGCTGGTCCGGCTGATTTCTCGAACTCCCGAACTCAGGTGATCTGCCCGCCTCAGCCTCCCAAAGTGCTGGGATTACAGACGTGAGCTACCTCGCCTGGCCAGAAATGTGTGCATATTCTATACAAAGACATTTACAATATTACTAACGGTGGCATTGTTCATTATTGCCGGAAACTGGAAACTACCCAAATGAACAATGGTGGCTTAAGTATGGCAATCAGATCCATTAGTTAAGCATTCGATCTCATTTGGGGTTGGACAGGGAGAGGTCAACTGGAGTGCTGAATTTTTCTGAGGCCAAACTAGAAAGTAACTCTAGGAGCTGGGCGTGGTGGCTCATGCCTGTTAATCCCAGCACTTTGGGAGGCCAAGGCGGGCAGATCACCTGAGGTCGGGAGTTGGAGACCAGCCTGACCAACATGGAGAAACCCCGTCTCTACTAAAAATACAAAATTAGCCAGGCGTGGTGGCGCATGCCTGTAAATCTCAGCAACCTGGGAAGCTGAGGCAGGAGAATCGCTTGAACCTGGGAGGCGGAGGTTGCCGTGAGCCGAGATCGTGCTATTGCACTCCAGCTGGGCAACAAGAGTGAAACTCTGTCTCAAAACAACAACAACAACAACAAAACAACAACAACAACTACTACTCTAGGACCAGGACTGGGAGATGGCAAATAGGGGAGAGCATGGAGTTCCACTAATAAAATGGTAATACACTAACAGTGGAGAAAGCAATGGGCTTGTAAGGAGAACTTGGTTCTTGTTGAACATCCGTCACTAATCAGTCTTGCAACCCTTGATCAAGTCTTGTCACCTCACTAAACTCGAATTTTCTTTATCTCAAAACTAGAAAGAAATCGTGGCCTGGATTTCTGAATTATGGGGTTTCAGGCAGCCACAAGTAGGCTGGCAGAAATGTTTTCTGGTCAAATAAAGGAGTCTGTTGCCCCAGAACAGGAGCCAGGGGCACAGCCAACAGTAAAATTCTGCTTGGGGCCCCATTCCTCAGCTGCAAGGTACTTGTCTTCAGGTGTGGCAGGCTGAGATCTGCCTCCTTGTTCCCGGCCTATCCCGCTGGGCCCCTCCCCTGCAAGTGTTCGCTTCCATACAGAGGGACCATTAGGGCCTGTACATCGTACTTCAGGTCCCCTCCTGTGGTCCAACATTCCCTAGGGGCAAGTGCAACTGTTTATGCGGAGACCACTTTTCCGTGCAGCCCAACTGAAGGTGCACGTTCCACCGCAACCTGGTGCTTACAACAGCTCGGGAGGCCGCGCTACCGCGCCTGCGCCCCTCTGAATATGGAAGCGCGCGCGAGGTCCTTAAGGGAAAAGGAAGTAAGGGCGGGGACGGAGGGAGACGACTTCAACGTAGGGAGTTGCTGCTGCTACACTGCCGGCCGGAGAGGACAAGGAAAACGTGGAGGAAGTCGGTGATGACTGGCTGAAGGGGATGATTGGCGGGTGAAAAGAGCCGGGCCAGAAAGCACCTTTGCATGTGGCTAGAAACCCGCCTGAAGAGGGGCTGAAACCCACGCCGGAACCCGCCCGATTCGAGCCAATCAGGGAGAGGAGCCGGGTGGGGGGGCGGACGGGGCGGCCTCGCGGGGGGTGGACGGGGCGGTCTGCGGGGAGGGGGGGCGGTCTGCGGGGAGGGGGACGGGGCGGCCTCGCGGGAGGGAGGACAGTTTCGCGGGTTCGGGCGGCGAGTCTCCCGGATGCTCCTCAGCTCTGGGGACGCGGTGCAGAAGTGTGAGGGCGCCCGGCTTCCAGGCAGTAATGGGCGGGTCCCTGCGCGGGAGCGTGGCGGGCGCTGGACTCTACAGCAGATGTGGAACTGGAGAGCTTGGCGCGCCTTCCGACTTTGTCACACACCTGCGCCGCCAGACTGGGGTCGGGCCCCTCCGCGTTCTGCTCTGGAGTGCCTGGGTCTGGGCCCAGCACCGCGCTTTTAGAATCTCCTCAGCTGAATCTGACGCTCAGCAGTGGGTGAAGCGCAGCCCCCTGTTTCAGGCCCTGCCGAGCTGGAAGGAGTGTCAGAGCTGGAGCGCGCGTGGCCCCCTCTGTGTTGGGGTCACCCCGGGGTTGCCAGGGCTCAGGGAGGGTCGTAGTCTGGATTTTGTCACCCGCACGTCCCCACCCCCCAGCAGGTCTGGGGTTGGAGAATCCACGCGGGCTTCATAAGCTAGATGCCAGTTAACTGTCGAGAGGGGACGCTCCCTCCTCGTAGGCGTCCACACTGGAGAAGGAATAAGATGGGCGATTGCCTGGGAAGCCTGACAGGGCGGCGGCAGCTGGGATGCTGGAGAGGACTGGCCCCTTGAGTTACTGAGTCCGATGAATGTGCTTGCTCTGCTGGAGGAACCGCGCTCAGGTTACAGTCATCCCAATATGGTTCTGAAGGTGCGTGGTTCAGGTCACTTAGGACTTGACCAGATACCGGGTTTCTTTTACAAGCCGTTTCTGACGGTGGCCTGTTTCAACTACTGGCAGAGCTCATGTAAAACAGACTTTTAAAAAAATTTGGGGGGCTTTTAGTATTTTTTTCTTATTCCTATATTCTGAGGATATTTTATAGTAGTCCCACATATGGAATTAGATAATCTCTTTTTTGTTTGATTAACAGTTTTATCAAGTATAATGTACATACCATAACGTTCACCCATTTTAATGGATTCAATGATTTTTAGCATATTTACAGAGTGGTGCAACCATCAGCATAATAGAATTAAGGAATCGTGATTTTTTTTTTCTGGTAATTGCTTTTACAGTTCTCAAAGTTTGCACAAGCGGATATTTTAGAGGTACAGTGTAATATAAGAGCTTCTGAAAATGTCCACTTAAGTTGTTTTATACCTGAGCAAGTGAAATTAAGAAGGGAATTGAAGCAAATATTCCTGGTAAGTTGTAGGGAGTGAAACTTTTGTGTCTTGTAATACCAAGTAGATATTGACCATTTCAACTGGTTTTTATGCTGAGGAAATGCATAAACCCCATTTTACAGATGATGAAATCGACTTTGAAGGATAAGTTGCCTACAGCTGCATACCTGTGCCTGGGCTAGGCCCCAAACCCAGATGCTTTATCTCTCAATTTGTTACCCTTGCTACCTCAACAGCTTGGTTTTCAACCATGGTACTGATGAGTGTGAACAGTACAAGCCATTCATTTACTGAGCAAATAATTATTGAGTGCCACTCTGTGCCAAGAACACTGCTATAGGTGCTAGAGATATTATTGAATCAGATACCGTAGTGAACTGTTCCTGCCCTCAGCTCATCTTCTGGTGGGGAGGACAATGATCAAGTAAAGAAATATATAGTTTTAGAGATTCATCTATTTTTTTAATAGGTAAATTAAAAGGGCAAGGAATGGCAGTGGGAGGCAGAATCTGATGAGAAAAATCTGAATGAAGAGAGGAAGTTAGGATATAAGAAAGAAAGCAAGGGTTTGATTTGAGCAAGCGCAAAAATAGAGTTGTGATTTACTGAATTGAAATAAGGTGATACTGGAAGGACCAGGTTTTGGGGGTACAATCATAAGTTTGGCTTTAAATGTTTTTAAATACCTTGCCTCTTAGACATCCAAGTGGAGATATGGCATTTAAATTCATGAGATTGGATGAGATCCCACCAAAGGAACAGGTTTAGGTGGAGACAACCAAATACCGATGCCTAGGACACTGCAGTGTTTAGAATTCAAGGAGATGAGAAGGAAACAGGAGGGAAGATTGAAAAGAAGAGTCCAGTGTGTTATGAGGAAAACCCCAAGAGCATGCTGCCTTACAAGACAGGTGAAAAATGTGTTCTGTGAAAGAAAGAGTAATTAACTGTTAAATGTTACAGACTGATCAAATAAAATGAAGACTGAGAATGGCCTGTTTGTAAGGTAATAAAAATACATAAAATCTTATGATAGAAATATTTATACATAAAGTTAGTAAGGAAACAGTGTTTACTCCTTTTTGTAGAAGTGTAAATTTTTACAACCATTTTGAAGGGCAGTTTGATATTATCTACAACTTAAAATTGTGCTTCCATTGATAATTTCACCTGTGGAAGTTTATCCTACAAAAATATTAATATGTGCACACAAATATGTGTAAAAGTGTTTATCACAGCTTGTACACATATATATTTATAAATGTGTTGTCCAGGAACAGTGGCTTATGCCTGTAATCCCAGCACTCTGGGAGGCCGAGGTGGATGGATCACCTGAGGTCAGGAGTTCGAGCCCAGCCTGGCCAACATGGCGAAACCCCGTCTCTATTAAAAATACACACACACACACACACACACACACACACACACACACACACACACACACAAATTAGCTGGGCGTGGTGGCGGACGCCTGTAATCCCAGCTACTTGGAAGGCTGAGGCAGGAGAATCACTTGAACCCGGGAGGTGGAGGTTGCAGTAAGCCGAGATCACGCCACTGTACTTCTAGCCTGGGTTACAGAGTGAGACTTCATCTCAAAAAAAAAAAAAAAAAAAAAAAAGGTGTTTATCACAGCATTGTTTACATTTGTAAAAAGGTACAAGTTTTCATCAAGATGGATGCAGTTGTTAAAGGGAAGATATAAATGTGTAGATATGGGAGATAGCTGCTATAGACGGAATTGTGTCCCCTGAACTTTCATATGTTGAAGCCCTTACCCTGAATGTGGTGGTATTTGGAGGCAGGGCCTTTGGGAGGTAGTTTGATTTAGATGAGGTCACGCAGATGGGGCCCCCACGATGGGAGTAGTGTCCTTATACAAAGAAGAAGGGAGTCCAGAGCTTTCTTCTGTCAGTCATTTAAGGACATGGTGAGAAGGCAGCCATCTGTAAATTAGGAAGAGTCCTCACCAGGAACTGAACTGGCTGTCACCTTGATCTTGGTCTTTCCAGGTTCCACAGCCATGAGATATGAATGTCTGTTTTTAAAGCCACTCAGTCTGTGGTATTAATATTTTGTTATAGCAGCCCAAGTTAAGACAGATAGCTTTGTTAAATGATAAAGTCAGGTTATCTAATAGAATGCATAGTATAACCCCATTTATCTTAATGTATCACAGGAGGCCTTTCTAGTCACACTAACAAAAGTTACTCCTTTGTGTGCCTTCCCTGATCACTGTTACATTATTCTATGTACAGCACTTATTATCTAAAATTATTTCATTAATTTTTATACATGTTTACTGGCTTGTCACAATAGAAGGTAAGCTCTGTAAGGGGTTTGCCTCTCTTGTTTATATCCCCAGTGCTAGGTATATATTACTTTAGGAAAAACCATTATTTATTAAAAATATTTTAGGAAAAAACCCTACACAAACAGTATTCCTGTAGTGGTTTTAAAATAAGACAACAGGCTGGGCGTGGTAGCTCATGCTTGTAATCCCAGCACTTTGGGTGGCCGAGGCAGGCGGATCACCTGAGGTCAGGAGTTTTGAGACCAGCTTGGCCAACATGGTGAAACCCCGTCTCTACTAAAAATACAAAAGTTAGCCTGGCCTGGCGTCACACGCCTTTAATCTGAGCTACTTGGGAGGCCAAGGCAGGAGAATCACTTGAACCCAGGAGGCAGAAGTTGCAGTGAGCTGAGATCGCACCATTGCACCGTAGTCTGGGCAACAAGAGCAAATGTCTCAAAAAAATAAAATAAGACCACAATTTCTTTGATAGTGTTTCCTTCCAAAGGTGGTGGCTAATTCTCCTCTTCTTGAATGTAGGCTGGATTTAGTGACTTGCTTCTATGTGTAGAATATGGCCAATGTGGAGGTATGTCAATAGGTCATGAATTCCTTTTTGTTCTCTCTCTTCGATCATTCACTCTGAAGTAAAGCAGCTGCCTTGTCATGAGAACATATCAAACAGTGCTGTGGAAAGGCACATTTGGTGAGAAATAGGCCTACTCCCAACAGCCAGGGAAGAACTGAAGCCTTCTGTGACATGTGAATGAGCCACCTGAGAAATGTATTTTTCATCCTCAGTCAATCAGTGTCTCAAAAGAGGCCGTTAGCTGGATCCCTCAACAAAGCCACTTTTGGGTTCCTTTCAGATAATACAGGTTTGCTTTGTAATCTACTAGGTTTGGTGGTAGAGTGAGAAGACTGAACACACTCCCCTTTAGGACACATCATAAAGCAAAACAAGTATGGCCCAAAGTAGCATACACTTAATGTTCTTTTCTACTAGGATTTACAGAATTCATTGTTGGTACAATTTACTCTTTTAAAAAATAATTTTTATGTTGATCAGAATAAAATACGGTATTCCAAGCTATATGTGCTAACTTGATTTTATTTTAAAAATGTATTGAACACTGGAACACACAGATTTGAAAGATTTGACCTTAATATATATTTATATATAAAATATGATTTTGAAATAATGAACTTTTAAATTTAAAATTATAAATAATTTTTAAAATGCCTTCTATTTAGGTAAAGAATCTTCAAAACAAACTTCTCATATGATATGGTTTGTCTGTGTCCCCACCCAAATCTCATCTTGAATTGTAGCTCCCATAATTCCCACATGTTGTGGGAGGGACCCAGTGGGAGATAATTGAATCATGGGGGGTGGTTTCCTCCCTGTTGTTCTCGTCGTAGTGAATAAGTCTCATGGGATGGTTTTATTAGGGATTTCCCCTCTTGTTTGGCTCTCATTCTACCTTGCCTGTTGCCATGTAAGATGTATGTTTCACCTGCCATGATTGTGAGGCCTCCCCAGCCATGTGGAACTGTGAGTCCATTAAACTTTTTATTTATAAATTACCCAGTCTTGGGCATGTCTTTATCAGCAGTGTGAAAATGGACTAATACATCATAAAAGAAATTTCATTGCAAAAGTTGAAGTCTGAACTAAAAAGCTACAAAGAAAATAATGTTTAATAGCCATCCCAGATAGTGTCCCTGAAATACGATGTCAAGGATCTAGAGGAACATATTGTATCTTTAACCAGAATTAAGTCTGAAAAACAAGTATTCAGAGTCTTAAAAGAGGCAAGCAGGACTTAACGGAACGAATTATAAAACTAAGGTAGAAAATTCTAGTTTATTTTTGAAACATGTCTCTCATCATAAGCTCACATATAGCATATGAGCTCCATGCTCCTGATTGATCAGTTTAATTTCATGGAATTTCACTTATTGCCTGGTATAACATTATTACAATTTTTCATTATAAGACTTGTGATTATCAAGGTCAGGATATCAAGACCAACCTGGCTAACACGGTGAAACCCCATCTCTACTAAAAAATACAAAAAATTAGCTGGGCGTGGTGGTGGGCACCTGTAGTCCCAGCTACTCGGGAGGCTGAGGCAGGACAATGGCGTGAACCCAGGAGGCAGAGCTTGCAGTGAGCTGAGATCGCGCCACTGCCCTACCCTCCAGCCTGGGCGACAGAGCGAGACTCTGTCTCAAAAAAAAAAAAAAAAGATTTGTGATTATCTGGTCAATGTGTGTAGAGAGGAGATGTTTGATCATATACGGTACCCTTTTTTTTTTTTTTGAGATGGAGTCTCACTCTGTCCCCCAGGCTGGAGTGCAGTGGTGCGATCTCCGCTCACTGCAAGCTCCGCCTCCTGGGTTCATGTCATTCTCCTGCCTTAGCCTCCCGAGTAGCTGGGACTACAGGTGCCCACCAGCACACCTGGCTAATTTTTTGTGTTTTTAGTAGAGACGGGGTTTCACCGTGTTAGCCAGGATGGTCTCGATCTCCTGACCTCGTGATCCACCCACCTCGGCCTCCCAAAGTGCTGGGATTACAGGCGTGAGCCACCGTGCCTGGTTACAGTACCCTTTTTGATAGCAGGAGAAAAGATGGTCATTAATGTATCCTCTTATAATAAGAGTAATATTTAAGAAAGCCACAAAATATGAAAAGCTTTTCTATCCAGATTTACATTCTGTTGTAGACCATCTTTATTCTGTTATTTACTGTACGTTAGACCAATTGATACCTTTCATTTTCCTCTGGGGTTTGCATTTCGCAGATCACTTTTAAAAGGAAAACATAGGAGCCTGAAACAGAAGTGGGAAACAAATATTTACTCAAACTAAGAGACTAAACTCAGTAGCCAGCAACAAGAGATCAAGGTGTGTGTGTGTTTTCTGGTTGTGCAGATATTGTCTGAAATAAGATGGCTGAAAAGTTCAAGTGAAAAAGTAATTAAAAGCAATTCATCAACCATAGCCATAGCTGGATGTATAATAGCTGATCAGGCATAGCAAACTCTTCAGGATAATTTCATTTTTAAAAATTTATGTCTTTGTCCTTTTCATCTTCTAAGCACAGTTTCAAATAAGACTACAGAGTGAGGCTCTAGGGACCATCAGTTTTTGTCTTTAGTGCTAAAATGGTGGCTGAGTGACACACCATGATTTTTTTTCTCAATATTTCATCATTCTACCAGTGTTGGAAAAGGGAGAGAAGGACTCTCTGAAGGAGACTGTGCAAAGGATTCTTTTTTTTTTTTTTTTTTTTTTGAGATGGAGTCTCACTCTGTTGCCCGGGCTGGAGTGCAATGGCATGATCTCGGCTCATGCAACCTCCACCTCCCTGGTTCAAGGGATTCTCTTGCCTTAGCCTCTTTAGTAGCTGGGATTACAGGCGCGCCACCACGCTCGGCTAATTTCTTGTATTTTTAGTAGAGAAAGGATGTCACCATGTTGGTCAGGCCAGTCTCGAACTCCTGACCTCGTGATCTGCCCACCTCGGCCTCCGAAAGTGCTGGGATTACCAGCGTGAGCCACTGGGCCCGGCCCCAAAGGATCTTTTTACACCATGTCTGGTTCCCAGCCCTTTTTCTATCCTTCCTGTGCAGTGTGGACTGAGTTGACTGAGATATTTAGGCCCAGGACTTCTTGCTTGTTCTATAGTTATTGAGAAAAGTGTGTCAAAATATCCATCACTGATTAAGGATTTGTCTGTTTATTTAGTTCTATCAACATTTATTTTTTAACTTTGAAGCTATTTGCATACAAATTGAGGATTTTTATCTTTCTATTGAATTGCCCCTTTTATCGTTATGAAATCTCACTTATTTCATGTAATACTTTTTGCCCTATAGTCTAGGTTGTCTGATATTAACATAGCTAGATAATATTTCTTAGATTGCATGGTATGTATTTTTCCATTTTTCATTTTCAATCTTTCTATGTGATTAAAGTATGTCTTTTGTAAACAGCATATAGTTTTGTTTTTTAATCTAGTCTTATAATCTTTGTCTTTTAATTGGAATGTTTAGGCTATTTACATTAAATTCTGATATTGTTGGATTTAAGTCCACCATACTGCTACTTACTGTGTTTTTTCTCCTCTGGTCTTTGTTCTTGTAATAATTAGTTTGTTTTTTGTTATTGTTGATTTTTTTTTTTTTTTGTCAAGATGGAGTCCTCCTCTGTCACCCAGGCTGGAACGCAGTGGTATGATCTCGGCTAACTGCAACCTCAGCCTGCCAGGTTCAAGCAATTCTTCTGCCTCAGCCTCCCGAGTAGCTGGGATTACAGGTGCCTGCTGCCATGATGATTAATTTTATGTGTTAACTTAGCTGGGCTGTGTTGCCCAGATAGTTGGTTAAACATTATTCTGGATGTTTCTGTGAAGATGTTTTTGGATGAGGTTAACATTTAGATCGGTGGACTTTGAGTAAAGCAGATTACCTTTCATAATTTGGGTGGGGCTCATCCAATCAGTTGAACATCTGAAGAGACCAAAAGACTGACCTTCTGCAAGCAAAGAAAAATTCTGCCAACAGACAGCCATTGGACTTGAACTTCAACATTGACTCTTCAGTCTATTGGCCCACCCTGCAAATTTTGGACTTGCCAGTAAGTGTCTGAAATCTAGTGAGGCAATTTCTTTCTTTTTTTTTTTTTTGAGATGGAGTTTCGCTCTTGTTGTCCAGGCTGGAGTGCAGTGGTGCGATCTCAGCTCACCGTAACCTCTGCCTCCCAGGTTCAAGTGATTCTTCTGCCTCAGCCTCCTGAGTAGCTGGGATTACAGGCATGTGCCACCACGCCTGGCTACTTTTGTATTTTTAGTAGAGATGGGGTTTCTCCATATTGGTCAGGCTGGTCTCAAATTCCCAAACTCAGGTGATCCACCCGCCTTGGCCTCCCAAAGTGCTGGGATTACAGGTGTGAGCCACAGTGCCCAGCCTAATTTCTTTCTTTCTTTCTTTCTTTTTTTGAGACAGAGTTTTGCTCTTTTTGACCAGAAAGGAGTGCAATGTGGCAGGATGTTGGCTCACTGCAACCTCCACCTCCTGGCCTCTCTAGTAGCTGGGATTACAGGCGCCTGCCACCACGCCCAGCTAATTTTTGTATTTTTAGTAGAGATGGGGTTTCACCATGTTGGCCAGGCTGGTCTCAAACTCCTGAAATTACGTGATCTGCCCGCCTTGGCCTCCCAAAGTGCTGGGATTACAGGCGTGAGCCACCATGCCTAGCCGGGTAGTTTATCTTGACTTGACTTCAGGCTCACCAATCCTTTTGGCTGCAATTCTACGATAGAAAAGGACATAAAAAACTTTAAATTAGCCTTAGAATAAAGAGATGTTATCATTCCCTAGCAATTAGTATTCAAAGCAAGATCCAAATATGTAATTAGTCATTTATGTATCTAAGCTGTTTGTATGTATGATACAAGTTTTCACATACAAATTTCTTCTTTCTTTCTTTCTTTCTTTTTTTTTGATAGAGGCAGGGTTTCACGACATTGCCCAGGCTGGTCTTGAGCTCAAGTGATCCATCTGCCTTGGCCTCCCAAAGTGCTGAGATTACAGGCATGAGCCACAGTGCCTGGCCCAAATTATTGTAGTTATTTCCAATTCCTTTCCCCCTTCTCACATCCCAATTAAAGAATTCCACTCAGGAATTGTTGTAGTAGAAGTGCTTTAGTCTGTGTGCTACGGTTTGGATACTGTTTGTTTGCCAAGTCTCATGTTGGAATTTGATCACTAATGTTGAAGGTGGAGCCTGGTGGGAAGTGTTTGGGTTGTTAAGGCAGATCCCTTATGAATGGTGTGGTGCCCTTCTAGAGGGAGTAAGTTCGTTCTCACTCTTGGTTCCCACAAGATCTCGTTGTTGTAAAGATCCTTGTACTTACCCCTCCTCTCTCTCTTGCCTTCTCTTTCACCATGTGATCTACACACACAGTATCATAAGGCATCTTTCTGATCCTTTAGTGTTCACTCTCCAGTACCTTTAATATTTGCCTTCAAATTTCTCAAATTTCTTTATTTACTTCCATTTTTCTCCTACAATAATTGTAGGCGTACTTAAAGTAGAATTACAATATAAATAATATTTTAAAATATCTACAACTAATACTAAAGGGGTTACTTTATTTTATTTAAATTTTATTTTTAAATAAGAATTTAAAATATCTGCAACTAATATCAGAGCCAAGGGGCTACTTTCTTTGAAATACAAAGAGTCTTTAGAGTCAGACTGTGTATGTTTCAATCTGGGATCTACCTCTTATATTGTAGGTTTAGACAAATTGCTAAATATTTCTTGTCCCAGTTTTCTCATCTACAAAATGGAAAAATTAGCTTCCCTTTGCTGTCTGCCTTGAGTAGAAGCTTCCTGAGGCCCTCATCCAAAACAGATGTTGGTGCCATGCTTCTAGTACAGTCTGCAGAACTGTGAGCCAAATAAACCTCTTTTCTTTATAAATTACTCAGCCTCAAGTATTCCCTTATAGCAACACAAATGGACTGAGATACCGTGTGTGATGTCCTAATCCTTATAATATTATCCTACTACCCAGGCAGATATTGCTCTCCAAATGTCTTCTTAAAAAGGATGGTTTCTGAAATGACACCCTCTTGGGACTATTGGAATTACTGAACAGCTGTTTTCATTAGAAATCTTTTTTTTTTTTTGAGACAGGGTCTTGCTCTGTCGCCCATGCTGGAGTGCAGTGGTGCAATTTCAGCTCACTGCAACCTCTGCCTCCCAGGTTCAAGTGATTCTCCTGTCTTGGCCTCCTGAGTACCTGGGACTACAGGTGTGCAACACCACACCCAGCTAATTTTTGTGTTTTTAGTAGAGATGGGTTTCATTATTTATTTATTTTTTTGAGACGAAGTCTCGTTGTGTCACCCAAGCTGGAGTGCAGTGGCGTGATCTCGGCTCACTGCAACCTCCACCTCCCAGGTTCAAGTGATTCTCCTGCCTCAGCCTCCTGAGTAACTGGGACTACAGGTGCACACCACTATGCCTGGCTAATTTTTTTTTTTTTTTTTTTTTGTATTTTTAGTAGAGACAGGTTTCACCATGTTAGCCAGGCTGGTCTCAAACTCCTGATCTCAGGAGATCCACCCGCTTTGCCCTTCCAAAGTGCTGGGATTATAGGCTTGAGCCACTGTGCCCGGCCTTAGAAATATATTTTGACTATACATATATTTTGTTTTTATTTATTTTTATTTTTTTGAGATGGAGGCTTGCTCTGTTGCCCAGGCTGGAGTGCAGTGGTGTGATCTCAGCTCACTGCAACCTCTGCCTCCTGGGTTCAAGTGACTCTCCTCCCTCAGCCTCTGAAGTAGCTGGAATTATGGGCACATGCCACCATACCCAGCTAATTTTTGTGTTTGTATTTGTATTTTTGAGGTGGGGTCTTGCTCTGTCGCCCAGGCTGGAGTGTGTGGCATTATCTTGGCTCACTGCAACCTCCGCCTCCTGGGTTCAAGCAATTCTCCTGCCTCAGTCTCCCGAGTAGCTGGGATTACAGGAGCCCGTCACCACACCCGGCTAATTTTTGTAGTTTTAGTAGAGACGGGGTTTCACCATGTTGGCCAGGCTGATCTCGAACTCCTGACATCAGGTGATCTGCCCACTTTGGCCTCCCAAAGTGCTGGGATGACAGGCGTGAGCCACTGTGCCTGGCCTAATTTTGTATTTTTAGTAGAGATGGGGTTTCACCATGTTGGCCAGGCTGGTCTCGAATTCCTGAGCTCAGGTGATTCACCTGCCTCAGCCTCCCAAAGTGCTGGGATTACAGGCGTTTGCCACTGTGCCTGGCCAACTATATATATATTTTAAAAGGGGACATTTCTTTTTAATTTTGGAATGGACATTTGAAAATTGTTTGAATTACTTTAGTCTACTCATATCTTTCAGTCTATTGACACAAGGTATATCTGGTTTAAAGAGAAAAGGTGGAACAAAAAAAACCCATTCTAGATCAATTGGTAGATGCCAACAGATTCACTCCCATATGAATATGAAAGGACAAGGAACCATGAATATTTTCATGATGAAGGTGAGAATAAGTTTTGATTGATTTTTGAAGAAAAACAATTTTTGTTATCTTGTTTAACTCTAGGAGGTAATCGAGAAATGTTGAGTTGTTTGTTGGTTCTCTCCCAAAGGGAGGGTAGAAGGAAGCCATGGTTCCTTTATACCGTGGTTGACTGGGAGCCTTTATGCCTTTCTGATATATTAAGAGAAAATGCAAGGGGGGCCTAAAGGTCTCTGTGATACTGAAGAGAAAGGTATAGGGGTAATAGGGCTGTGAGAAAGCTGAAAGCTGAGATCATGTTACAGAATAAGATAGCGGAGTTTCATATTTCTGGTATGGGGCAATTCCTGCTGATGACAAAATCCAGGGTTGTTTTTGGATCTAGGTGTAGGTGGTTGAAGTAGGGTATAAAGGCAGTCATGTGCTGGTAAACTGGCTCTTGAGAAAAAGCACCCAATTTGAGCATTCATTGACTTTTGATACCAACATGTCATTGAGCATAGAATTAGAAAGAGATATGAATAATCAACTCTTGGGAGCTGGAATGATCTGGCTTTAACAACCACTTTCTACATCAAAAAAAGTTAATGTTATTAATATTAGAATAATAAATAATTAAATAATAAATGAGTGTAGGTGTAGGGCATTGGAATTAAGTACACACATGAATCACAAAGCTGTATTATTGGATCGATCATCTACTGTGACCCCTGAAATCTTGAATTATGGTATGAGTTGGTATAGAAGAAGAATGTGAGGCCCCAAATCTTCATTGAGTGAAGGAGGGTTGAGGAGTAGTCAGTAGAAAAGAATAAAAAGAGAAGATTTTATAGAAGTCTGTTGGGGGTAAAATATTGCTGAGGAAGTAAAATAGTACTGAGGAAGTGTTCTTCAAATTCCTTCGACTATAACCACTTTTTAATGTAATCTGTATGTAAAGCAAGGGTCTACATGATCCAATTTATGTGTTGGCTCCATTTATAAAAGAATATTTCAGTTGTCAAAACTAGTTGACAGTACAGTTAATCCTTTAATAATCTGGGGTTAGGGGATATGGCCATCATGCAAAAAAAAAAAAAATCTGTGTATAATTGTTGACTCCTCCCAAACTTAACTACTAATAACCTGTTGTTGACTGGAAGACTTACCAGTAATATAAACAGTTGACTAACACATATTTTGTATGTTGTATGTATTATACACTGTATTCTTACAGTAAAGCTAGAGAAAAGAAAATGTTATTAAGAAAATCATAAAGAAGAAAAAATATATTTACTAATCATTAAGTGGAAGTGGATCATCATAAAGGTCTTCATTCTCATCGTCTTCACTTTGAGTAGTCTGAGAAGGAGGAAGGAAAGGAGGGGTTGGTCTTGCTGTCTCCGGGGTAGCAGAAGTAGAAGAAAATCCACGTTATCAGTGGACCCATGCAATTCAAATCGGTCTTCAAGGGTCAACTGTAATTCCAATCTTAATTATTTGCCTTAACTAATTTTCTTAATAAAAGGTGGAATATTCATAATTTACAATAACACCTTCATTTTCTTAACTTTTCTCACTATATCTCTCACATCACATCCTAAACCTTTTTCTCCTGTGCCTAACTCTCCATTCTCTTAAAAAACTCTCCCAGATCCAGTCTATGCTGCTCATAATTTCTCTTCCCTTCCTCTTTTTCCTACCTTCTTTCTAATGCAAATTCATCATTTCATGAATAATTTTCTCTCCTCTTATTTCCTACTTTTACTCAACAAAAGTCCAGAAACTAAACTTGCTTACTCAGATCCCAGAGCTGCATAAAAGGACAGGAGATCTTGGATGATGTGTGGGTTGGAAACAGAAGGTATTACATTCTTTTGTTAAATAATTGAGGATTTTGCATGTGGTTAAAATGATGTCAGAGCTAGGCAAGGAAACGGGATTCTCCTACATTCCTGATAGGAGATTAAATTGGTACAACCCATTTGGAAATGCATTTGTCAATATCTCCTAAAACCAAAGTGTATCCCTAAAACCAGAATATATCCTACCCTGTGACTCAGCAATTCCACTCCATCAACAGTGGAATGTAATGAATATGGCTATCAGGTTTCAATATGCTAGTGACATCTGCTACATCTATTAACAGAAGTCTATAATTTTTTAACCTCTGATCTCTGAAAACTTATTTTATGACTTTATTACTCTACAAACTAAAATGTCTTACTATTGTGTATCAGATCCACTTCTTTTTAAATTAATTTTTAAATGTCAAGTCTTAATAGTCTTCCTTTAGCCTCTATTTACTAATTTATTGTCCCCACAATGTCACTCTAAACGTAACTGTTAACTATCAGGAAGTATTTCCTTCTTTTTCTATAGAGAACAGAAGATCTTCAGCAGGAAATTCAGATGCTTACTCAGCAAATGGAACAGCTGTATCATCTTTATGAACAGCTGTTTGTGAATCATTCCAACTTGAAGAAAAGTATAGGGAACAACAAAAGATCCTTGAAATACCTGGAAGGAAAAATTGCTTTTAATGATGTTTTAAAAGATTAGACTATGAAAAAAGACTTTCCTGAATTATAGATGTTATTTTGGGCAATGAAATTAACTATTTATTATTCTAATATTAATAACTTTAACTTTATTTGGTGTAGAAAGCTGATAAAAACTATTTATATTTCACTTAACATTGGAAAAGTGAGGGGGAAAAATCCTTAGAGTTATGCTTCTAATTTTATCAAAAAACATGCCCTTTCCCATATCTTCAGTTTTTTCACTGTGTACATATTTGACAGATAAAACCATCAATATAATATGGAAAGTTTAGTGTCTTTTATAATCTCTTCTTGTAAGTTACATAACATCACTTCTGCCATATTCTATCAGTCAAACAGACCAACCTGATACAATGTTGTTCGAGACTATAAGGGTACCAGGCGGCGCGGTGCAGATCATTGGTGGTCATCTTAAAAGTCTGGCTACCGCACTCATTTCTTTTACTCACAAACTGAATGATTTGCTTATTCATTCATTTATTCAATACTTATTGAACAACCACAGATTTTACAAACATATAGGACTGGCTGGGGGCAGTGGCTCACGCCTGTAATCCCAGCACTTTGGGAGGCTGAGGTGGGCTGATCACCTGAGGTCGGGAGTTCAAGACCAGCCTGGCCAACATGGAGAAACCCTGTCTCTACTAAAAACACAAAAATTAGCCAGGTGTAGTGGCTCACATTTGTAATCCCAACTACTTGGGAGGTTGAAGCAGGAGAATCGATTGAACCTGGGAAGTGGAGGTTGCAGTGAGCTGAGATCGTGCCACTGCACTCCAGCTTAGGCGACAGAGCAAGACTCCATCTCAAAACAAACAAACAAAATAGGACTTAATGAAGTAAGGTCAACAGTAGACCATATAGAGTTTAAAGATAAATATATCATCTCATCTAGCCTCCACCTCTGCCTTTGAATATGTGTATGGAAATAATACATTGAATGGTTAATCCATGCAAATAAAAATAATCCTTTATTAAGTTTTCTTAAGATTGTACAAAATAACGTGTGCTTGGCCAGGCATGGTGGCTCACACCTGTAATCTCAACACTCTGTGAGGCCGAGGTGGGATCACTCGAGGTCAGGAGTTTTAAGACCAGCCTGGCCAACATGGTGAAGCTCTGTCTCTACTAAAAACACAAAAATTACCTGGGCACGGTAGCACATGCCTGTGGTCCCAGCTACCTGGGAGGCTGAGGTGGGAGAATCATTTGAAACTGGGAGGCAGAGGTTGCAGTGAGCCAAGATTGCACCACTGCACTCCAGCCTGGGCAACAGAGTGAGACCCTGTCTCAAAAAACAAACAAAAAACAAAATAACATGTGCCTACCCCAACACTTAAAGCTATGCTAAACAGTTTAAAGGAAATAATAATTTTCTCTCTGCCCATGTCACCTCAGTAACCAATGTTAACCATTCCCATAGTTATGGAAATATGTAAACATATATAAAGGGTAATGGTGTCTTCACAAAACTAAGATCATTCTAATAAAAATATTCTGCAACTTCCTCTACTTAGTAGTGCCTCATGGTTGTATCTTAAGTTAAAAGATATAGCTCTTCCTTTAATAACTGTATAATATTCTATAGTATGCATGTATCTTAATTTATTCAACCATTTCTCTTTTGAGGGATGATATAATTATTTCCTTCTTTTGGTCACTACAAATAATGTGAAAATAAGTATCTTTCAACTTATATCCTTCCACACTGGTGCTTTTGTTGCTAGGGGATTAATTGACAAATATGAGCTGATAGGGTCACAGTGCGTATTTTAAATTCTAATAGCCATTGTCAGATTACTATTTGCAAAAGGATAGAAGCAGTTCATTTAAGAGTAAATCATTCTCCTTTACATCCAGCTAGCATTGAATGCTGTCATTCTTTTTTGTTGTTAGTTGGGTAAAAAAAGAAACAAAAAACAAGGTACCTCATTATTATTGTAATTTACATTTTCTTGACTACTAGTGAAGATAAGGATCTTTTTTTTTTTTTTTTTTTCCTTTCTGTGGAGATAAGGTCTTACTATGTTACCCAGACTGGTCTCAAACCCCTGGATCAAGCTATCCTCCTTTCTCAGCCTCCCAAAGGGCTGAAATTACAGGTGTGAGTCATTGCACTTAGCCAGTAAGCATCCCTCTTCTTTAAAAAAATAATTTCAGGCCAGGTGCAGTGGCACATGCCTGTAATCCCAGCACTTTGGGAGGTCAAGGTGGGTGGATCACCTGAGGTCAGGAGTTCGAGACCAGCCTGGCCAAGATGGCAAAACCCTGTCTCTACCAAAAATACAAAAATTAGCTGGGCATGGTGGTGGGTACCTGTAATCCCAGCTACTCGGGAGCATGAGGCAGGAGAATGGCTTGAACCCAGGAGGCGGAGGTTGCAGTGAGCTGAGATCATGCTATTGCACTCCAGCCTGGGTGACAAGAGCAAAACTCTGTCTCAAATAATAATAATAATAATTTTTATTTTTATTATAGATTAAGGGGTACATGTGCAGGTTTGTTACATGGGCATAATGCGTGATGCTGAGGTTTGGGTTACGTCACCAGGTAATGAGCTTAGTACCCAATAGGTGATTTTGCATCCCATGTCCCCTCTCTCCCATGTCTGGTAGTCCCCAGTGTCTATTGTTCCCACCTTTATGTTTATGTGTATTCAATGTTTAGCTCCCACTTATAAGTGAGAACATGTGGTATTTGGCTTTCTGTTCTTGTGTTAATCTGCTTAGGATAATGGCTGCCAGTTCCATCTATGTTGCTGCAAAGGATGTGATCTCATTCTTTTTAATGGCTGGTAAGCATCTTCATATATGCCTGTTGACCACTGGGCTTTTCTTTTCTACAAATTGCCTCCTTCTTCCCATAATTTGGATCTTAGGTGCAGAAGATTGTGCTAATCAAATTTCTTAAATAGTGTCTTGTCATTGGGGACATAATGGTCCATCTCTATTTAATTTTATTGTTTTTGGTTCCATTCCCCACTTCCATTCCTTATGCCCATAGGTAGCCTCACTTAAATGTGTTTATGTCTATCATTTTGTTTATGTGATTAAAAAATCATTATTGGGATATTTACATGCCATAAAATTCACTCATTTAAAGTCTACAATTCAATGATTTTTAGTAAGTTAATAAAGTTGTGCAAATGCCACCACAATCCAGGTTTAGAACATTTCCATCACCCAAAAAAGATTTTTTTTTTTTTTTGCTTCTAGACAATTAATGCCCTCTTCCATCACTAGTGCCGGGCAACCACCAATCTGCTTTCTGTGTGTATACATTTTCCTTTTTTTGGACATTTCATAGAAATAAATAACTTTAATATGTAGTCTTTTGCATCTAGTTTTTAAAATTAGCATTGTTTTTGAGGTCCATCTATGTTGTAGCATTCATCAGTATTGTGTTCTTTTTATTATTTAATGGTATTCTATTGTGTGGATATGCCACATTAAAAAATAATACTTTATTTTTGGAAGCAATTATAGGGTTACAGAAAAATTGACTATAAAGTACAGAGATCCCATAAACTTCCTTCCCCATCTTCACAGTAACAAATTGCATTAGTGTGGTAAATTTGTTACAATTGAGTTAACATTAATACATTATTATTATTATTATTATTGAGGCGGAGTTTCGCTCTTGTTACCTAGGCTGGAGTGCAATGGCATGATCTCAGCTCACTGCAACCTCCGCCTCCTGGGTTCAAAAGATTCTCCTGCCTCAGCCTCCTGAGTAGCTGGGATTACACACATGCACCACCACACCCGACTAATTTTGTACTTTTTTTAGTAGAGACAGGATTTCACCATGTTGGTCAGGCTGGTCTTGAACTGCTGACCTCAGGTGATCCGCCTGCCTCAGCCTCCCAAAGTGTTGGGATTACAGGCATGAGTCACTGCGCCCAGCCTGATACATTATTATTAACTAAAGTCCGGGGTTTACATTAGGATTCATTCTGTAATGTACATTCTATGGGTTTTGAAAAGTGTATAATTACAAGTATCCATCATTACATCATCATACAGAATGGTTTCACTGCCCTAAAAATGTCCTGTGTTCCATCTGTTCATTCCTTCCTCCTCCTGCAAACCTCTGGCAACCACAACTTTTTTTTTTTGAGATGGATGTCTCGCTATGTTGCCCAGGCTTATCTCAAACTCCTGGGCTAAAGCAATTCTCCTGCCTTAGCCTCCTGAGTAGCTGGGACTACAGGTGTATGCCACCATGCCCGGCTTGATCTTTTTACTACCTCCGTAGTTTTGTCTTTTCCAGAATGTCGTGTATTTGGAATCATACAGATATAACCTTTTCAGATTGGCTTCTTTCACTTAGTAATATGCATTAAAGTTTTCTCCATGTCTTTTGGTGGCTTAATAGCTCATTGCTTTTTATTGCAATGTGAATAAAAAGCATTTTTTTTTTGCAAATAATATTCTGTTGTGCAGACTTACTACATTTTAGCTTTCCATTTACCTAATGGTAAATCTTCGTTGCTTCCAATTTTTGACAATTATAAATAAAGCTGCTATAAGCATTCAAGTGCAGGTTTTTATGTGGACATAAATTTTCACTTCACCTGGGTAAAAACCAAGGAGTACTATTTCTGAGTCTTATTGTAAGAATATGTTTAGTTTTGTTAGAAACTGCCAAACTGTTTTACAAAATGGCTGTTCCATTTTGCATTTCCATCAGCAATGAATGAGAGCTATTGCTGTCACTCTCACATCCTCACCAGCATTTGGTGTTGTCAGTGTTCTGGATTTTAGCCATTTGAATAGGTGTGTAGTGGTATCTCATCATTGTTTTAATTGCAGTTCCCTAATGACATATGATGTTGAACATCTTTTCATATGCTTATTTGCCATCTGTATATCTTCTTTGATGAGAACTTTTGTTCAGAACTTTTGCCATTTTTAAATTGAGTTCTTTATTTTCTAGTTGTTGAATTTTAAATTTTATTTGTATATTTTGGGATAACAATCCTTTATCAGATATATCTTTTGCAACAATTATCTCCCAGTCTGTGGCTTGTCTTTTTTATTTTCTTAATAGTCTCTATCACAGGGCATACTTTTTAGTTTTAATGAAGTCCAACTTGTCAGTTTTTTTTTTCATGAATCTTGCTTTTCTATTGTATCCAAAAAATCATCTCTAAACCTAGGTCACTTACATTTTCTCCTACGTTGTCTTCTAGGAGTTTTATAGTTTTGTACTTTACATTTAGGTCTGTGATGTATTTTGAGTTAGTTTTTGTGAAGGTGGTATGAGGTCTGTGTCTGGATTCATTTTTTGTTAATGTGGATATGTAGTTGTATGTAGTTGTTCTAGTACCATGTGTTGAAAAGACTATCCTTTCTTGATTGAATTGCCTTGTTCCTTTGTTAAAGATCAGACTTTGGATGAGTCTATTTCTTTAATTTCTTTCATCCAAGTTTTAAAATAGTCCTCATTTAGACTTTTTTTTTTTTTGAGACTGGGTCTCTCTCTTTCACCAGGGCTGGAGGGCTGGAGTGCAGTGATGCAATCACAGCTCACTGCAGCCTTGACCTCCTGGGCTCAAGTGATCCTCCCATCTCAGCCTCCCTAGTAGCTGGGATTACAGGCACATGCCAACCACGCCTGGCTAATTGTATTTTTTGTAGAGATAGGATTGCACCATGTTGCCCAGGCTGGCCTTGAACTCTTGGGCTTAAGCAATCTGCCTGCCTTGGCCTGCCAAAGTGCTGGGATTACAGGCATGAACCACAACACCTGGCTAGCTAATTTAAAATTTTTTCTTTTGTAGAGATGGAATCTTGCTGTGTTGACCTGGCTAGTTTCTAATTCCTGGCCTCAAATGATCCTCCCACCATGGCCTCCTGGGGTGCTGGGATTACAGATGTGAGCCACCACACCCAGCATATTTTGTTAGATTTATACCTAAGTATTTAACTTGCTTGATAATTTAAATTTTTTTTTTTTTTTTTTTTTTTTTTTTTTTGAGATGGAGTTTCGTTCTTGTCGCCCAGGCTAGAGTGTGGTGGCACGATCTTGGCTCACTGCAACTTTTGCATCCCAGATTCAAAGGATGCTCCTGCCTAAGCCTCCCAAGTAGCTGGGATTACAGGCATGTGCCACCATGCCTGGCTAATTTTTGTATTTTTAGTAGAGACAGGGTTTTACTATGTTGGTCAGGCTGGTCTCGAACTCCTAACCTCAAGTGATCCACCTGCCTTGGCCTCCCAAAGTGCTGGGATTACAGGCATGAACCACCGCACCCGGCCGATACTTTAAATGTTATTGTGCTTTTAATTTCAATTTCTAATTGTTCATATTTGGTATATTAGGAAAGCAATTGACTTTGTATATTAACTTTGTATTTTGCAACCTTGCTGTAATTGTTTATTAGTTCCAGAAATTTTAAAAGTCAATTCTTTGGGATTCTCTACATAGAGAATCATGTAATCTGTGAACAAAAACAGTTTCATTTCTTCCTTTTCAATCTGTATTAATTTTCTTTTCTTTTCTTGCCTCATTGCACTGGCTAGATCTTCTAGCATTGTACTGAATAAGAACAATAAGCATGGATATCCTGTTTTCAATCTTAGAGGGAAAGCATTCAGTCTTTCACCATTAAATGTAATGTTAAATATAGATTTTTTTATAGATGCTTGTTATCAAGTTGAGAAAGCTCCCCTGTATTCCTGTTTTTCTGAGTTTATTTTTATGAGTGGTGTTGAATTTTGTCATGCTTTTTCTGTGTCTATTGATATGATCATATGTTTTTCTTTTCTAGCCTGTTAACATAGTGAGTTACATTGATTTTTGAAGGTTGAACCACCCTTGCATCTCTGGAATTAAGGCCTGATATTGTTTGGATATTTATGCTACCCAATTCTCATGGTGAAATGTAATCTCCATTGTTGGAAGTGTGGCCTGGTGAGAGGTGTTTGGGTTATGGGGGCAGATCCCTCATGGCTTGGTGCTGTCCTCACGATAGTGAGTGAGTTCTCACGAGATCTGGTTAATTTAAAAGTGTGTGGCTCCCTCCCTGTCTCTCTATCTTGCTTCTGCTCTAGTTATGTGATATGCTGTCAGGTGCTGGGCTCCCCCTTCACCTTCTGCCATGATTGTGAGCTTCCTGAGGCCTCACTGGAAGCTGAGCAGATGCCCCGCACCATGCTTCCTGTACAGCCTGTAGAACTATGAGACAATTAAACCTATTTTCTTTGTAAATTATCCAGTCTCAAGTATTTTTTGTTTGTTTGTGTTGTGAGATAGGGTCTCACTCTGTCGCCTAGGCTGTAGTGCAGTGGTGCGACCTGGGCCCACTGCAACCTCTGCCTCTGGGTTCAAGTGGTTCTCCCACCTCAGCCTCCTGAGTAGCTGGAACTACAGGTGTGTGCCACCACACCCGGCTAATTTTTGTATTTTTTGGTAGACATGGGGTTTCACCATGTTGGTCAGGTTGGTCTTGAACTCCTGACCTCAAGTGATCAGCCTGCCTTGGCCTCCCAAAGTGCTGGGATTACCAGCATGAGCCACCACAGTTGGCCTCAAGTATTTCTTTATAGCAATGAAAGAATGGCCAAATACAACCCCACTTTATCATGGTATATAATTCCTTGTATGTATTGCTGAATTTGATTTGATAATATTTTGTTAAGGATTTTTGTATATATTCATGTGGTATATTAGTCTGTAGTTATTTTATTTTATTTTTATTTTTTGAGATGGAGTCTTAGTCCATTGCCCAGGCTGGAGTGCAGTCGTGGGATCTGGGCTCACTGTAACTTCCACCTTCTGGGTTCAAGTGATTCTCTTGCCTCAGCCTACAAAGTAGCTGGTACCACAGGTGCGTGCCACCATGCCTGACTAATTTTTGTATTTTTAGTAGAGACAGGGTTTCACCATGTTGGCCAGGCTGGTCTCAAACTCCTGACCTCAAGTGATCCACCCACCTTGGCCTCCCAAAGTGCTGGGATTACAGGCAAGAGCCACCGTGCCTGGCCACAGTTATATTTTTTTGGATTGTCTTTGTTTGGTTTTTATATCAGGGTAATATTAGTTTCATAAAATGAATTTAGAAGTATTCTCTGTGTCTATTTTTTGGAAGATATTGTGTAGGATTAGTGTTAACTCTTCTTTTAAGATTTGATAGAATTCTCCAGTGAGACCATCCGGATATGGAGATTTCTGTTATGGGAAGTTTTAAAATTATAAATTCTGGCTGGGCACTGTGGCTCATGCAGTAATCCCAGCACGTTGGGAGGCTGAGGCAGGAGGATCACTTGAGCCCAGGAGTTTGAGACCAGCCTGGGCAATAGAGTGAGACCCTGTCTCTACAGAAAAAAAAAAAAAATTAGCTGGGCATGGTGGCATGTGCCTATAGTCTTAGCTACTCGAGAAGCTGAGGTGGGAAGATGTCTTGAGCCTAGGAGTTCAAAGCTACAATGAGCTATGATCATGCTGCTGCACTCCAGCCTGGGTGACAGTGAGACACTGCCTCTAAAAAATAAAAAAGTAAAAATAAATTATAAATTCAATCTCTTTAATAGTTAAGGGCAATTAAGATTATCTGCTTAAGGCCAGGCGTGGTGGCACATGCCTGTAATCCCAGCACTCTGGGAGGCTGAGGCGGGTGGATCACGAGGTCAAGAGATGGAGACCATCCTGGCCAACATGGTGAAACACTCTCTCTACTAAAAATACAAAAATTAGCTGGGCGTGGTGGCACGCACCTGTAGTTCTAGCTACTCAGGAGGCTGAGGAAGGAGAATTGCTTGAACCTGGGAGGCAGAGGTTGCAGTGAGCTGAGATCATGCCACTGCACTCCAGCCTGTCAACAGAGCAAGACTCCATCTCAAAAAAAAAAAAAATACAAAAAATACAAAAAATTAGCCAGGTGTGGTGGTGCGTGCCTGTAGTCCCAGCTACTCAGGAGGCTGAGACAGGAGAATCGCTTGAACCTGGGAGGCAGAGGTTGCAGTGAGTCAAGATGGCGCCACTGCACTCCAGCCTGGGCAACAGAGCGAGACTCTGTCTCAAAAAAATAAATAAATAAAACATTAAAAAAAGATAACCTACTTAATATTGGATGATTGTAGTAGTTTGTGTTTTTCAAAGAATTGGTTCATTTAATGTAAATTGTCCAGTTTATGTGTGTAGAGTTGTTTATAATAATTCCTTATTATTTTTTAGACATCTGTATAGTCTGTAGTAATAGACCTTGCATTCTGAATACTGGTAACTAGCGTCTTCTCTCTCTCTCCTTTTTTTTTTTTTTTTTTTTTTTGAGACAGACTCTCGCTCTGTTGCCCAAGCTGGAGTGCAGTGGTGCGATCTTGGCTTACCACAACCTCCACCTCCCAGGTTCAAGTGATTTTCCTGCCTCAGCCTCCCGAGTAGCTGGGACTACAGGCACACACCACCATGCCCAGCTAATTTTTGTATTTTTAGTAGAGATGGGGTTTCACTATGTTGCCAGGCTGGTCTTGAACTCCTAACCTTGAGATCTGCCCGCCTTGGCCTCCCAGAGTGCTGGGATTACAGGCATGAGCCACCGCGTCCATCCAGTCTTCTCTCATTTGTGCTTTGTTAGTCTTGATAGAAGTTTGTCAATTTTATTAATTTTTCTTTTTTTTTTTTTTTTTTTTTTTTTGAGACGGAGTCTTGCTCTGTTACCCAGGCCAGAGTGCAGTAGTGTGATCTCGGCTCACTGCAACCTCCGCCTCCCAGGTTCAAGTGATTCTCCTGCATCAGCCTCCCGAGTAGCTGGAACTACAGGCTTGCACCACCAGGCCCAGCTAATTTTTGTATTTTTAGTAGAGATGGAGTTTCGCCATGTTGGCCAGGCTGGTCTTGAACTCCTGACCTCAGGTGATCTGCCTGCCTCAGGCTCTCAAAGTGCTGGGATTACAGGTGTGAGCCACCGTGCCCAGCCGATTTTATTAATTTTTCAAAAGAACCAGTTCTTTGTTTCATTGGTTTTTCTATTTTTTTCCTGTTTTACATTTAATCAATTTTGTTCTTATTTTTATTATTTCCTTCCTTCTGCTTGCTTTGGATTTATTTTGTTCTTATTTTCCTAGGTTCTTGGTGTGGGAGCATAGATTATTAATTTGAGATCTTCCCTCTTTTCTAATACACACATTTAGTGCTATAAATTTCCCTCTTGGTGGTGCTTTAGCTGTGTCCCTCAAGTGTTGATATGTTTTATTTTCATTTTCATTCAGTTCCATGTATTTTTAAAATTTCCCTTGACCTATGTTTTATTTAGGAGTACTTGTTTCATTTCCATGTGATTGGAGATTTTCCTGTTATCTGTTATTGGTTTCTAGTTTGATTCCACTGTGGTCAGAAATCACATTCTATACGATTTCAATTCTTGTAAATATTTTGATGTTTGTTTTAATGCTCAGGATATGGTCTATCTTACTATTTCTTGCATAGACCCTCAAAAGGTTGTGTAGCCTGCTCTTGTAGGGTGGAGTATTCTACAAATGTCAATTGGATTTTGTTGATGCTGGTGTGGTTGAGTTTTTCTATGTTCGTGCTGATTATCTATCTCATTCTATCAACTGAGAGAGGAGCTGAATCCTCCAACAATAGTGGATTTTTCTCTTTCTTCTTTCTTTCTTTCTTTCTTTTTTTTTTTTTTGAGACAGAGTCTCCCTGTGTTGCCCTGGCTGGAGTGAAGTGGCGAGATCTCCACTCACTGCAAGCTCCACCTCCTGGGTTCATGCCATTCTCCTACCTCAGCCTCCCGAGTAGCTGGGACTACAGGCACCCGCCACCACGCCTGGCTAATTTTTTTTGTATTTTTGGTAGAGGTGGGGTGCCAGGATGGTCTCGATCTCCTGACCTTGTGATCCACCCGCCTCAGCCTTCCAAAGTGTTGGGATTACAGGCGTGAGCCACCGCGCCTGGCCTCTTCTTTCTTTTTTCTTTTCTTTCTTTCTTTCTCTTTCTCTCTCTCTTTCCTTTTCTTTTCTTTTTTTTTTTTTTTGACAGAGCCTCACTGTTGCCCCAGGCTGGAGTGCAGTGGCCTGATCTCGGCTCACTGGAACCTCCGCCTCCCAGGTTCAAGTGATTCTCTTGCCTCAGCCTCCAGAGTAGCTGAGACTACAGGTGTGCACCACCACATCTGGCTGATTTTTGTATTTTTTATTAGAGATGGGGTTTTGCCATGTTGGCCAGGCTGCTTTCAATCTCCTGACCTCAGGTGATACACCCGCCTTGGCCTCCCAAAATGCTGGGATTATAGGCATGAGCTATCATGCCTGACCTTTTTTCTTTCATTTCTATCAGTTTTTGCTTCACATATCTTATAACTTTGTTGTTTGGGGGCATTTAAGATTACTGTGTCTTCTTGGTTGATTGATCCTTTTGTTATTATATAATGTCCCTCCCTGTGTCTGGTAATTTTATTTGCTCTGAAGTCTACTTTGTTTGACACTTTCCTTTAATATTTGCATAACATATTTTTTCCATCCTCTTACTGTCAAATTCCTTATATTTTTATTTGAAGAGTTTCTTATAGATACCATATAGTTAAACATCTTTTAAATCCCCTCTGCTAACTCTGTCTTTTAACTGGGGTATTTATTTTTATTTATTTTTTTCTTTTTGTGATGGAGTCTCACTCTGTTCCCCAGGCTGTAGTGTAGTGATGCTCACTTGGCTCACTGCAACCTCTGCCTCCCGGGTTCAAGTGATTCTCCTGCCTTGGCCTCCCAAGTAGCTGGAATTGCAGATGTGCACCACCATGCCTGGATAATTTTTTTGTATTTTTAGTAGAGACTGGCCAGGCTGGTCTTGAACTTTTGACTGTATGGGAACAGACACACAACTCTCCCAAATAAGCACAACAAAGAGACACAGAAGCAGTCCAAGCCTCTGATAAACTCTCCCATCCTGAATCCTTAAAAATGCTTAGTCTGTAAGAGGATGTGCCTCTGACCTAACTCAGCCAGACGCCCCTCTCAGGTTTGTTTTTTCTAAAATAAACCTGTCTTGACTGGCAAGCCACCTTTCTTTTCTCTCCTCTTTCTTTAATTCCTACACTGACTTCAAGTGATCTGCTTGCTTCGGCCTCCCAAAGTGCTGGGATTACAGGTGTGAGACACTGCGCCCGGCCTAACTGGTGTATCTAGACCATTTACATTTAATGTAATTATTGCTATATTAGGGCTTAAGTCTTCCTTTTCATTTTGTTTTCTCTGTTTTTTAAATTTCTGTTTTCTTTTTCCTAATTTCATGCTTGTTCCTGAAACATTTTTTAGAATTCCATTTTGAATTATTTATAGTTTTTGATGATAAACATATATATTTGGTATAGCTTTTTTAGTGGTTGCTCCAGGTATTACATTTTGTATATATGACTTAATACAGTGTATTGATGTCATTTTACCAGTTTGAGTAAAGTATAGAACTCTTAGCTTCCATTATGTCTCTACTTTTCCCTGTTTATATAATTATCTTAGCTATTTCCTCTTCATACATTTAGAACCACATCATACAGTGTTATAGTTTTTGCTTTAACCATCAAACATATTTTAGAAAACTCAAGAGAAGGAAAGCCTATTGTATTTACCCACAGTTTTGCTCATTATATTTTCTGTCTCCTGATGTTCCAAGATTCCTTCATTTTTAAAAATCATTTTCTTTCTGTTTGGAGAACTTCATTATTTAGTAAGTCTTTTTGTTTTTGTTTTTGTTTTTTTTTAGAGATGGGGTATTGCTGTCACCTAGGCTGGAGTGCAGTAGTGTGATCATAGCTCACTGCAGCCTTGAACTCTTGAGCTCAAGCAATCCCCCTGCTCAGCCTACCAAATAGCTGGTACTACAGGCATGCACCACCATGCCTGGCTAATTTTTTTTTTTTTTTTTTTTCTGAGATGGAGTCTCCCTCTGTCACCCAGGCTGGAGTGCAATGGCGTGATCTCAGCTCACTGCAACCTCTGCCTCCCAGGTTCAAGCAATTATTCTCTCATCTCTGCCTCCTGAGTAGCTGGGACTACAGGCACACACCACCACACCTGGCTCATTTTTGTATTTTTAGTAGAGACAGGGTATCACCATGTTGGCCAGGCTGGTCTCAAACTCCTGACCTCTAGTGATCCGCCTGCCTCAGCCTCCCAAAGTGCTGGGATTACAGGCGTGAACCACCATCCCCAGTGTGTTGTAGGCTTTTAAAATGTAAAGCAAAATTGTTCTACCAGCAGTGAATCAAACAGTAGGTTTTGAAACGTCAAGAAGCCCAAACACAAATTTAAGTTAGAGTTTTGTAAAGTAATATAAGTTCTCCTTTAAATGCATTTTAAAATATTAATAATTTTCTTTAGTATTGCTTAACCCCCTGTAAGTCACTAGGGCTCCATAATTATTTTGGAACCAACTCCTAAGTTAATATTCTTTCACTGTAATTTCAGCATCCTTAAATCTTCTAAGCACAGCTATAAGTTGAAATGATTTTAGAGAACTGTGAGTAAAAATCTAATATGATAAAATGGCTCCATTTTGCGGGGAAGGATGTACTGGTAATTGACAGAAAATGACCAGGAACATGGAAATAGGAGTAGGTCAGACAGATTGAATTGTTAAGTATTTTGAATATACTATAAATGAGATATAAATGATATTTTGAAATCAATATGCAATTTTTGTTGTATCTAATAAGGACTTTTAAGGATACAGTCAAGAAGGAGAGATGCAATATTACTGTGTTTAGCCTTACTAAAGCAAAGGAAAGTACTGTACGTAAAAGTTCTCTGGCGCGGTGGCTCATGCCTGTAATCCCAGCACTTTGGGAGGCCGAGGCGGGCAGATCACGAGGTCAGGAGTTCCAGACCAGCCTGGCCAACATAATGAAACCTCGTCTCTACTAAAAATACAAAAATTAGTTGGGCGTGGTGGTGTGCACCTGTAATTCCAGCTGCTTGGGAGGCAGAGGCAGGAGAATTGCTTGAAACCGGAAGGCAGAGGTTGCAGTGAGCCAAGATCGTACTACTGCACTCCAGCCTGGGCAACAAGAGAGAAACTCCGTCTAAAAAAAAAAAAAAAAGTTCTCCGGCATTTTTTGAAAAAGGCAAACTGCACTCATAAAATTTTACCTTTGGAACAGAATCTTTATAGTTACATAATCAATGGAAAGAACAGATTTGATGACAATATTGAGCTTATGAATTAATCAAATTTGAAGCTGCTCTACACCCAGAATTATTATTATTATTATTATTATTATTATTATTTTTTGAGACGACGTCTTACTTTGTCTCACTTTGTCGCCCAGGCTGGAATGCAGTGGCGCGATCTTGGCTCACTGCAACCTCCGCCTCCCAGATTCAAGCGATTCTCCTGCCTCAGCCTTCCGAGTAGCTGGGATTACAGGCACCTGCCAGCGTGCTCGGCTAAGTTTTGTATTTTTAGTAGAGACGAGCTTTCTTTTTTTTAAGACGGAGTCTCGCTCTGTCGCCCAGGCTGCAGTACAGTGGCGTGATCTCGGCTCACTGCAAACTCTGCTTCCCGGGTTCACGCCATTCTCCTGTCTCAGCCTCCCGAGTAGCTGGGACTACAGGCGCCCGCCACCATGCCCGGCTAATTTTTTGTATTTTTATTAGAGACGGCGTTTTGCCGTGTTAGCCAGGATGGTCTCGATCTCCTGACCTTGTGATCCGCCCGCCTCAGCCTCCCAAAGTGCTGGGATTACAGGCGTGAGCCACCGCGCCTGGCCAGAGACGAGCTTTCACCATGTTAGTCAAGCTGTCCTCGAACTCCTGGCCTCAAGCCATCCACCCACCTCGGCCTCTCAAAGTGCTGGGATTACAGGTGTGAGCTACCATGCCCAGTTTATACCCAGTCTTGTTAAGTGAGATGTTACATCTCCCTCTGTTTAGTTCACTTGACGCAAGATTCTCTATTTTTTTTTTTGAGATGGAGTTTCACTCTTGTTGCCCAGGGTTGTAGTGGCACAATCTTGGCTCATTGCAACCTCTGCCTCCCAGGTTCGAGCAATTCTCCTGCCTCAGCCTCCAGAGTAGCTGGGATTACAGGCGCCTGCCACCAATACAATACTTTTTTGTATTTTTAGTAGAGATAGGGTTTCACTATGTTGGCCAGGCTGGTCTCAAACTCCTGATCTCAGGTGATCCACCCACCTCGGCCTCCCAAAGTGTTGAGATTATAGGCATAAGCCACTGCACCCGGCCTAAGATTCTCTATTACTTGAGAATAAAACAACCTGTTAAAATATTATACCACAGTGTGCTTGGCCTATGTAACATCTGCTTAGATAACATACTCTCTTAAGCAGTAAATGAGTATGAGTTACAGGGGCTCTCCTTTTGTTCTTTAGGGACTCTAGAAATGCCAGATAATTCCACTTTTGTGGTGACAGAAGAATCTGGCAATAATAGCTACCGTTTACTGAACAACAACTGCACATTAAGCACTGTGTCATATGCTTTAGGTATGTTATTTGATCCTCACCAAATGCCTAGGTATTATTCCTCTTTTCTTTTCTTTTCATTTTCTTTTCTTTCTTTTCTCTTTTCTTTTTTATTTTCTTTCTTTTTAACAAAGAAAGAAACTGAGGGGGCTGGGTGTGGTGGCTCAGGTGTGTAGTCCCAGCATTTTGGGAAGCTGAGGTTGGAGGATCACTTAAGGTCAAGAATTTGAGGTTACAATGAGCTATGCTAGCACCACTGCACTCCAGCCTGGGTGACAGGTGAGACTCTGTCTCTAAAAAATAAATAAATTTACATCTGTTCAAAAGATAAATGACCTTTTAAACAAACAACATGTAGTATAAAGTTTATGACATACAATCATAAAAAATAATTAATAAAAAAAACAGCCAATGTGACCTGATATTTATAGAACACTCTTAACAATAGCAGAATACACATTTTTAAAAGTACCTGTAGAACATTTATCAAAATAGGCCATACTATTTTTCTCAATAAATTTAAAATTATTTCTGTCATAAAATATACTTTCTGGCCACAATATAATTAAATTAGAAATCAATAAAAAGGATATCTAGAAAATCTCCAAATGTTTGGAAAATAAAACTTCTATATCACACATTAGTTTCAAAAAAAGAAATTGGAAAGTGTTTTGAACTGTCTGAAAATTAAAACACAAGATAATAAAACTTGTGAGATACAATAAAATAGTGCTAGAGGGAGTCTTGTAGCACTAAATGCCTATATTAGAAAATAGGGGCCCGGCGCGGTGTCTCATGCCTATAATCCTAGCACTTTGGGAGGCCGAGGCAGGTGATGGCTTGAGCTCAGGAGTTCAAGACCAACCTGGGCAACATGGTGAGACCGCCTCTCTACAAAAAATACAAAAATTAGCTGGGCAGGGTGTCATGCACTTGTGGTCTCCGCTCCTCAGGAGGCTGAGGTGGGAGGGTGGCTTGAGCCTGGGAGGTTGAGGCTGCACTGAGGCATGTTCATGCCACTGCACTCCAGTCTGTGTGACAAAGCAAGACCCCGTCTCAACAACAACAACAAAAACAACAAACAAACAAACAAAAAACGAAATTAGAAAAAGAGTAAGTTAAACACAGAATAAAATGAAGACAGGAAATAATTAAGATTGGAGCAGAAACTTATGAAATAGAAAACAAAAATAGCAGGAAATCAATAAAGCCTAAAGCTGGTTCTTTGAGAAGATCAATAAAATTAATAAATCCCTAGGCCGGGCATGGTGGCTCACGCCTGTAATCCCAGCATTTTTGGAGGCCGAGGCGGGTGGATCACGAGGTCAGAAGGTGAGACCAACCTGGCTAACACAGTGTAACCCAGTCTCTACCAAAAATACAAAAAAATTAGCCGGGCGTGGTGGTGGGCGCCTGTAGTCCCACCTACTCAGGAGGCTGAGGCAGGAGAATGGCGTGAACCCAGGAGGCGGAGATTGCAGTGAGCTGAGATCGTGCCACTGCACTCCAGCCTGGGCGACAGAATGAGACTCTGTCTCAAAAATAAACAAAACAAAACAAAACAAAAAACAGGTTAAAAGACCGGTGTGGTGGCTCATGCCTGTAATTCCAGCACTTTGGAAGGCTGAGGTGGGCGGATCACGAGGTCAGGAGTTCGAGACCACCCTGACCAACATAGTGAAACCCCATCTCTACTAAAAATACAAAAAAAATTAGCTGGGCATGGTGGCACATGCCTGTAATCCCAGGTACTCAGGAGGCTGAGGCAGGAGGATCACTTGAACCCAGGAGGCAGAGGTTGCAGTGAGCCGAGATCGTGCCACTGCACTCCAGCCTGGGTGACAGAGCAAGACTCTGTCTTAAAATAAATAAATAAATAAATAAATAAATTAAATTAAATTAATAAACCTCTAGCCAGACTGAACAGAAAAAAAGTGAAAGGAAACACAAATTGCAAATATCAGGAATGAAGGAGATAACCTACAGATTCTACAGCTATTAAAATAATAATTAGAGAATATTATGAAAAACTTTTTAACAAAAAATTCAACATATATAAAATGGACAAACCCCTTGAAAAAAACCAAATTACCAAAAATTGTACAAGAAGAGCTGACCTGAGTAGTCCTATATCTATTTTTTAAAATTGAATTTGTAGTTTAAAACCTTCCTACAAGGAAAACTCCAAGCCCAGATGGCTTCAGTGGTGAATTATACCAAATGATTAAGGAGAAATAACAGCAGTTCTCTACCACCTCTTTCAGAAAATGGAAGCCAATGGAATACTTCCCAATTCATCCTAGGATAACAGCATTACCCTGATACCAAAACCTGACAAAGACATTCTTAGAAAACTACAGATCAGTAGTCTTCAGGAACACAGGTGCAAAAATTCTCAAGGAAATTTTAGCAAATCTAACCTAACAATATGTAAAAAGGACAATGCATTAAGACCAACCGGAGTTTATTTCAGGCATATAAGTCTTCATTTCAAAGCCCAATCAATATAATTCACTACATTAACATAAAATTAAACCATATGATTACCCCAACAGATCCACCAAAAGTGTTTGACAAAATCTAACATCCGTTCCTAATAAAAACTCAGCAAACTAGGTATAGGGGCCCTTTGTTTGTCTTTTTCTGGTTTCCAAGTCCTTGAAACAAAATCCAACTATGTCCAAATGCCATGAAGGTTTGTGTTGCTGCTGATGTCAGAGATAAACATTACTTTTAAGGACAGGACGGAGTGGAGTAGCAGAAGCATTTAGATGAGAAAAAAGACAAATTAACTTGTTTAATTCTTCTTAAGAGCCAAAATGCAGGTGTTTCTTGCACAATGTAGTATTCTTTTTCTTTTTACTTTCTTTTTTTTTTTCTTTTTTTTTGAGATGGAGTTTCGCTCTTGTCACCCAGGCTGGAGTGCAATGGCGGATCTCAGCTCACTTCTGCCTCCCGGGTTCAAGTGATTCTCCTACCTCAGCCTCCCGAGTAGCTGGTATTACAGGCATGCGCCACCATGCCCAGCTAATTTTTGTATTTTTACTAGGGACGGGGTTTCACCATGTTGGTCAGGATGATCTCAATCTCTTGACCTTGTGATCCGCCTGCCTCGGCCTCCCAAAGTGCTGGGATTACAGGCGTGAGCCACCGTGCCCGGCCTATTTTTCTGTAGTCCCATTTTCTTGCTTCAGAGTTATTCAGGAGTTAGCACGGTACTACAATTGCTATGCACAGAAGCTGAGGAACATTTGGTAGTGTTAAATACCTAACATTGACTTAAATCTGTACATAGGTAGTTCTAGATATACTATGCTTCTTTACTGCATCAACCAGATGGACATTAAATGGTAGAATTATGACTAATTTGTATAAAGCATTTTATATAGTATATATATTTTATTTATTTATTTATTTATTGAGACAGAGTCTCGCTGTGTTGCCCAGGCTGGAGTGCAGTGGTGCGATCTTGGCTCACTGCAAGCTCCGCTGCCCTGGTTCACACCATTCTCCTGCCTCAGCCTCCCAAGTAGCTGAGACTACAGGTGTCCGCTACCACGCCCGCCTAATTTTTTTGTATTTTTAGTAGAGATGGGGTTTCACTGTGTTAGCCAGGATGGTCTCGATCTCCTGACCTCGTGATCCGCCCGCCTTGGCCTCCCAAAGTGCTGGGATTACAGGCGTGAGCCACTGCGCCCGGCCTAGTATAATAATTTTTAAAATTAGCTTTAAATATTTTTGAGTTAAAATCTTGATATTTTAAAATGTTGCCTATTAATTAATTTTTTTTTTTTTTTTTTGAGACGGAGTCTCGCTCTGTCGCCCAGGCTGGAGTGCAGTGGCACGATCTCGGCTCAGTGCAAGCTCTGCCTCCTGGGTTCACGCCATTCTCCTGCCTCAGCCTCCAGAGTAGCTGGGACTACAGGCGCCCGCCACCACGCCCGGCTAATTTTTTTGTATTTTTAGTAGAGACGGGGTTTCACCGTGTTAGCCAGGTTGGTCTCGATCTCCTGACCTTGTGATCCACCCACCTCAGCCTCCCAAAGAGCTGGGATTACAGGCGTGAGCCACCACGCCTGGCCGCCTATTAATTTTTATAAGCAGTTTGCTTTTAATATTTTAGAAGAAAATAGCTCTTTGAATACATTTAAAACCAGTTTTAACTTTTTAAATTTTAATACTTTATTTATTTATTTATTGTTTGTTTGTTTGTTTGACAGAATGTCTCGCTCTGTTGCCCAGGCTAGAGTGCAGTGGAACAATCACAGCTCACTGCAGCCTCAAACTCCTGGGCTCAAGCCATCCTCCCACCTCAGCCTCCCAAGTAGCTAGGACTAGAGGCATGAGTCACCACACCCAGCTAATTTTTAAAAGATTTTTTTTTTGCAGAGACATGGTCTCACTATGTTGCCCAGGCTGATCTCAAACTCCTGACTTCAAGTGATCCTCCTGCTTCAGCCTCCCAAAGCGTTGGAGGTTACAGGCATCAGCTACTATGCGCAGGTTTTAATTTACTTTTGAATAAGTATGTGAAATTAAATAATTCAAACTTAAAGCTGTTGGAACTTTATTCTGAGCCTTGAGAGGTGTGTGGCTGTGCAGCCTGAGTCACATGGCATGCAGCTGCAACTTTTGCCTTGTTTTTCCTTTAGATAATTAAGAACAAACAGCACCAAAGACCCCCACAGATCATTACCCCTCCTTATAGAGTAATAAAGTATTCTTTCTTGGAATTTAGCAATCTGTAACCAATCAAATTGCTGTGGCATATGCACTAGTCTTGTATGAAAAGAGTCTTGCTCTGTCGCCCAGGCTGCAGGGCAGTGGCAGTCATAGCTCACTGCAGCCTCGAACCTGCCGGGCTCAGGTGATCCTCCCACCTCAGCCCTCTGAGTAGCTAGGACTACAGGCATGCACCACTGTGCCCAGCTAAATGTATTTTTTGTAGAGATGGAGTTTTGCCATGTTGCTCAGCCTGTTTTTGAACTGGGCTCAAGCAATCCTCCCATCTCAGCCTTCCAAAGTGCTGGGATTACAGGCGTGAGCCACCATGCCCGGCCAAAACCAACTAATATTAACAGTATTTTGTGTGTCTCTCTAAATATATCCTATGTGAATGTATGTATGTATTCTTTCTTTTGCCTTTATAAACAAATGATAGTATATTTTTCATAACGTTCTGCACTCTGATTTTCTTCTCAATGTATCTTGGCAGTCTTTCTCAGTATATAGTGACTTTTCTCATTTTTTTATCTTTATACCTCAATATCTGGCACATAGTAAGCAAATCATAAATGCTGAGTGAATGAAATATTAAATGAATAAAAAGGAAATTTTTGTGCTGCTATTGGAAATTAGCTCTCTATATATTTCAACATGTTACACATATACAATGATCTAAAAACTTGTCTTACTCTTTCCTATCCACTAGAGGGAGACATCAACCTGTTGTGGAAAAGAATGATCACTTAAAGTCTTTAGAAATTCTGAACCAACTCTCTAGCAGGTGATCCTTGTTAGAATTTGAGCCCTTAACGCTATCCAGGACTGGAGGTTGAAGGGACGATAGAGGGAGCAGGAGGAGAATGCACATGGATTAAGGAGCGAGAACACAGGTGAACTTCAGCTTTTTTGCTAACAGTCAGACAAACTACTGACCCTGACTCAGTGATGTGCTAGTAAACCAGCTCTTTAAAAAAAAAAAAAAAGCCCTAGATTGCTGATTTGTATGTAATGTTTATGAATTTCAGTAGAGAAAAAGACAATATTCAAACTGAGCCATGCACCCAAAACAAGAGAACAGCCAAGAAGTGTTCACTTCTATCAGTGCCCTGGGTTGTTTGAAAAAAGAAGCCGACCTGAGCACCTGTGAGCTCCCTTCTGGCGAGGAGAAATCTGGAGTGTAGTTATTCCACCATGGCCAAATTCAAGCCACTCGGGGTTTAATCACCGAATTGCAAATTCCTTGAACATTTAACAGTAGGCTCTCTTGGCTGGGCGCGGTGGCTCATGCCTGTAATCCCAGCAATTTGGGAGGCCATGGCAGGAGGATTACCTGAGGTCGGGAGTTGGAGACCAGCCTGGCCAACATAGTGAAACCCCATTTCTACTAAAAATACAAAAAATTAGCTGGGCGTGGTGGCAGGTGCCTGTGGTCCCAGCTACTCGGGAGGCTGAGGCAGGAGAATCGCTTGAACCCAGGAGGCGGAGGTTGCAGTGAGCCGAGATTGTGCCACTGCACTCCAGCCTGGGCGACAACAGTGAAACTCCATCTCAAAAAAACAAAACAACAATAACAACAACAGTAGGCTCTCTTGAGCCAGCCTGAGCAGGCTCTTGCATGCTGCTGAAGCTTGTCGGGTCTTAGTTACTTTTCCTGTAAAGTGGGGATGATAAATCTGCTCATTATGTAGATTCTATTACATAGAGGACACATAAGTTCTTTGAATGCTTAAAGCAATGTTTCCTAAACTTCTTTGGTCATGAAATCACCCAGTGGCTTGTGTAAAATAAACATTCCCAGGACCTGCCCTAGAGCACCTGGGTTAGAACATTTTGGGGGAGGGGGCTGGGAATCTGTATTTTAAATAAGCAACCCAGGTGAGGCCGGGCGCGGTGCCTCACACCTGTAATCCCAGCACTTTGGGAGGCCGAGGCGGGTGGATCACGAGATCAAGAGATTGAGACCATCCTGGCTAACACGGTGAAATTCCATCTCTACTAAAAATACAAAAAAATTAGCCGGGCATGGTGGCAGGAGCCTGTAGTCCCAGCTATTTGGGAGGCCGAGGCAGGAGAATGGCATGAACCCGGGAGACAGAGCTTGCAGTGAGCCGAGATTGCGCCACTGCACTCCAGCCTGGGCGACAGAGCGAGACTGTCTCAAAAAATAAATAAATAAATAAATAAATAAATAAATAAATAAATAAAAATAAAAAATAAAAAAGTGACCCAGGTGACTCTTATGACCCTGTGAAATGGGAGAAACACTGCTGCAAATTACTCTTATAATTGGGTCAGGTGTCAGGGGTCTTTCTCTAACTTCACAATTGGGCCTGCTTGAAGAGATGTGTGCAGAGTTCCACAACACACTCCAGGCAGGCATTTAATCCGTTCACTGTCTTCTCTACCCTCAGAGCCCAAACTTCCCAAAGAGGAAAACCTGCTCCTTGCCATCTCTTAGGCCAAGGCTTCTGTACACCTGGGAAGTCCTTCAATCTGAGGATCTCTGGGTTGTTTTCAAGCTACTATTTATTGAGAATTTACAAAGTGTCAGGCACGTTACAGCAATTTGTCATTTCTATGAAATAGCTTCTTGTGCTATTCCCATTTTACAGAGAAAAATCAAAGAAGTTGGGAAAATGTCGAAGGGCACACAACTAGGAAGTGTTTGTGCTGAAAACCCACCCTAGGCCCAAGCCTTGGAACTCCAAGCCTGGGTTCCATCCCTGCACTGGGCAATTCTGATCTATGTGCGCTAGTTTCCTTGTGTTCTCTGTTCTCTCCGTAGAAATCCTGGGCTCTCTTCTCCCAGCCACAAGGTTAGGTTGAAAAACAGAGCAGATGGAGGTAGTTTGTAGCCTACAGGTGCCCTGAATGAAGCTTCCACAGTGCTAAAGTGGAAGAACGAGGGACTCCAAGGGAAGGATTCAAGGCTGGGCCCATGCACCTGTGTAATTCAGAAGAGACCCCAGAGGAGATCAGCGCCCTCTAATTAGCCCTGGTAAGGAGCTCTGGGAGTTACTGTAACTCTCTCAGAAGAACCCAAACATGCGGGAACGTGACTTCTTACCTTCTGAAAGTCCACAAAATTCCTGATTGCCACCATTAATTTGTCACTTATCATTTGCAACAGGCATTGTAGGTTGTCTTATGCATTTGTCTTCTCCCTTCAGCTAGTGTATAAAGTCTTAGGGAGACCAGCAGTTCAGAGAGAATGGGCTTTGGTGTGAAACAGATCTGGTTTGAACCCTCTGCTACTTACTAGCTGTTGGGCAAGTTCCTTAAATTCTCTGAGTCTTAATCTTCTCATCTGTAAAATGGAGACATAAGGAGTACCCACCTCATTGGATTGTTTTAAGGATAAAATTAAATAGTGCAGGCAAAGGATTTACAAGCAACTGCTGAATGAATGGTAGTTATAGCCTCCTCCTCATCATCTGTGAGCAAACACCCTCATATTTCCTTGTGTCTCAGGTAGACACTTAAGGTATTGCAAGCATTAAGGGAGCATTGTCACAAAGAGATAAATGCATGAGGGCAAGATGCAGTCTCAAAGAAGAGTGTTTTATGAAAGAATAAATGTAATGCTGAGTGTCAGAAAAAAATTTTTTTTTTTAAAGATGAGGTATCTATCACCCAGGCTGAAGTGCAGTGGTGTGATCTTAGCTCACTGAAGCCTCAACCTCCCAGGCTCAAGTGATCCTCCAGCCTCAGCCTCCCGAGTAGCTGGGACTACAGGTGCCACCACACCTGGTTAATTGTTGTATTTTTTGTAGAGATGGGTTTTCGCCATGTTGTCCAGGCTGGTCTTGAACTCCTGGGCTCGAGCGATCCTCTCATCTTGGCCTCCCAAAGTGCTGGGATTGCAGGCATGAGCCACCACACCCAGCCTGTCAGAAAAATTTTAAGGTGAAAATAACTAAAGAAGTTGTTAAGAATTTTCTCCCTTGAGTGGTATTTTAGACTGAGATGAGGGAGGGTAGAGGTAGGATGAGAAGGAAGGGATGGGGTCCGGTTGAAAGGCCTGTGAGATAGTAGCAGTGCAATATGGCAGATGTTGACAGCCTCAGTGCTAGGAACACAGAAACTGAATCTCTTGCAAGGAGGCAGGTGTGCATCTGTATGGAAGTCAGATGACCTGTGTTCCTATGAGTGCAAATCTGGAAAACACCCTCAAGTTTCCTTGTCAGCAAATTGGTGATAAAATCAACATTGTAGGGTTGGTGTGAACATGCAGCATGATGTGGCCATGCAAGTTCTTTGTTAACTAGAAGCCAGTGTCATGCCAGGACAGCAGTCCTCCTAGTAAGCTGTGGCTGGTGGCGTGGTAGAATACGTGGAGCAGGCTGAGGAAGCACTTGACTTGACTATGAGCAGAACCATTAAGAAGCTAGTTAGCTAAACTGCCTGGACAGTAGAAAAATAATATGTGAGAATGTAAAAGGAAGAGAAACAATGTGAGGGGAGAGGAGAATGCAGAGATCCTGGCCCATGGAACAGCATTGGTGATCCTTAAGTAGCTGCATGAACTACTTGGAGAAGTTCATTTTCTGTTTATAATTCCCAGCAAAGGAGAGGACTGAATAAGAGAGAAGAAAACGATTCCTTTCTCTGGTTAGGTTCATCAGATCAAACGGTGACATATGTGAAAGAAGCACGCTCTGTGCACAAAAAATCAAGTCTGTATTTTTATAAAAGCCATTTCTGGGCTGGGCGCGGTGGCTGACGCCTGTAATCCCAGCACTTTGGGAGGCGGAGGCGGGTGGATCAGGAGGCCAGGAGATCGAGACCATCCTGGCTACCACGGTGAAACCCTGTCTCTACTAAAAAAATACAAAAAAATTAGCCGGGTGTGGTGGTGGGTGCCTGTAGTCTCAGCTACTTGGGGGGCTGAGGCGGAAGATTGTGCCACTGCACTCTAGCCTGGGCGACAGAGCGAGACTCCGTCTCAAAAAAAAAAAAAAAAAAAGCTATTTCTGTAATGAGCATCACTGGAGAGTTAGTTGCTATGGGTCTAAAGGACAATATGAGGCAGTTATAGTAACTTTCCATGATATGAACAAAGAAATTGAAAATGTTAGATACATTTACAAGAAGATGTAGAAAAAACTTTAGTCAAAATTTTTGAAATATTTTTTGAAATATTAAACTATGAAATCAGACAGTCTTATCTATGGTCTCAAGCCATGTCTGTCTGTACCTTTTTTTTTTTTATCTCATTTCAGGGAATATTACACTGGCTGACTTATTAATATCTTCTGAGCCAGAAAATGTAAGGAAGCTGCATTTTCAGAATTGCATTTGAGTCATTTGTGAAATTGCATATTACAATTTGCCGCCATTTCTAACAGTCCTATAACTTTTTTTTTTTTTTTTCTTAACTGGGTGTTCACATTCATGCCAATGACCTCTAGGGGCTAGTTTCTCTTCTAGCTCAAGAGAATTGCTGCAGAGTTGGAAGTAAGGACAAAAATGTGTATGCTTCATGTTTGATTTCAAATGCATAGAAAATTAGAAACTTAAGGTATGCAAGGGATTTGTGTGGAATTTAAGTACCTTTGAGGGGCAGTGGACAGGACAAAAAGTTATTTTTTACCTGTTTGTTTACAAATAGCAAAGATCAAGACTGAAACACATGAGTGTGATTTAGAAAGAGTTGGCTGCAGGTGCTGCTTGCTCAGGTGGTTCATTTAAACTGCAGGTCAGAGCAACCTTGTCTCATGGTCCTGGTGCCCAGGTATCAGGTTGGGTCTGTCTTGCTGCTTATGTCCTTGTTACCCTCTGAGGGCCCCAGTCCAACGCAGATCAATAAAGAATAAGTTACATAAATATGCTCATAGGTGGTCATTCCTAGACAAGAAATTGACAACATTTCATTCAACAGTATCTGGGCTCTACAGGACAGACATGCCTCCATTTATGCAACAAATAAGAACAGCATCTCATGACAGTGGAGAAAACATGGGATGTGCAGGTAGGTAGGTAAAGTTGGGTGGAAACTTTCACCCTACCAAATGCACATGGGTGACTTTATAAAATAAATGTTAGCTCTCTGAGCCTCAGTTTTCCCATCTGTAAAATAGACAGTCCCAGGGAATTTTCAAGGATTAAATGAAATAAAAGTGAATCAACCTATGCAAGCCTGCCTACTGTGGTGTCCAGGCTAGAAAAATGCTCAATAAATATTAGGTTTGTTTTTATTTCTACAAAAGATGTGATCCTAAAGAGCTCTATCCAAATTCAAGTTTCAAATGTCAAATCACATTTTGTGAACTTTATGTTCAGTTGAGATGATCTCTGACATATTAATTAGTAATCCTATCTTTTTCATTCATCACCACCAAAAAAAGGTGTTATTGCACGTTCAATTAATCTTTCCCCTTTATTAATTCCATAAGTGTAGGGTTTTATCTCTCAGATTCTCTTAAAACAGACCAATTTATACCCACATAATATAAATAAGCTTGTTCCTATAACACTCTGGAGCAGATAACTATCCCAGAACCCAAATCCTCCTACTTGGCTTCAAGCTCAGAGAATAAAGCAACAATCCAAAGGCACCCTTTGGCATGACACCCTTCTAGACATCTGTAGCATTCCTCCTTTCCCTCCACTTTTCCTATTAGCTTTTGCTTTCTTGCCTTTTACAGGGTTTTGTTTTGCCTCTTGGTAGTTTCTTTCCTACGGAAAATTCTCCCTCTGATCTTTCCAAGTCAAAGGCTTCAGCAAACATTTGTTGAACGCGTGGATTGTGCTAGGTGGGTGTTATGGACCATGGAGAATGCTAGAGATGTAAGACATGCGCTGTCCAATCGCAGCGCAGGTTGTGTTGACAGGTAAGATGAGGGCTGTGGGGGAGCCAATGTGCACGTTCCACTGGGCTAATGTGCTCTTCACCTTATTTAGGCTCTTGGCTTTGGGATGTGTAAGACTTTGCTAGACAGAGAAGGGGTGGGGTGAGAAGATGAGGAAGGTGCACCTTTTATGGAGAGGCTTTCCTTCCTCTTCACAGCAAACCATACCTGTACTACATTGACTTCCTTTGCTTTCCCAGGTGACATCTAGCTCATGCTGCAAGCTCATCTTGTTAATCATAAATGCTAGTAAGTTAATATTACCCATCATATATAACATGACTTAATTTTAACAATTCAATGCTTTATCCCCAAAAGATGACTTAATGGTGACAATTTCAATCCCCATTGTAGGATATTTTGGAGACAGGCAGTCCTTTCAATGTCATATGTGGGTGCTTCCTTAGGCAGGTCAGGGGTGAGGTGGAAATGAGGCTGGGACCCTGCTCACTTATATAGCAGGCATCGTTCTCAATACCAGGCTTCAGGGGGCTTTTTGGTCTAGCCATTGGTATGAACTGCCTCAAGAATAATCCCTTCATCATTGTGGTCACAATTCAGGTAGAATTGGAATAATCATCCTCTCCACTCTGCATTAAACCAGGCAAAGTTTCCATCTCTGGGTACCATTGTCTTTCTTGATGGACAGGGTGAGTCAGAAGGAAACTTACTCACTCCCATTCATTTTCTGCTTATTATTTCCTGCAGTGAGGTTTCCTTGTATAATAAACAGCTTCTGTGGGTGTTTGAGCTGCTCTGAAAAGAGAACATGCTGTTCCTGTGTGTAGAATGCCTTCTGAAGGAAGCATCACAGTGAACACAGAGCAGAAGCTTGGCACACAGGTGGCAGAAGTTTGTCTGCAGTGTTCTGCATAGAGCAGAGAGTCAAGCCATTTTCATTCTGATTGATTGGAGGCATGGTATGGAGGTAAATGGGTCCTTGGCCTCTCTCCTGGATTCAAGTCCTTCTTAGCCACTGATAGGTCATGTGACCATAGGGAGGTTGTTTAACCTTCCTGAACATTCATTTTCTCAAGTATAAAATGGGGGTAATAGAATTTGCCTTATAGGCTTGCGTATAAAATAAGAATTATTGAGAGAAAGCGGGGCATAAATGTCCAATAAGCGGTAGCTGTCTATGAAGCCACTGTTGTTACTGGGTTCCTTTCTCACTAGGTGGCTTCAGGTAGCTGACAGAAGCTCTGTGAGCCTCAATTTCCTCACTGGAAAAGTGGAGTCAATATCTCACTGAGCTGGTGTGAGGATTAAATGAGATGCTGTGCAGGTGCTTAGCACAGCGTCAGGTATGATGTTAATATTGATAGATGCATTTTCTTCACCCTCACCTATCTTTTTCTGCCTGTTGGCTTATGGTTGAAATTCCTTCATGACGGTTTCCATTTCCAGAGATATCTTGTTAACAAGTATATACCACCAAATGAAGCTGATTTTTTTTTTTTTTTTTTTTTTTGAGACAGAGTCTCGCTCTGTCGCCCAGGCTGGAATGCAGTGGCGCGATCTTGGCTCACTGCAACCTCCGCCTCCCATGTTCAAGCGATTCTCCTGCCTCAGCCTCCTGAGTAGCTGGGATTACTGGCATGTGCCACCACGTCCAGCCAATTTTTGTATTTTTAGTAGAGACGAGGTTTCACCATGTTGGTCAGGCTGGTCTCAAACTCCTGACCTCGTGATCCACCTGCCTCGGCCTCCCAAAGTGCTGAGATTATAGGTGTGAGCCACCATGCCTGGCCATGAAGCTGATTTTTTTAAACCATCATTTAACATTTTCTCCATAAGGTGGCAAGGAGGAAGAGCATATGGGGACTGGGTACTTTGAGAGACCCCAGGACAGGAGACAGGGAGGCTGAGATTGGCATGTTGTCTGCTGCAGTTATTTGCCAGCGACACACTCTTCCCGTCCAAACTAACTTCTCTGCCTCAAGGACAGGGAGACTCTGCCTTTCAACCTGAGAGAAACCAGGACTCTCAGCTTTAATGAAAATTGGACTTAGGGTGGGGCAGTGGAGACTTTTCACAGCTATTGTTTAGCTGATGAAGCAGATGCTTCTCCATCTTTGGAGCCTGTCTTCATTACCTGTGGACCTCATCTTTATCAACCCAGAGCACACTTGCGTCTCTCTATTTTGGCTAAACACCAAACAGCTGAGGCTGGTACTGTAAAACTTTCCCTCCAAATGCCCCCCCTCGTCTTCCTCTATTAGAGATCTGGATCACAACCCTCAAAAACCATGTCCCTTATGCCACCTGAGTAGATGGTTTGATGATTAATTAGGCACAGATGTGACACTGGGGGGTTCTCACAATGGCCTGTGGGTCACATGCTACTTTCCTTTTCATTTTCATCAGCAACAGCTGCCTTAAAGCCAGTTAAGACTGTGGTCCTAGTCTCGCACCCTGGGGCTCCTGCTGGGGTGGGTGAGGGGAACACCCCATTAAGCTGGGGGAACTGGGGCTGCCACCAGGGGGCGCGAGGGGCCTTCGCCCGAGAAGAGGGGTGGGCAGGTGCCTCCAGCGGAGAAGGGCGCCGTGGCCGGAGGCACAGGTCTCCCCGGTGCCACTTCAAGTGAGTTCGAGGAAGTACCTGGGATCTTTGATCTAACGCGAAAGGCCTTCCCAGTGACCTCTTGAGAGCTGAGAACCCACTCCCTCCACCTCTAGTCCACGGCTTTGCCACTCCAGGGCCCGAGGTTACGTTTGCTGCTGGGGATTTGACAAACCCAAAGCCTCTCTGGTTTCACCACTGGCTCCTTAGAATCAGACATCTGTTCTGAATGACACTTATGTGAGTCAGGGGCTGAGGACGTGATCCTCGAAGTGTGGTCCCCAGACTGGCTGTATCAGTGTCGGCATCCCCCAGGACCTGGTTGGAAATGCATATTCTCAGGCCCTACTCCAGACCTCTTAAATCTGAGACTGGGGCTGCGGGGAGCGCCATCTGTGCGCCACTATCCTTGTGGGTGGACCAGGAGTCGGTTCGAGGGTGCTCCCACTTAGAGGTCACGCGCGGCGTCGGGCGTTCCTGAGACCGTCGGGCTCCCTGGCTCGGTCACGTGGGCTCAGGCACTACTCCCCTCTACCCTCCTCTCGGTCTTTAAAAGGAAGAAGGGGCTTATCGTTAAGTCGCTTGTGATCTTTTCAGTTTCTCCAGCTGCTGGCTTTTTGGACACCCACTCCCCCGCCAGGAGGCAGTTGCAAGCGCGGAGGCTGCGAGAAATAACTGCCTCTTGAAACTTGCAGGGCGAAGAGCAGGCGGCGAGCGCTGGGCCGGGGAGGGACCACCCGAGCTGCGACGGGCTCTGGGGCTGCGGGGCAGGGCTGGCGCCCGGAGCCTGAGCTGCAGGAGGTGCGCTCGCTTTCCTCAACAGGTGGCGGCGGGGCGCGCGCCGGGAGACCCCCCCTAATGCGGGAAAAGCACGTGTCCGCATTTTAGAGAAGGCAAGGCCGGTGTGTTTATCTGCAAGGTAAGCGCCCCTTCGCTCGAGGTGTGGTTTAATTGTCTCATTTTGTTTGAAATCCTGCGGTGAGAAACCAGTCGTGTTGAGAACAATAAAAGACCAAAAAACGATCACCAAAACCAACTGTCCTGAAAGCTACTGGAAAGTTGGAAAATGCATGCTTTGATTAAATGTCTTCATTCAAGACACTGGCAAGTTAACTTATTTAGTTTGTGCCGTGAGCTCTGGGTTGATTGTGCTAATATGAATAACTGAAAAACATTTTATTTCCCTATGGTTTTCCTCGATGGACTTCCCCACTATGGGTGAAATGACAATGGAGTTGAATACACTTTCTGATTGAACTTTGAGGGCCTGGGAAGATGTACACGTCTCAGGCAAGATGATAGGGGTTTTAAAATGTATTAATTGGCATTCCTTAGCCATGTCAGCAAGCTGCGTTCCTCCTTTCCTGGGCAGACCAAGCTAAGCTCTAACTGGTCTCCTTTATTTGCTGAAGAGGAGTCCAACAACTGCCCTCTAACACCCTGCGTGTTATTCTTATTGGAAGGACAATATTAAGTCAAGTGAATGTCATTTTTGTGAAAAAACTTTGAGTGGACTTCTATTTAGGAAGATAAGGTTGATTTAATTTTACTCGCTGTTTAAAAAGCAGGATTGTGTTTTGGTGTGGTAGGCAACATTTTGGAGGACAGACTTTGCCTTATTTTGTTATATTTCTAGTATTTACATGGGCATTCCATTAGAAAGTTTTACTTTTGCTCTAAGTTTCGTAACTCGGTGTCTAGTGAGGGGAAACATGTTTGTAATTTAAAAAGTGAACATGTGAAAGGAAAGGCTTTTCTGAGAGTGTTGTAAAACAAATGTAACGTGACTATGAAAAGAACATGATTAACATCTTTGACTCCTATTTTTTCTGAAGAAAATGTATTTTGATATGAGTTCTAGAAGAAGGAAACTATAAGGATCTGTTCATCAACAGGCATTAGAGTATACACCGTAGGATTGCATTTTACGTTCAAGCATTTTTTTAGATGAATTTCTGAAACATTCTTATTTTAAAAGCCATCAGATGCTTGTTAACACTTAAGTCTTGCTCAAGACATAGAAGTTTCTGAAATCAATTAACATGTTTAGGACACATTTCGTAGTGTTCTGAGGGATGTGAATAAATCTAATCACAGTTTACATTTCTTAATGTATTTATAATTCAGAAAAGGTAGAATTTAGTAGTAAATTCAACTCATAACCATATAATTAACATTTAATAGATATTGATATGTTCACTTTTAAGAATAAGAAGGAAATTTTCTATAAGTGTATGTTGAACACATAATAATTCAAAATTCATGTGATAATTTTAGGTGATGCTTTGAGTCGTTTTATAGAATATAAATATGGATAAAATATAAAATACTGAAGGCTGAACTCAAAGTGTTTAATGATAAGTTTTTGATAATACATCTAGAAACCTTGAGAATTGTATGCTTGAACGTTAGATTTCATAATTCAGTGTCTAGCACATTGTTTTATATGCAATAGCACTTTAAAAAAATTAGGCTACAGCAGTATAATTTACATACAGTAAAATTTAGCCTCTGTAAATGTACCTCTATGAATTCTGACAGATGCACAGTCATGTAACCAGCACCGCACACATGACACAGAACAGTTCCATTACCCCAAAAGTCCCCTTTGTACCTCTACCTACCCCACTGCCCCTGAAAATCACTGATCAAAACTACATAATGATTATGTGGTTTTGCTCTTTAGTACGTTTTTACTTAGACATATTTTCCTTTACTTCTTTTGAAAGAAAAACCTGTTTTTCCCTTTTTATAGGATGAGTCAGTTTGTGCTATTTTTAATTCTAGTACCTTGGGATAAATCAAGGCAAAGACAATGCTATTTGCAAATGGGAAACTTGAGACTTGGACTAAGTGTTAAATTCATATAGGGCTAATAGATTTAGTTCTTAGCAGATTTAGATTCTATTGTGGTTTAAGCCTTTGGTTATGGCATATATCATTAGTTATCCTGAATTGAAATACAAGGCCATTAAAAGTTATTTATATCATATTAATAGAATGCATCATTCTTTTATAATCTTTGAATTTTAAAACTTCTTTATTAAAAAAAAAACTACTTTTCATTATACCTGAGATTAAGAAAGCTACCTGAAATTGCATATTATCAAATAGTGAGAAGCAAAACAGGGATTGAAAATGACAAATTGAAGACATTTAAAATGCAGAGTGATTACAATTGCTGAAGGTAAAATATTTATCTTCATAGGGGCTTAGGTCTGTGTCCAACTTATTTGTAGATGTCAGGATTTTTAAATTTCTGTGCTCATGTCTTGAAGTCTAGATTTTCCTGCAGGGTGGAGATGTATAACCTTTTGTAAACTAATATTTTTCACTGTTTAACACAGTATTCAATTCAGTATACAGTTAGGAGCCTGTTATTGGTAGGTACTGCTAACATATATATATATAAAATTGATGTCTTTTTCCTTTTTCCTTTGTTCTATGAAAAACAGCCTGTATTTTAAATATGTAACTTACCTTGCATACCCAGTTACAGTGGTAGTAACTAGGATATGCAGAGTGGCAAGTTTATGAGGAGCTAGCAAACTGGATAGTTGGCCTTCCTAGCTGGAATTATGACAGGTCTTGAAAATGAAGGGCTTTTAGTGGAGAATCTTTGTGTGGGTGTACTTGAGAGAGGGCAGGAGAGTTAGGGTGACCTAGAAAGATAGATTGCTGGACTTGTATATGTTTCCTCAAAGCCAGACTGCAGCATTTTGTTAGTAAATTGTTGTGTGTTCTACTGTCAAACCCAGGCCTGGAAGGGGAGTTGAGTGCATTCAGCCTAACTTCTGGATTGGCTGTGTCATCTTGAATCCCTTCACTCGGAATTCTCTCTGACCCTGTCCCAAATGAATATTTGAATTTGGTCCAGTTCCTACAGAGCATGGTCTGTGGCTGTTGTTGGTGTTAGGGAAGAGCAGAAACTTGCTGTTGAGAGAGAAGACACTTGAGAAGACTGATGAACTCTCTCCCACCCCTGCCTTCGAGGCTTGGTCCTCCTACCCTATTCAAACCCTTGAAACTCTTTCCTATCCAACTAAATAAGCGCCAATTGGTTACTAGGAGAATTAGCTTTTCCTCATTTTAGAAGGAAACAGGGTTTCCTTATGTACATGTTCTTAAGAATTACATGCAAATCAGTTATTAATGATGAGTTCTCTGGTGATTTTGGAGTGTTTTATCTTCCTAATATTAAATTAATTGAGGGCCTTAATATTTTGTTTTGAAAGAATATATTTAAAAAGGCTGGGTGTGGTGGCTCACGCCTGTAATCTCAGCACTTTGGGAGGCCTAGGTGGCTGGATCACTTGAGGGCAGGAGTTCAAGACCAGCCTGGCCAAATAATGAAACCTTGTCTCTGTTAAGAATACAAAAAATTAGCTGGCCATGGTGGCTCAAGCCTGTAGTCCCAGCTACTCAGGAGGCTGAGGCATGAGAATTGCTTGAACCTGGGAGGCCGAGTTTACAGTGAGCCGCGATCATGCCACTGCATTCCAGCCTGGGCAACAAAGCAAAACTCTATCTCTAAATAAATAAATAAATAAATAAATAAGAATACATTTAAAGATAATAATTGGCCAGGTGTGGTGGTTCATGCCTGTGATCACAGCACTTTGGGAGGCCGAGGTGGGAGGATTGCTTGAGGCAAGGAGTTCAAGATCAATCTGGGCAACACAGTGAGACCCTATCTCTACAAAAATTTAAAAATCAGCTGGGCATGATGGTGCATGCCTTTAGTCCCAGCTACTTGGGGGGCTGAGTTTGGAGGATCCCTTGAGCCCAGGAGATCAAGGCTGCAGTAGGCCATGATCTTGCCACTACACTCTAGCCTGAGTTACAGAGCTAGAGTATAACCCCCACCCCCCAAAAAAGCTAATAATTGTCAAACAGCTACTTATGCACATCAAGGATGCTTGTTGCTTAAGAAATCTTTTTAAATCTTTTCCATGAAATTCCTTCTAGTTGCTGCTTTGTGAGCGTGAATTTTTTACTTCTGCAGGACACACAAATGTGGAGCATTTGAACTGAATGCTTGGGAAAGTGTGATGGGCAGGTGGAAGAAGAATAGGGATGAGGACTTATCCTCTATTCTTATCCTCCTAGACTTATCCTCCTAGTCTGCAAGCTTGAGAATATGGCATCAGGAATATGTGGCATTTTGTCCACACACACAGTGTTGGCAGGCTACCAGCAGCCCAGCTATCTGGACTAGGGGTGATGGATTTCTGTGGACAGAAGTCAAAAAGTAAAATTAGGAGGCAAAAATCTTCAGGGTGGCCATAAAGACATTGTAACTTGTCTGGAAATTCCAACCAACACTAAATGTGTATCCAGTGATATACCAATAGACTGGCTTCATCTTCTTGGATGTGTAATAATACCTTACAGAATGCTTTCTTTTTTTTTTTCTTTTTCTTTTTCTTTATTTTTTTTGAAATGAAGTTTTGCTCTTGTTGCCCAGGCTGGAGTGTAATGGCACAATCTCAGCTCACTGCAACCTCCACCTCCCAGGTTCAAGCGATTGTCCTGCCTCATCCTCCCGAGTAGCTGGGATTACAGGCATGTGCCACCATGCCCGGCTAATTTTGTATTTTTAGTAGAGACGGGGTTTCTCCATGTTGGTTAGGCTGGTCTCAAACTCCCGACCTCAGGTGATCTGCCCACCTTGGCCTCCCAAAGTGCTGGGGTTACAGGCGTGAGCCACTGCGCCCGGCCTCAGAATCCTTTCACAGACATCATCTCATTTCACCCTCAGAGCACCGTGAAAAGGTACAGCACCAAATAGGTACCTGATTCTACTGAAGAAGATGTGGCAGCTCAGGGAGTTTGTGGATTTGTCTAAGATTGCCTGGCTTTCAGGCAGAGCTGGGGCTAGAATGAATGTTCTGCTCTATCCATTGATAGAATATACATAAGAACAGGCTTGATGGTGGCTGACCTTTTTTTTTTTTTTTTTTTTGAGACAGAGTTTTGCTCTTGTCACCTAGGTTGGAGTGCAGTGGCGTGATCTCGGCTCACCGCAACCTCCACCTCCTGGGTTCAAGCGATTCTCCTGCCTCAGCCTTCTGAGTAGCTGGGTTTACAGGCAAGCGCTGCCACACCCGGCTAATTTTGTATTTTTAGTAGAGACTGGGTTTCTCCATGTTGGCCAGGCTGGTCCCGAACTCCTGATTTCAGGTGATCTGCCCACCTTGGCCTCTCAAAGTGCTGGGATTACAGGCATGAGCCACCCGCGCCCGGGTGACTGATTTCTTATTAACTAGATTTACAGGTGCTTTGATAAAAACCAGTCTAGTCTTGGCTGGCACGGTGGCTCATGCCTGTAATCCCAGCACTTTGGGAGCCCAAGGCGGGCGGGTCACGAGGTCAAGAGATCAAGACCATCCTGGCTAACATGGTGAAACCCCGTCTCTACTAAAAAATAGAAAAAATTAGCTGGGCATGGTGGCGGGCACCTGTAGTCCCAGCTACTTGAGAGGCTGAGGCAGGAGAATGGCTGAACCCGGGAGGTGGAGCTTGCAGTGAGCCAAGATTGCACCACTGCACTCCAGCCTGGGCAACAGAGCAAGACTCCATCTCAAAAAAAAAAAAAAAAAAGTGTAGTCTTTTTGGAGTGTTTTTCTGCCATTTCTAGGGCCAAACTTTTTCTTGTCCATGAATCATTGTCAAAATTGGGAATTTTAAATACTACTTTTTTCTTTTAATTCAAAAGCCATAGTATGTTTCCCAGCCAGTACATTAGAACACCATGCACGATCCCATGTGTACAAAAAGCTTTCTGGCTGAATTCAGATGTGACCTGAGAGGGCCAAATACAGGGGTGTGTGCTGGGAGAGAGAGAGAGGTCTCTGGACAGAAAACAAAGCCTGTTCACCACCCAGGATATGGACCAACTATTTTAGGTTATGGTGACTAAAGAAAATTGACATGCAAATAAATGAATAATTCTTAGAATCAGGATGTCTGGGTACTGGTTCTTTGGTTGGCCAGGTGAAATTCCATGCCAGGCCCAACAATTAAACTCTTTAGAGACAATTTTTTCCTGTTGTACCAGAACATTGTACTGAGGCCATGTTTGAACATTCAATCGATGTGTTGGGAAAACTCTGCCCTACAATGTTAAAGAAATTAAATCTTTTGGGGAGTCTTTCCTTTGACCAGTTTATATCTCTGTTTTAGAGGAGGGCTTCTCAACCAGAATGGGTTTGTTGACTTATTTTTACAGACCTCTGGTAGAAAGGAGGTCTTTTTTTGCTACCTGTTCTCCTGTCTCAGAGAACTATTACAATGGTGTAAGTTCATCATTTCTTCCCCTTATTATGGCTCTGCTTAGGAAGAAAAACTCTTTGCATTGGCTACCAAGTACCTAACTATTCAAGATGCCACTGACAAAGAGTTAATCTGTGAATCATGTGAATCTGATATATCTGAAATATATCCAAACAAAAAGCACCTAGCCTTTTAATGACTCTCCAGAAGTCAGTTCTCTAACTTTAATTATCATCCTTCTGGGGATATGTGGAAATTCTACAGAAGTTGATTGGTGATATGTTGAGATGTGAGATCTGTATTTTCTAAGCAAAGTTGCCATGCACCTGATTGATTGGCTAGGTGTATCCTGGCATTTGTCATTTGTTGGTGGGGTCTGATAGTTGGTTTCACCACTGCTGGGTACCCAGAGTCATCACATCCATAGAGACAGAATGTAGGCTGGTGGTTGCCAGGGGCTGGGGGAAGGGAGGAGTGGGGAATTTGTTTAACAGAGAGTTTTAGTTTTGCAAGATGAAATGAGTTCTAGAGATTGGTTGCACAATAATGTGAATATCCTTAACACTACTGAACTTTATACTTAGAAATGGCTAAGATGGTAAGTTTTATGTTACATGTATTTTAACACAATTAAAAAAGAAAAAAAAAAAAACAACTTCAGGCCAGGCACGGTGACTCACACCTGTAATCCCAGCACTTTGGGAGGCTAAGGCGGGCAGATCACTTGAGGTCAGGAGTTCAAGACCAGCCTGGCCAACATGGTGAAACCCCATCTCTACTAAAAATACAAAAATTAGCCTGGCCTAATTGTGCATGCTTATAATCCCAGCTAATTGTGAGGCTGAGGCAGGGGAATCGCCTCAAACCCTGGAGGTGGAGGTTGCAATGAGCCGAGATCACACCACTGCACTCTCCAGCCTGGGTGACAGAGTGAGATTTCATTTCAAAACAAAAAACCACTTTAGAAACTGCTAGTTTTGGCAATAGTTATCACTATATGTTTTATCCTGCATATTTTCTGTTAAGAATAAGGAATTGTTTATGTTGATCAGGAATCTAAGTAATTAAAATACAAAATTCTGGCTGGTGGCTCTCGCTTGTAATCCCAGCACTTTGGGAGGCCAAGGCGGGTGGATCATTTGAGGTCGGAAGTTCAAGACCAGGCTGGTCAACATGGTGAAACCCCATCTCTACTAAAAGTACAAAAAATTAGCTGGGCATGGTGGTAGGCACCTGTAATCCCAGCTACTAGGGAGGCTGAGGCAGGAGAAGCACTTGAAGTCAAGAGGCGGAGGTTGCAGTGAGCCAAGATTGTACCACTGCACTCCAGCCTGGGTGACACAGCGAAACTCCATGTAAAAAAAAAATGAAATATAAAATTCCATACTCATTATTAATTACATATAGTATTAAAATAAAACCCAAACACCAAACCTTCCTTGATCCTATATCCTTCTCCAGCTACCATTCTCTCTCCTCTCCTTGGTCCAAATTTTTGATTTACAATGTTGGTTGGAAGTGGTACCACTTTGGTGTTAGTTCCTTATCATTTTACCTGGTCTGTCCTGCCTCTTCCTGGTACATTAGCTCCCTGAAGGCAGGGTGTATGTCCCAGAACTCCTTGAAGTCCCTTTTCTCAGCATACTACCATGCCTACTGCAGCACCCCCCATCTTTAATGTCCTTGACTTGGTGAAATATTACATTTTGAACACATTTCCTCACTTCCTTATGACAAATATTGATTGAGTTTCAGTGCAAGGTGAGTAAGAAATGGTACTTGCTTTCAAGGAGCTAAAAATCTGAATTTCCTTTTTTTTTTCTTTTTCTTTTTCTTTTTTTTTTTTTTTTGAGACAGAGTCTCACTCTGTCACCTGGGCTGGAGTGCAGTGGCACGATCTCAGCTTAATGCAGCCTCCGCCTCCCAGATTCAGTGATTCTCATGTCTTAGCCTCTCGAGTAGCTGGGACTACAGGCATGCACCACCACGCCTGGCTAACTTTTGTATTTTTAGTGAAGATGGTGTTTCACCATCTTGGCCAGGCTGGCCTCAAACTCTTGACCTCATGTGATCCACCCACCTCGGCCTCCCAAAGTGCTGAGATTACAGGCATTGACTTTACTTCTTACTCTCCTATGCACCTCTATCATTTTGAAGAAGGGTTCAAGGTAGTTCTGATAAGCAGGATTAGGTTTGTATGTAAGTGATTAAAGGGGTGCTATGAGCAAAAAAAGTGTGAAGGTATAACAAGCCAACCACCTCACAATGCAGTTTGCATGTTTCTTAATGGACATAGCAGGTTTTCTGTAAGAAAACAGCAGGAGATTCGTGTGGAATGATGGGTTGAGGCAACATAGTGGCATCCCTTGAATGCTCGAAGAATGTGACTTAGAGTTTGGTGGGAAGCAGAGAGCTGGGTTTTAAGAACATGAATCTGACAACTCTATGGATCTGGAGGAGAAGCTAACTGGGGACGAGGAGCAGTAAGAAGCCTGTTACAGATGCACTGATAAGAAGTAATGAGAGCTGGCCGGGCACAGTGGCTCACGCCTGTAATCCCAGCACTTTGGGAGGCCGAGGCGGGCAAATCACAAGGTCAGGATTTCAAGACGAGCCTGGCCAACATGGTGAAACGCCGTCTCTACTAAAAATACAAAAAGTTAGCTGGGCGTGGTGGCGGGCGCCTATAATCCCAGCTACTCGGGATGCTGAGGCAGAAGAATCGCTTGAACCTGGAAGGTGGAGGTTGCAGTGAGCCGAGATTGCGCCACTGCACTCCAGCCTGGGTGACAGTGCGAGACTCCGTCTCAAAAAAAAAAAAAAAAAGTAATGCGATAATGAGAGCTTACTTCAAGATGGCAGCAAAAGACAGTGGAAAAAAGGCATTGGGAAAAAAAGCCAATGTGCCTTGATGAGTAAAGTTAACTGAGTCAAGGGGAGAAGTCAAAGGTAACTATGATGGGCTTTTTCTATTAACACAAATAGGAAATGAGTGGTTTTGGGAAAGAAAGTGATGAATTACCCCTCAGATATTGTATTAATTGTCTATTACTGTGGCCGGGCATGGTAGCTCATGCCTGTAATCCCAGCACTTTGGGAGGCCGAAACAGGCAGATCACTTGAGGTCAGGAGTTCGAGACCAGCCTGGCCAACACGGTGAAACCCTGTCTCTACTAAAAATACAAAAATTAGTGTGGTGGTGTATGCCTGTAATCCCAGCTACTCAGGAGGCTGAGACATGATAATTGCTTGAACCTGGGAGGCAGAGATTGCAGTGAGCTGATATGGCGCCATTGCACTCCAGCCTAGGCAACAAGAGTGAAACTCCATCTCAAAAAAAAAGATTTGCCTGTAATCAGCCAGCACCCCCAGCCTTGTGCTCACTTTACATACAAAAATTCTGTTTTTTAGAGCATAAATTGAAGGGCACATTCAAAACTGATACGTAGGCCAGGCATGGTGACTTATGCCTGTAATCCCAGCACTTTGGGAGACCGAGGCAGGTGGATCACTCGAGATCAGGAGTTTGAGACCAGCCTGGCCAACGTGGTGAAACCCCATCCCTACTAAAAAATACAACAAATTAGCCAGTCACAGTGGTGCGCACCCATAGTCTCAGCTACTCGTGAGGCTGAGGCAGGAGAATCACTAGAACCTGGGAGGCAGGAGGTTGCAGTGAGCCGAGATCATGCCACTGCACTCCAGCCTGGGTGACAGAGTGAGACCTTGTCTCAAAAACAAAGACAAAACCAAAACAAAACAAAACTGAGAAGCAACAGATTGATAAGTGACACAGTTACACTGGTCAGTCTCTTCAGCTAATACCCATTGTTTTTTATTATTGGAGATTCATAATGTGTTTTCTTTCTTTTAAAAACTTTTTTCGGAAATGGTAATTTCTCTCTTTTTTTTTTTTTTTTTTTTTTTTTGAGACAGGGTCTCACTCTATCACCCAGGCTGGAGCGCGGTGGCACAATCTCTGCTCACTACAACCTCTGCCTCCTGGGCTTGAGCAATCACACCTCAGCCTCTTGAGTAGCTGGGACAACAGGCACATGCCACCATTCCTGGCTAATTTTTAGTAGAGACGGGGTTTCACCATGTTGCCCAGGCTGGTCTCGAACTCCTGACCTCAAGTAATCTGCCCACCTCAGCCTCCCAAAGTATTGGGATTACAGGCGTGAGCCACTACGCTTGGCCTCATAGCGTATTTTAATATTGGTTGAGACTAGCCTTGCTCATTGATCTTCTCTTAGCGTTTACTTGGTTATTCTTGCTTATTTTTCCATAAGAACTTTCATTTTTATTTAATCCTGTGTTTTTTGGTTTTAAAGACTATTTTATAATAAATTTTCGTGATTAAACTCTTGTGCTTAAACTCTTGATTAAACAAACAAGCAATGAAGAGATGAATGAAGCAGAAAATGTGAGTTTCATGCCTCACATTCCCACTCCTCTGAGGTTAATATTTTCATGTATATTTTTCAGGATGTATTTGTAATCTCATACAAACGTATGTATTTTTTTAATGAAAATATTTAAATTTTCATAGTTAACAGCTGTAGCTCTAACTTGGCAATATCTTCTGTGTTTCTTTACAGCCATTATACTTGCCCACGAATCTTTGAGAACATTATAATGACCTTTGTGCCTCTTCTTGCAAGGTGTTTTCTCAGCTGTTATCTCAAGACATGGATATAAAAAACTCACCATCTAGCCTTAATTCTCCTTCCTCCTACAACTGCAGTCAATCCATCTTACCCCTGGAGCACGGCTCCATATACATACCTTCCTCCTATGTAGACAGCCACCATGAATATCCAGCCATGACATTCTATAGCCCTGCTGTGATGAATTACAGCATTCCCAGCAATGTCACTAACTTGGAAGGTGGGCCTGGTCGGCAGACCACAAGCCCAAATGTGTTGTGGCCAACACCTGGGCACCTTTCTCCTTTAGTGGTCCATCGCCAGTTATCACATCTGTATGCGGAACCTCAAAAGAGTCCCTGGTGTGAAGCAAGATCGCTAGAACACACCTTACCTGTAAACAGGTAAGTCCAGTCTTCATTCTGAATTATAGTTGCTAGCCATTTCTCAAATCACTTTATGGTTGAGTGAGAAGGAAATAATATGTTAGACAAGGTCTTTATTGTATTAATTACATAGTTTACTTACAGCACCCAAAACACAGGATGCCCTGTTCTATTCTGATATTTTAGTTCTCATTAAAAACTGGTATGTGTACATCAGTGTTGTGGGGAGAATTTGCTATCATGACTATTGTCTTTATACAGTAAATACTGAACTTAAGTCACTCCTTTTCTTTTTTTGAGACAGGGTCTCGCTCTGTCACTCAGACTGGAGTATAATGGCACGATTGCGGCTCACTGCAACCTTCACCTCCTGGGTTCAAGCAATTCTCGTGCCTTAGTCTCCCGAGTAGCTGGGATTACAGGCGCGTGCCACCACGCCCAGCTCATTTTTTAAATTTTTAGTAGAGACAGGGTTTCACCATGTTGGCTAGGCTGGTCTTGAACTCCTGACCTCAAATGATCCACCTGCCTTGGCCTCCCAAAGTGCTGGGATTACAGACGTGATGAACACTGTGCCTGGTCTGAACTTAAGTCACTCTTAATGGAGTTATTTGGATTTGAAAAATGAATTTTTACTTTACTTTCAGTTTCAAAGTCTTCTTATAGTGAAACCACAATTTAATGTTCATGACAAATTGTTTCCAGGATAAAAGTAACTGTGATAGTATTACAACTTAAATGAAATTCTAGACATGCGAAGCATGAAAAGATAGATGATTGGTATAAGCTTTTTAACCATGAACTAAAATAATAACATTATATAAAGATTGGTGGAAACTATTGAAGTTTAGGCTTCAGTTGACATTCCCTGAAGTTAAAAAGGATATGTGTACTCTTTAAATGCAAGGTAACATAATGGATTATTTCCATCTAATTATTAATATTTCTAATGATAATCATAGGTATGAAGGGAATGGATAGTATAATGAGAAAGGAGAGGGGGAGATAAAAATCTAAAAGTACTAAGGGCATGTTGGATATTGAAATTCACTACTTTCAAATATTATCATAAAACTTTGAGACAGTAACATTGCACCATTATTTTTCTTCTTTTAAAAACATTTTACTCATTGGTAAAGAGAATATAAACATTGTGGATAACTTTTTTAAAGTAATGGTTTGTTTTTTTTTTCTCCTTCCTCCTTTAAAGGAAGACATATTTTGTTTCTGAGCATGAATTATAATCAAAGTTCTGCTAATTTTTGGGCAAATTAATCCATTATATAATTACCTTCATTTATAAATCAATAATACCTTTACCATTCCCTTTCCAAAAGAACCATGCCTGGCAACATCAGGAACTAGCCAGATGTGTTTTGGAGGCTGCCTGGGGATCCCTTGTTAGACTTTTCGTTCCTTTATGAACCTCTTGCCTGTGGTCCAGCATTGAGCCTCTGCTTCCTTCCAAGCCTTTCCAGGCCAGGCACTTGCTTGTTCTCTCTCTTCTCTTCTCTCTTCTTTTTTCTCTCTCCCTTTCTCTTCTCTTCCCCCTTTTTCTTGTCTCACATTCATCTCAAGGTAACTTAAAGTCCATTTGTTATTCCTCTTAAAGTTATTTTTATTTTATTTTTTTGAGATGGAGTCTCACTCTGTTGCCCAGGCTGGAGTGCAGTGGCACAGTCTTGGCTCACTGCAACCTCTGCCTCCCGGGTTCAAGCAATCTCCTGCTTCATCCTCCAAAGTAGCTGGGATTACAGGTGTGCACCACCATGTCTGGCTAATTTTTGTATTTTTAGTAGAGATAGGGTTTCACCTTGTTGGCCAAGCTGGTCTCGAACTTCTGGCCTCAGGTGATACGCCCACCTTGGCTCCCCAATGTGCTAGGATTACAGGCATGAACCATTGCGCCCAACCTGAAAGTTATTTTAAATCTAGACCTTTATCTGAAATTGCAGAGTGTGAGATGTTTGTTCTCCATTTAAATGGGAACTTCAAATGTCTGAAGGGCTGCTTAGCAATGCTGTTGGGAATGACTGATGTTTGGAAGTGGTTGAATGCCTTCACACCCATCCATGCAGCATTCGTGAACTCTAGTAACTACAGAAGACCAATGCATATCCTGCCTGTGGTTCAGACCTGTGGGTAAGATTTGATCTGGCCACTCCTTTCATTACACTTAGAGATGTAGCTCCCACCCCATGGCTATGACTGGTCTTCGGCAGTGACAAATGCTCATCAGCATCACGTGGATGGGCATAAACTCACCTACCCACTTTCAAACATTAGTCATTCCCCACAGCGTGGCTCTTTGTAGATATGATATCAGTATCAAAAGCTTTGCTGTATCAGATTTCCGGGAATATATTTACCAGGAACCCTGGAGGAAAAAGAGATTAAATTAGGCAATGTTCATGCTATTTTTTTTTCCTAGAAAGCCCTTCCTTTCCCTTTTATGCTCTGTTCAATGGATATTTTCTTTGCTCCCTAGAGAGACACTGAAAAGGAAGGTTAGTGGGAACCGTTGCGCCAGCCCTGTTACTGGTCCAGGTTCAAAGAGGGATGCTCACTTCTGCGCTGTCTGCAGCGATTACGCATCGGGATATCACTATGGAGTCTGGTCGTGTGAAGGATGTAAGGCCTTTTTTAAAAGAAGCATTCAAGGTACAAGAGAATTGTTAACTGCTTCTTTAGTTTCCTACTTTTGATTTCAAACAATTTTGCAGAGATGACTTGGCAGAAATGTCACTACTGGCCTGTTTGGCACACAAAGTATTTGATGAGCAGTTCAGAGGATCATGTGTGTTTGGAAGTGGGTTGGGTGGTGGGGTGGAATTGCAGATTTCTACCCCAGAACCCCAAGATTATACAGCCAACTCGAATGGGTCTTACCCCTCGTTCACCCACATGGGTGTTGGATAGAAGACATCGAGTTACAACCTTGTGAAGATGTCTCTTGGAAAAAATGTGCTCACAAGGAGTTGCAAAGATTGTTTCTTTCTTTTACTTAAATTTAATATATAGCATGCTTAACAGTCATGATGGTGGGCTGGCTCCTGAGGAAGAAAGAATAAACACATTTTTTGGAAATGGTCAGAAATCAGGAATTCAGCTACAGTGGACTTTGAGAATTGATCTAGACACATTTCTTCCCCTAGGCTAGGAGGGTCTCAGTTCACAATCCCCTTGTTTTCTGGGCTGTGTTTAGATTATTTCCCTAACTTTCTCTAAACGCCTTCTGGATTTTTTTTTTTAAATCAACTTGTTGATGAAAAGAATCAAACTCTGTAAAATATTTGAAGAGATTTATTCTGAGCCAAATATGAGTGACAAATGGCCTGTGACATAGCCCTCAGGAGATCTGAGAACATGTGCCCAAGGTGGTCAGGCCACAACTTGGTCTTATACATTTTAGGGAGACATAAGGCATTAATCAATGCATGTAAGATGTACATTGATTCAGCCTGAAAAGGCAGGACACCTGAAAGCAGGGGCTTCCAAGTCACAGGCAGTTCAAAGATTTTCTGATTGGCAATTGATTGAAAGAATTATTATCAGTAGGAAGCAATGATTGGGTTACAATAAGGGATTGTGGAGACCAAGGTTTTATCATGCAGATGAAGCCTCCAGGTAGCAGGCTTCAGAGAGAATAGATTGTAAATATTTCTTAGGGGTCTTAAAGGGTCTGTTCTATCAGTGATTCCAAAAGGGGAGGGAGGGTATAATGAACCATGTCTGTCTCCCTTGTTCCATCATGGCCTAAACTTATTTTTCAGGTTAACTTTGTAATGCCCTTGGCCAAGAGGAGGGACCCATTCAGATGGTTGAGGGGCCTTAGAATTTTATTTTTTGGTTTATAAACTTCAAGTTGTGCACCCCTGATTTCAAGGCTGGTCAGCTCATCTCCCTGCATGTGTCTTTGCTACACTCCTTCTCTCGTACCAGCCCTGATTTGCTGAAGTCACTTTCTTGCTTACTCTTGTTTTCTCTATTTGCCCCATAACCTGTCCCTCAACTGCTCCCTCCCAGGCAACACCCTATGTTTCCATCTGAAAGCTCCCTTCCTTTTTCTATCAAAGCCCCAATGCTTTGTTCTTTGCCAGTTAAGAAAAGCAACGTTGAGAGAATTCATAGTGTGTAAATGGCAAATAGCAATTTACTAAATTAACTCACCCATTGATAACTCTAAGAGGATGTTTTACCTTAAGCAGAGAAATACTGATAGAATCCAGGATATGGTGAGGAGTGAAATGTTGGTAGTCACCTTCCTACCTGTCCCCTGAAATTCACCCTGTATGAATGGCAGCCTCTTTGTCCTGGATTTTATAATTACTAGCTCTGCGACTTCACCTCCTAGCCTGTTTCCTCCTCTGTGAAATGGAGATACTCATAGGGATTTTCTAAAGATGAAATAAGGTTGATTATATGAAAACATATTCAGTGCTCAAATATTTTATTTGTGACAATCTTAACAGTAGATTATAAGGCCAAGTCCATTTCCTGGCTATATGATAAGAACAATATTGATTTTCTGAAATTCTGAACTGAATTCTTGATACGATGACTATTTTGTATCTTGCTGAGTTTCTAGGATTTTACCCCTTAAGAACGTTTGGACCTATTACTACTAACCATATCTTTTAAAAAGAGATCCTTCTTTTTTTTTTTTGCTTTTGGGGAAACATTGGTCTGCTTGAAACATCTTTGACCCCTGAGACTACAGCTAATAACAATTGAAAGTAAATTTCCTTTGCTTCTCTATGTTGTTTCTTCCTTCCTGCTGCATCAGACAGGAATGTCAAATTCTAAATGTGCAAAGAGGAAAGAGTTAAAGCTGTTACAGTTGTACAGTTGTAGTGCCTAAATGATCCTTTCTTTGCATGCTTCCTGTCTTTGATATAAGTGCATTACAGTAACTGAAAGTGGCCACTTATTTTTAAAATTGTCTCAAATAGGCCAGGATGGTACAGTATTGAGAAATTCCTTGCATGTAACTTTTTTTTTTTTTTTTTTTTTTTTGGAGATGGAGTCTCATTCTGTCACCCAGGCTGGAGTGCAGTGGCACAATCTCGGCTCACTGCAAGCTCTGCCTCCCAGATTCACACCATTCTCCTGCCTCAGACTCCCAAGTAGCTGGGATTACAGGAGCTGGCCACCACACCCTGCTAATTTTTTGTATTTTTAGTAGAGACAGGGTTTCGGCATGTTAGCCAGGATGGTCTCGATCTCCTGACCTTGTGATCCGCCCGCCTCGGCCTCCCAAAGTGCTGGGATTACAGGTGTGAGCCACCGCACCTGGCCCATTCTTATGTTTTTTATAATTTTAAACTTGTCTTGCTAACTTGATTTATAAGCTAATTGACCATATCTTAGTCATGTACCTGTCCCCTTCACTGTACAAATGCACTGGAAGCTGTGTTGTGCTTGCTTTTCCATTGATACTTTGTTGGCTTCTTCACACAATGAGTTGCCATCAGAGTGATAAGTGCTGTTGTTTCTCTACTGGGTTATGGAGCACAGAGGAAGGAGGACATAGGGAGAAGGACCTCATCACTTCATCTGGTCCAGATGACAGCATGGCTTATTTTTTGAGCTTATCCTTTACTTTTTGTTCTCTTTCCTATTGGTGTTCATTTAACAAATATTTATTGAGCATTGTACCAGGCTCTACGGATGCAGTGGTGAACAAGACAATAGATTATAGATTCCATGAGGGCAAGGATTTTTGTCCATTTTGTTCACTAGTGGCACTTACCAATTCCTTGAATATGATTTTTCAAAATTAATTGGGCTTATACACAGAGTTCTGTATCATTTTTCACTTAATATTGTCGTATAAGCATTTCTGTTGTTAAATTTCCAGAGACCCTTTTCACAACTGCACAACTGTGTAATATTCTATCTTATGATCAGATTTAATTTATTTAACTCTTTATTATTGAAGGCCCTATCAATTATTTTCATTGTTTTAATGCTATGGTTACTTTATTTGTTCATGAAGTTTTGAAAAAAATAAGTTTCTCTGGATATGTTTTTAGAACAAATCTGTGGGGTCAGAGTGCATTAATGTTTAAAGTTCTTGACAGATGTTTTCAAGTGTTCAAGTCTTAAGAAGGTTGTACAGACTTGCTCTTTTACCAGCAGTGTGAGTGTCGCTTTTTCCAACCTCTTGGTAGCATTGACTCTTATCAAAAAGAAAAAAACCTTGCTACATTGATACGTGATGTATAGTATCTTTTGGTTTCAATTTGCTTCTCTTTATTAGTGAGGTAAATGTTTTCTCATAAATCTATCTGCCATTTGTATTTTCTCTTTTATCTTCTTTATTCAGAGATTTTGCCCGTTTTTATATTGGGTTCTGGCATTTGCTTGATAAATTTATTGTGTGCTTTATATATTAACCTATTATTACATGTATGACAAATATTTTTTCCACTTGACTCTGATTTTGATATGCAGAAATAGTTAATCTTTAAATAGTCAAATATTACCAACTTTGATAGTTTTGTGTATAGTTTTTAAGCCTAAAAAAAGTCCTTTCATACCCAGGCATTATATAAACTTTTGCGCATATTTTGTTATTTAATAGTTTGTTTTTACATTTTATTATTTAATTCAAAAGAAATTTATTTTGGCATACTGAATGAAATAACCAAATGTATTTATCTCTCGTTAATTTTCTCCACATCATTTTACTTAATAAATCCATTCATTTTTCATTGATTTAAAATATGGGAGCCAATTTTTAAAAGTTGAGTTTGAGATATAATATGCATACAATAAAATTTACCTATTTTCATTACTGGTAATAGTAAGTACATAGAAAACCACAGAATAATATAACACTGTTAATTGTGGTTTGTAACCTCATATTTTGAGTAGAAAGTCTAAAGGAAGAACCAATGAAAAACAATAACTACAACTTTTTTTTTCTTTTTTTTTGAGACAGAGTCTCACTCTGTCATCCAGGCTGGAGTGTAATGGTGCAATCTCGGCTCACTGAAACCTCCGACTCCCAGGTTCAAGGGATTCTCCTGCCTCAGCCTCCCAAGTAGCTGGGATTACAGACACCCACCACCACGCCTGGCTAATTTTTGTATTTTTAGTAGAGATGGGGTTTCACCATATTGGCCAGGCTGGTCTCGAACTCCTGACCTCAGGAGATCAGCCCACCTCAGACACATGTAGATTGAAAATAAAGGGATGGAAAAATATTTCATGCAAATGGAAACCAAAAAAGAGCAGGAGTGGCTATACTTAGACCAGACCAAATAGAGTTCAAGACAAAAACTATAAAAAGAGACAAAAAAGGTCACTAATAATAAAGATGTCAATTCAGCAAGAGAATATAACAATTGTAAATATGTCTGGAGCACACAGATATATAAAGCAAATATTATTAGAGCTAAAGAGAGAGACAGACTGATATGGTAATAGCTGGACACTTTAACACTCCACTTTCAGCATCGAACAGATCATCCAGACACAAAATCAACAAAGAAATGTCAGATTTAATCTGCACTAAAGACCAAATGGACCTAATAGATATTTACAGAATATTTCATCCAGTGGCTGCAACATACACATTCTTTTCCTCAGCACATGGATCATTCTGAAGGATATACCATATATTAGGCCACAAGACAAGTGTTAAAACATTCAAAAAAACTGGAATCAAATCAAGCACCTTCTTTGACCACAATGGAATAAAACTAGAAATCAATAAAGAATTTTGGAAACTATACAAACATGGAAATTAAACCATATACTCCTGAACAACCAGTGTGTCAATGAAGAAATTAAGAAGGAAATTAAAAATTTCTTGAAACAAATGGTAATGGAAACAACATACCAAAACCTATAGGATACAGTGAAAGCAGTACTAAGAGGAAAGTTTATAGCTTAAGTGCCTACATCTAAAAAGTAGAAAATCTTGAAGTAAACAACTTAATGATGTATCTTAAAGAACTAGAAAAGCAAGAGCAAGCCAAACCCAAAATTAATAGAAGAAAAGAAATATTCATAAAAAGATCAAAGCAGAAATAAATGAAATTGAAACCAAGAAAACAACACAAAAGATTGACAAAATATGAAGGTTTTTTTGAGAAAATAAACCTGACAGATCTTTAGCCAGACTAATTTTTTTAAAAAAAAGATAGAAGAGTCGAATAAAATCAGATGAAAAAGGAGATGTTACAACTGATACCGCAGAAATCTAAAGGATCATTATAGGCTATTATAAGCAACTATATGATAATAATTTGGAAAACCTAGAAGAAATGGATAAATTCCTAGACCACATACATACTGTTAAGATTGAACTATGAAGAAATCCGAAACCTGAACATACCAGTAACAAGTAACAAGATTGAAGCTGTTATAAAAAGCCTCCCAGCAAGCTGGGCACAATGGCTCATACCTATAATCCCAGCACTTTGGGAAGCCAAGGCAGGAGGATCACCTTAACCCAGGAGTTCAAGATTAGCCTGGACAACACACAGAGATCCCTATCTCTACAAAAAAAAAAAAAATTACAAATTAGCCAGGTGTGGTGGTATGCATCTGTAGTCCCAGCTCTTCAGGAGGCTGAGGTGGGAGGATAGCTTGGGACCGGGAAGTCAAGACTGTGGTAAGACAAGATTGCACCACTGCATTCTAGCCTGGGTGATGGAGTGTGATCAGGTCTCAAAAAAAAAAAAAAAAAGTCTCTCAGCAAAGAAAAGCCAGGACTGATGGCTTCATCCAGAATTTTACCAAACATTTAAAGAAGAACTAATGCCAATCCTATTCAAACAATTCTGAAAAATAGAGAAGGAGGAGGGAATAATTTCAAAATCATTCCGTGAGACCAGTATTACCGTGATACCAGAACCAAAGAAACATCAAAAGAATATGACAGACCAATATCCCCAATGAATATTGATGTAAAAATCCTCAATAAAATACAAACCAAATGCAACAACACGTTAAAAAGATTATTCATCATAACCAGGTGGAATTTATCCCAGGGATGCAAGGATGGTTCAACATATGCAAATTAATTTGATGCACCATATCGACAGAATGAAGGTGGAAAACCATATAATTTCAATTGATGCTGAAAAGGCATTTGATAAAATTCAACATCCCTTCATGATAAAAACCCTTAAAAAACTGGGTATAGACAGAATATACCTCAGCCCAATAACAGACATATAACAGACCCACAGCTAGTATCACACTTAATGGAGAAAAACTGAAAGCCTTTCCTCTATATGGAACATGACGAGGATGCCCACTTTCACCACTGTTATTCAACATAGTACTGGAAGTCCTAGCTAGAGCAATCAGAAAAGAGAAATAAAGGGCATCTAAATTGGAAAGGAAGAAGTCTAATTATCCTAGTTTGCTGATGATCTTATATTTGGAAAAATTGAAAAATTCCACCAAAAAACTATTAGATCTAATAAATTCAGTAAAGTTGCAGGATCAGTAGCATTTCTATATGCCAACAGCAAACAATCTGAAAAAAAAATCTAAAGTGATCTCATTTACAGTAGCTACAAATAAAATACCTGGGAATTAACCAAATAAGTGAAAGTTCTCTACAATGAAAACTATAAAACACTGGTGAAAGAAATTGAAGAGGACAAAAAAAATGGAAAGATATTCCATGTTCATGGAATGGAGGAATTAATATGTCCATACTACCCAAAGCAATCTACAGATTCAGTGCAATTTTATCAAAATACCAATGATATTTTCACAGAAATAGAAAAAACAACCCTAAAATTTGTATGGAACCACAAAAGATCCAGAATAACCAAAGCTATTCTGAGCAAAAATATCAAAACTGTGGAAGAATCACATTACCTGACTATAAATTATACCATAGAGCTATAGCAACCAAAACAACGTGGTACTAGCCTAAAACAGACATAGGGATCAATGGAACAGAATAGAGAACCCAGAAACAAATCCATACATCTACAGTTAACTCATTTTTGAAAATAGTCTCTTCAATAAATGGTGCTGGGAAAACTGGATATCCATGTACAGAAGAATAAAACTAGATCCCTATCTCTCACCATATACAAAAATCAAGTCCAGATGGATCAGTGACTTAAATCTAAGGCCTCAAACTATGAAACTACTAAAAGAAAACACGGGGAAACTCTCCAGGACATTGGGTGGGGCAAATATTTCTTGAGTAATAATACCACACAAGCACAGGCAACCAAAGTAAAAGTGGACAAATGGAATCACATCAAGTTAAAAAACTGCTTGCATGGCAAAGGAACAATCAATGAAGTGAAGAGACAACACACAGAATGGGAGAAAATATCTGCAAACATCTGACAAGGTATTAACAATCAGAATATAGAAGGAGCTCAAACAACTCTACAAAAAAACTTAAAAATCCAATTTAAAAATGGGCAAAAGAGCTGAGTAAACATTTCTCAAAAGAAGATGTACAAATGGCAAATGGGTATATGAAAAGGAGTTCAACATCATTAATTATCAGAGAAATGCAAATCAAAACTACAATGAGATACCATCTTACCCCAAAGTAGCTTATATCCAAAAGATGGGCAATAACAAATGCTAGTGAGGATGTAGAGAAAAGGGAACCCTGGTATACTGTTGGTCAGATTGTAAATTAGTACAACTACTATGGAGAACAGTTTGAAGTTTCCTCAAAAAACTACAAATAGAGCTACCATATGATCCAGCAATCCCACTGCTGGGTATGCACCCAAAAGAAAGGAAATCAGTATATCGAAGAGATGTCTGCAGTCCCATGTTTGTTGCAGCGCTGTTCACAATAGCCAAGATTTGGAAGCAACCTAAGTGTCCATCCACAGGTGAATATAGATAAAGAAAATGTGGAACATATACACCACTATTCGGCCATAAAATGAATGAGATCCTGTCACTTGCAACAACACAGATGCAACTGGAGGTCATGTTAAGTGAAATAACCAGACACACAAAGACAAACCTCCCATGTTCTCACTTATTTGTGGGAGCTAAAAATAAAAACAATTGCAGTGCCTCATGCCTGTAATCCTAGCACTTTGGGAGGTCGAGGCAGGCAGATTGCCTGAGCTCAGGAGTTCGAGACCAGCTTGGGCAACACGGTGAAACCCTGTCTCTACTAAAATACAAAAAATTAGCTGGGTGTGGCGGCATGCGCCTGTAGTCCCAGCTACTCGGGAGGCTGAGGCAGGAGAATTGCTTGAACCCGGGAGGTGGAGGTTGCAGTGAGTCGAGATCATGCCACTGAACTCCAGCCTGGGTGACAGAGAGAGACTCCGTCTCCAAAAAAGAAAAAGAAAGAAAACAATTGAACTTGTGGGGATAAAGTAGCAGGTTGGTTGCCAGAGGCTAGGAAGGGTAGTGGGAGTGGGGAAAGTGGGAGTCCCAGCTACATGGGAGGCTGAGATGGGAGGATTGCTTAAGCTCAGGAGGTGGAGGTTGCAGTGAGTTGAGATCACACCACTGCAACTCCAGCCTGGGCAACAGAGGGAGACCCTGTCTCGGAAAAAAAAAAAGATGATAAATCAAAGTATTTTAATAAAATTGGGCCATACTAGAGATGTTATTGTTTGAAATCAAATATATGAAGTATAGTTAATAATATAAGTGTAATAGAAGAAAAGGAGCCTTAGAAAGCTTGAAAAACATCGTTGTACTTCATATACATCTTCTTTGCTTACATTATAATGGACAATGCTGCAACAAACATGGAAGTGCAGATATCTCTTTGCAACATGAGAGATTCATGTAGATCTAAGAGACTGTGAAGACTGTTTCAATATTGGAGTTACAATTAGCTTTTTAATTACCTCTTCTGGCCAGCTGTGGTGGCTCACGCCTGTAATCCCAGCACTTTGGGAGACCAAGGCGGGTGGATCACCTGAGGTCAGGAATTCGAGACCAGACTGGCCAACACGGCCAAACCCCGTCTCTACTAAAAATACAAAAATTAGCTGGGCGTGGTGGTGGGTGCCTGAATCCCAGCTATTTGGGAGGCTGAGGCAGGAGTATCACTTGAACCCGGGGGGCAGAGGTTGCAGTGAGTCGAGATCGTGCCACTGCGCTCTAACCTAGGCAACAGAGGAAGGTTCTGTCTCAAAAAAAAAAAAATTACCTTTTCATTGTTTGCTAATGTGTAGAATTCTGCATGTAACATGTCCAGTTTAAAGAATGATTATAGAGCAAATCCCTGTGTAACCAGCGCTCAAACAATGAAATAGAATATAATGGCAGCCCAGAATCCCTTTGGGTGGTCCCTCCTGCCACACCTACTTCCCTCCCTGCAGAGGTGGGACAGTCCTCCTTTCTGCCTTCCTTGCTGTGTATGGTTTTACCACCTACACGTGCATCCCTAAACGATGCAGGTTGATTTTCTCTGTTTTTGAACTTTATGTGTTCATGTCTTCTACATATATTTTGTGACTTTTTTCTTTTATGACTTGCTCATTTCATTTATCATTGAGATTCATTTATTCTCCGCACTGAAATTCTGGTTCATTATAGGCTTAATGTAAGATGTTGAGGCCATATTGTTTATTAGAAAGGCACTAAAATGCCCTATTCACTTTCACTTTTGCTTCTCATCTATTTTATTATAATTTCTATTTCTTAACCCTTTCTCAAACCCATGTAGCTGTCCTCATCCTCCCTACCAACACCCCATCCAGACATCTCTCATTTGCACAACTACAGCAGGCTGTCATCTGGTCTCCTGGCCTCATCAGTTTTGCTGCCTCTGATTGGTTCTTCGTACTGCATCTGAAATAATTTTTGAAATATAAATATTCTTAGCTCTTCCTTGCATAAGAGAATTAAAAGTACCATTGTCTTAGAGATTGCTATATAACTAACAAGTTCAAACTCTTAGGATTTTACTACAATGGGCCTTATTTTCTGTACTTCTGTGTCTTTGAGTTGTTTAGAGTAGCTCTACTTCATAAACTTGGTTCTGGGCTTTTGTGGGAGGTCAGGTCTGTTCCACATGTCCCCACGTTCTTCTTGGACCAGTGGCTACCTCACAGGAGCTCAAGAGGCCAAGCCAAACTGTTGGAGCAGCACATCTATTGATATATCATTGGCTATAAAAAGTCCTGTGGTCAAGCCCAACATCAACTGGTAGGGAAGTGTTTGCTCTCTGCGCACTCTAGTACACTGCAGGGTCGCAAGGCTGAGGGAGAGAATGAAGAATTGAGAACGGTAATCCACCACAACTCTTGTCAATAGCAGTACTTTCTGTCATTATTTAGATTGCTAATTTCTTTATTTGTTCCTTTTGTTATTTTATTTGACTATGAATTCCCATAAAAATATTGTATTAAACCCGAAAGAGGGATATATGTAAAAGAATATAAGAAGTTGAATTTGATGACTTGATTTACAACTCTTGAGTTCTGTGACTTGGAGCAAATCAATTTAATGTTAGTCTTATTTTCCACATCCAAAGGATATATTTTTATATCTCTCTTTTGAGAATTCTAAGAATATGCAGAGAATAACATATTAGTAAAAAACCAGGATATTGAAATGTTCCTAGGTCTCCTTTACTCATTAACAAGGTGACAATGTAGCTTGACTTTGGCTTTGTACCTGTACTGGTCATTAAGAAGATGTCCCCTATCTCTCAGCTGGAAAGTGTTATCAGTGTTGTTGACCAGGAAGAGATTTAACTAAGAGATCATAGCAATAATCTTTTTTTCCCTCCCACTCTGCTATAGGACATAATGATTATATTTGTCCAGCTACAAATCAGTGTACAATCGATAAAAACCGGCGCAAGAGCTGCCAGGCCTGCCGACTTCGGAAGTGTTACGAAGTGGGAATGGTGAAGTGTGGTGAGTGCTTGCTTCCCTTCTTATTGAATATGGGCCTTGCTAAAAGCCCTGTCCTCTGAGGAACTGGGGACAGGTAGCCGGGAAAAGAGAAGATTTGGGACATAGTAATTAAGTATTTGCGTGTTGTCACATTGGAGGGGGCATTGACTTATCCACAGTAACTGCAGAGGACAGAGCTGGGGTGAATGGGAACAGATTATGGGAGGCAGATTTTGGCCCCAGGTAGAGAAGAGCTTTCTAGAGTTCAAGTGGTCTGACCACAGAATAGGCCACCAGATGGGTTAGGGGACTTCTAGCCACTGGAATCCTCAAACAGGGCTGGGTGGCCGTCTGTCTGTGATCTTGAAAAGTCCAGTTCTAAGGATGAAGTCGTGGTAAATGTCCATGGTTAAAACTCGTGACAAAAAAGTAGGATATCTTGTGGGTTACTGGGGTAGCCATGGGGAGGCTCACACCTATCCCCTCGTCTAGCTTTCTAGAAGTAGAAAAATATGTAGGAGTCAGAAACATAATGGAACTATGAAAAGTACATACAGCATAGATTTTGTTCTATGACAGTCATAGGTGTATACATATGTGTATTTAACATATTCACATACATATATTCACATGTATTTTGTACACTCACATACATTCGCATATATTTTATGCACAAAGAAAAGTGAGCACTTTGGTATATAACTGACAAAGATGCCAACACCCAGCTCTCTCCACCTGGCTAGATTTTGGTTCACTTGTCTGTACTCACTTGCTTGTTTATATGTACTCAGAGCAGTTCTGCCTGCACTTATTCTTCTGCTAGCCAGTATTTTACCTGTGGTTAATTGTAATTTCTCTGTGTAATTATTTGAAAATTTAAAACAAAAATCCATCACTTTACTCTCTGACAATTTCTTTTTTTTTTTTTTTTTGAGATGGAGTCTCGCTCTGTCACCCAGACTGGAGTGCAGTGGCCCATTCTCAGCCCACTACAAGCTCTGCCTCCCGGGTTCACATCATTCTCCTGCCTCAGCCTCCCAAGTAGCTGGGACTACAGGCACCCACCACCACGCCTGGCTAATTTTTTTTTTTTTTGTATTTTTAGTAGAGATGGGGTTTCATCATGTTAGCCAGGATGGTCTCGATCTCCTGACCTCGTGATCTGCCTGCCTTGGCCTCCCAGAGTGCTGGGATTACAGGTGTGAGCCACTGTACCCAGCCCTCCCTGACAATTTCTTAGTAGCTTTGCCTTGTGAGCATTCTCTGCCCTTTTCTTTTCTCTGTGTATGTAACAGATTAGAACCCTCAGCTATTATAGTTCAGTTACAGCAGAAGTTCTCTTCATCTGATCATGCTTCTCTGGCTTCCTAGAGTCACTGATGATCTTCATTTCCTCTGTAGAACATCCTGCCAGTGCCCATAGCCTCACAGCGTGTATTATTGGTTATTCTCTCAAACACCTAAACATTTCCATTCCCACCGCTTCACATTATCCTTGTCAGAAACCGGTGGGCTTCTTTTCAAACCTGTTTCTACTCACTGTAATTGTTACATTATAAAATTTAATTAAAATTTACTCAAACATATTATGAATAGGAAAAGACAAGTTTGGTTTTTTTCTGTGAAAGTTTAGTTAAGGCCGGGTGCGGTGGCTCACGCCTGTAATCCCAGCACTTTGGGAGGCCAAGGCATGCAAATCATGAGGTCAAGAGATCAAGACCATCCTGGTCAACAGGGTGAAACCTTGTCTCCACTAAAAATACAAAAATTAGCCGGGCGTGGTGGCATGTGCCTGTAGTCCCAGCTACTTGGGAGGCTGAGGAAGGAGAATAGTTTGAACCTGGGAGGTGGAGCTTGCAGTGAGCCGAGATCGCGCCACTACACTCCAGCCTGGTGACAGAGTGAGACTCTGTCTGGGGGCGGGGGGAGGAGGAAGTTTAGTTGAAAGTTTTGAATAAAATCTTAAAGGACTAATAGCTATTGAGATAGGTATGGGTGAGACTGGGGGAAAAAAACCCATAAACCTTGGGAGATCCTGAATTCAGAATTCTTTAGAAGTATCTAGGTTCTTGCTCTGTTTTTGTTTTAAAGAGGCTGAAACTGAAAATCCAGAGATAATATCTTATGTGTATGTTTATGCAGAAAAGTGACTTTGTCTAATTGGCCCAGATGCTTAAAGAGAAAGCCTTGGCACTCTGACAAAAGATTGCAAATAAATGTTTTAAGTTTTAAGTTAAACTATTTTAAAGTGAGTATGTGTGTGTGTTTAAAAAATGATTTCCAAGTTAGTCTTAAGAATGCTTTTATTATACTAGGATCCGTTGCACAGCTATTGCCCTCATGGCTCAAGGCAGTGTATGCAGGGAAGAGCATGGAGGTTGGATCCCATAGAGTCTATGTTTCATTTTCGTTTCATCACTTCCTGCTGACTGTAACTGTGCTCAAACTACTGAATCACCTCTTTGGCCCTTGGTTTTCATGTCTCTGAACAGAGATATCTGCTTCACTTGGTTTTGTGAACAATAAGTATGAAAACATATATGAAGACTTAGCACAATATCTGACACTCAATTTTAGTTTTCCTTCCATTCTCTCTCCTTCCCTGAAAAACTCATATGAGCTTTGATACAACACTGTTTCATGAGACAGAGTACAGAGGGATAGTTAAAGAAGCTTTCATAGAAAAGGGAATGAGAGAAAGGTTGTTGTATTTAGCCAGAAAGTCTAAGAAAAGACTGTATTCTCTTTGGAGATTATGGAAGAAATGAGATGGGTTGTTGCACATATACAATGGGATATTTTGCCCTTCACTGACCATAGAGAAAGATCATTAGAGATGAACTTTCTTAACTCTGTCTCTCTCCTTTCCCATCACTCTTCTTATCTGCCTTCCCCAAAACCCTCTATGCATGCTTTTTCTTCTATCAGGTTTGGAGGACTAGAGATTCTACCTGCTTGTTGGATCCTCCTGCACCATCCTGCTTCTTTTATTTTGAAACCATGTAGTCTGTTATCACCCTTTTCTTCTGAATTTCTGATCTTGTCTTTTCTACTGAAGTATGGATGTGGTCATATAATGGTAGGACAACACCCACCTAGACTAACTTTATGGATGAAACTTCATTATAAGGATATACTGAAATGTAAGGAGCCAGGAAATCCCTCTGAATAGCCATGTATTTGGCCTATATCCCCATATTGGGACAATAGCTCAACATATTTTGGGTGCCATATCTTTATATACCTGCTGTATACTCTTCTGTGAAAGGGATTTGATAGGTGGGTAGTATAAAATAGTGGTTAAAAGCACCAGCTCTGGATTTAGGCTACTGCTTGGGTTTAGATCCTGCTTCTGCTATTTTCTAGCTGTGCCATCTTAGACAAGTTATTTGAGCTTATGTTTGGTTCCTCTTCTGTACATTGGAGACAGTAATAGTTCCTGTACTGTAGGGTAGCTGTCAGGACATGTGCAATATGCAATGCCTGGTGCATAGAAGCTTCCAGTAGACATTAGCTGCCATTTAGTGTCATTTATCACTACGATCATCATCATCTTTGGCTGGGGCTATTTACCACTGCCTAATATGGAGCACTCGATTTGGTGGAGCTGCTCATTAAGCTCACTCAGAGGCAGCTGCCTAGGTTACAGTGTCAAAGCCACAACACTAGAAACATCCTTGATAGAAAAATGAGCTCCTTGTCAAGGGCTTTATTGAGTCTAGAACCCCCAGAATTCACTACAGGACCTAGAATGTTAGACTTTGTCAGTGAAAATTTGTCAAGTAAATTTGAACGTATGAATTCAAAATCTCTCACTTTGGGTATGTAAAGGGTATATAAATCTGTTTTGTAAATTCCTTATCCTTATATACTCTATACTCTACAAAAGAGAAATGTATGATCAGAAAGGTGCTTTTTTTTTTTTCTTTTTTTTTTTTTGAGACAGGGTATCACTCTGCTGCAGCCCAGGCTGGAGTGCAGTGGTGCAATCTTGGCTTACTGCAACTTTTACCTCCTCGGGCTCAATTGATTCTCCCACCTCAGCCTCCCGAGTAGCTGGGACTACAGGTGTGTGCACCACCATGCCTGGCTAATTTTTGTATTTTTTGTAGAGACAGGATTTCACTATGTTGCCCAGGCTAGTCTTCAACTCCTGGGCTCAAGTGATCCCCTTGCCTCAGCCTCTCAAAGTGCTGGGGGATTACAGGCATGAGCCACCTTGCCTAGCAGAAAGGTGCTTTTTAAAACTATACATTTTGCAGCAAACCGCCATGGCATGTGCATACCTATGTAACAAACCTGCATGTTCTGCACATGTATCCCAGAACCTAAAGTATATTAAAAAAATTAAGAAAAACATACATTTTGCTCCATTTTATCCTGGGTGTATAATTGACCTTAGCATTCTGCTTGATTACTAATAAAATGAATTGTATTTTAGGCCTTTAATTCTTTTAGCAGTAAATTTGGTTCAAATTTTCTGAATAAATAGAGCCCTTTCTTCTACTATAACTAGTCAATGTTAAGAGGAAATTCTGACAAATTTTCCTGGGAGCCAATAATTTAAATTTGCTCACATTTTCTAACTAATATTTATTTTTAAAAATGTAAACAATTGATTTAGTGAATAAACATAATGATGGGTGTATAAAACCAAGCATTTTGCAGATTTCAACTTTTAGGGTTTCTTTTTTTAAGGGAAATTCATATAAAAGTTATAACCATGCTAATGACATCCTTACTTACAACATGTCTTTCTTAATTTCCATTTTACATTTTTTGTCTTTAACCGATGAAAACTTATAAAGATGTTGGTGCTCAAATGTATAGGGATTTGGAAGTTATATTTTTGTTGTTGATTTCCATTTTTCTTATCGTCAGAGAATATGATCTGAATAATACCTATTTTAAGATTTTCTTCATTGCCTAGCATGTGATAATTTTTGCAAAATATCTATGGCCTTTGTAGATCAAGCTTGTTAATTATGTGGTTCAAATATTCTGCATTCTGACTTTTTGCTCTTTCAGCTGTTGAGAGAGAGATTTAAATAGCCCGTTATAATACTGCATCTGTCAGTTTCTCTTTTTCTTTCAGTTACTTTTTGTATTGTGTTTGGAGGCTGTGTTTTATTGTTTGTCTATTTATTTATTTATTTATTTATTTTTTCAACCCAAGTCTTGCTCTGTCACCCAGGCTGGAGTGCATGGCACGGTCTCGGTTCACTGTGCCTCCTGGGTTTGTGCGACTCTCCTGCCTCAGCCTCTTGAGTAGCTGGGACTACAGGAATGCACCACCATGCCTGGGTAATTTTTGTATTTGTAGTAGAGATGGGGTTTTTCCATTTTGGCCAGGCTGGTCTCAAACTCCTGACCTCAGGTGATCCGCCCACCTTGGCCTCCCAAATTGCTGGGATTACAGGCATGAGCCAGCGCACCTGGCCTTTGTTGTTTTGAAGTATATGAGTTTAGAATTATTTATCTTTTTAAAATATTCTAGCGATGAGTCTCCTTATCTATAATAATAATTTTTGCCTTAAAGTTTATTTGTCTGGTATCAATAGAGTAATGTCAATTTATTTGGTTAATTTTGCCTGTTAAATATTTTTCTATCTGTCTACTTTGTTTTTCTATATGTTAGGTATATCTCTTACACCTAATCTATGTCTAGATTTAAAAATATGTATAATTTCAGAGTCACTCTTAAATGGTCAATTTGGTATTTTTTGTTTATTGTGATAACTGATATTTGGGTTCATTTCTATCATCTTATTTTTTGATTTAAAAAATTTTATTATGTATTTTCTACTTCTTCCCTTTTAGGAGTTGATCACATTTTTATGTTTTCTTTTTCTTCTTTTGCTAGTTTAAAAGTCATACATTCTGTTTCAATTCCCTTTTATCTTTTGAGACAGAGTCTCGCTGTGTCACCCAGGCTGGAGTGCAGTGGTGTGATCTTGGCTCACTGCAGCCTCTGCCTCCCAGGTTCAAGTGATTCTCCTGCCTCACCTTCCTAAACAGCTAGGATTACAGGCATTTGCCACCATGCCCAGCTAATTTTTGTATTATTAGTAGAGATGGGGTTTCACCATGCTGCCCAGGTTGGTCTTGAACTCCTGGCCTCAAGTGATCCGTCCCCTCCCGCCCCACCCGCCGAAACCACCTTTGGCCTCCTAAAGTTCTGGGATTACAAGTGTGAGCCACCATGTTTGGCCATGTTTCAATTCCTTTAATGACGTTTATGTTTTGTAACGTGTTCTTGATTAATTTGAGAATTTAAGCTTCTATCTTCCCAAAAAAGAATCTTAGAAATTCTAACCAAAATCATTCCTCTCTGATTTTGCATGTTATTGTTTGTTATTTTGGTTCCACCTTGTTTCTATATCACTAAAACTTAATTCTTGGGCCGGATGTGGTGGCTTATGCCTGTAATCCCAGCACTTTCAGAGGCCAAGGCAGGAGGATCACTTGAGCCCAGGAATTCGAGACCAGCCTGGGCAACATGGTGAGACCCTGTCTTTACAAAAAATACAAAAATTAGTCAGATGTGGTGGTGCACACTTGTAGTCCCAGCTATCCAGGAGGCTGAGGTGGGAGGATCTCTTGAGCCTGGGAGGTTGAGGCTGCAGTGAGCTGTGATCATGACTGTACCACCATACTTCAGCCTGGGTGACAGAGACCTTGTCTCTTAAAAAAAAAAAAAAAAAAGTAAATCCAAAGAACAAGCATATAAATCAACTTTGCTAGTAATTAAAACATACAAAGTAAAGCGAGATGGTTTAGTTAGATTAGCAAACATTAAAAATGATTTTTAATGCCCAATGGGTTCTGAGAAAACAGTCAAACTATTGAGGACTGGGTAACATAGTAAGACCCTAGTTCTACAAAAAAATTTAAAAGTTAGCTGGGCATGGTGGCATATTCCTGTAGTCCCAGCTACTCAGGAGGCTGAGGCAGGAGGATTGCTTGAGTCCAGGAGATGAAGGCTGCAGTGAGCTATGATTGCATCATTACACTCCAGCTTGGGCAACAGAGCAGGACTCTGTCTCAAAAATACAATTAAAATAGTGTAGATACTACAATCTAATTTTGTGTATAAAGGCTGGGTGCAGTGGCTCACGCCTGTAATCCCAGCACTTTGGGAGGCCAAGATGGGCAGATCACTTGAGAATCAGGAATTTGAGAGCAGCCTGGCCAACATGGTGAAATCACATCTCTACTAAAAATATAAAAATTAGCCAGGCATGGTGGCGGGCTCCTGTAATCCCAGCTACTTGGGAGGCTAAGGCAGGAGAATCGCTTGAACCCGGGAGGCTGAAGTTGCAGTGAGCCAAGAATGTGCCACTGAACTGCAGCCTGGGTGACAGAGTGAGACTCCGTCTCAAAAATAAATAAATAATTTTGTGTATAAAACGTGGAAAAATATGGTGGCAGGCACCCATAGTCCTAGCTACTCGGGAGGCTGAGGCAGGAGAATGGCGTGAACCCGGTAGGCGGAGCTTGCAGTGAGCCGAGATCACACCACTGCACTCCAGTCTAGGCCACAGAGCAAGGCTCCGTCTCAAAAAAAAAAAAAAAAGAAAAAAGAAAAATAAAAGCATTAAAAAGACTGAAAGAGTTTATGCCAAAATTTATTCTCTTCTATATTTTTCAGATTTTTTCACTTAATTTGTTATTTGAAATATACTTGTTTTGTGTAAGTATAAGGAAATATATACATATGCACACATGCATATAAACATTTTAAGAATGTGTTATAATAAAAGTATATTATTTGATACCTTTGGAAATATCCCCATTTTTCTACCTGAAGAAAATTCCTAATTTCATGGTTTGGAAACAGGTTTATGAGCACTCTTTATAGAGAAACGGTGTTAGTATCTATAGATGACCTGGAAATGGAGACCTAAAAAGTTTCTGAAAAGTTATGTCGTTGGTTTTGCTAGTACGGTCACGACCATAGTAATCTTTGGTACGTGCCCCACAGGCTCCAGAAAATAAAAGTCAAGCTGCTTTTGCTTGACTGCGGTTTTACCCTGGCAATTCGAATGACTCTGCTTTCCTCTTCAGGCTCCCGGAGAGAGAGATGTGGGTACCGCCTTGTGCGGAGACAGAGAAGTGCCGACGAGCAGCTGCACTGTGCCGGCAAGGCCAAGAGAAGTGGCGGCCACGCGCCCCGAGTGCGGGAGCTGCTGCTGGACGCCCTGAGCCCCGAGCAGCTAGTGCTCACCCTCCTGGAGGCTGAGCCGCCCCATGTGCTGATCAGCCGCCCCAGTGCGCCCTTCACCGAGGCCTCCATGATGATGTCCCTGACCAAGTTGGCCGACAAGGAGTTGGTACACATGATCAGCTGGGCCAAGAAGATTCCCGGTAGGGCTTTCTGGCTATCAGTTTTCCATGTACTTGTAGAAAGGCCGGCCGCTAATATTTAAGGGGCAAGAGTACAAAGTAGAGGTCCATGAGCTGTGCCTAGATATTTAACAGGTCCTCAGCTGGATTTGTAACTTTTAAGTGCAATATGTTCCTTCCTTCTGTCTTGGCATACCTACCTTCAACAAGGCCGTGTTCTGATTTAGAATTCTGAGACTCTTCTGAGTTCTGTACCCAACATGGTAGTGCAGAAAGAGTTGTGCGTGGCCCAGCCATTTCTATTCTTGACTGCCTTCTTTTCCCATGGCTAGATGCATCCCATACCACCTTGCACAAACCCTATCCTGTGTGTCCACATCTGCTACAGACACTCACCTGTTGGCCACCTCTCATGCCTAGAGGTGGTCTGGGAGGATGGACCCAGGGAACCTACCTAGGCTCTGGAATTGGGCTTGGGGTCATTTGGGCAAGAATCCTAGAGTCCTGGAACCTGGAACGTGGTTAAAATGATAGACTCCACATTGACCCATTTCTTGGCTGTGGATTCCTCACCTTGAAAGGAGGGGTGGGGTAGAGTACAGTATGACTAGTTTGAAAGTGAAAGGTTTGTCAGATGCTAAATAGAATTTTGTAAATTATTGTTCCAGTAGAGAATCAATATTATGTACATAAATGAATATGTATGGACAAACAGAGTAAATCAGTGGTTGAAGTTACACGAATCATCAATGGGCCCATAAACCTGGAATGCCATCAAGTTAAAAATGAGCTTAGTTACTCATGAGTTGTCACTTGGAACCTGCGTTTTCCATCCTCCAAAGTGATCACTTCTCTCAAGCCCATTTGTAATATATATCTGAAGTGCTGTATGATGCTAAAATTACCAGCTAATTATCATTTGACTTGGTGTTTCTGTGGAGGAGTGAATCTAGGATTCTAACCTAGAGTGGCAACACCCCACGATCCCCCTGTGACAGCTTCTCCATGCTGTTCTTTACAGTCCTTGAAGAAATGAAGTCTCTTATAAGTTCTGAGCCACTGGGGGCATTCCCATGGCCTGGAGGGCAGCGACTGCACTGGGCAAGCTGTAAAGATGAGGAGGGGTGAGAAGCTGGGGGAAGAGAAGTTTTGGGTAAAGAGCCTGGGGAACTGAGGCCTATGGTGACAGTATCATTTGGGGACTTTTGTTGGCCTGGGCCCATTTCTTCTGAGCTTCCTGAGGATTTTTGGTTTCTAGTTGTATTTTGTTTTGTCTAGCATCTTCACCTTTGCCAGAATTATTTTATTTTCTCTGCTTTTTCCCAGGGGAGGCAATACTGATGCACTTTCCTCTAGTTTTTGCTTTAAATGTATTCCAAACACGATTTTGCAGGACCACACATGGAGAGCAGTGGTGAAATTAATTATTGCTGAAAGCTGTGCACCTTCTTTGTGCCATAAGAAATCTGAACTCTTAAACTGCATTATTCCTTATTCAAGCCTGGTGTTTTGAAAAGTTTTCAGGAAACGTAGACATAATCTGAAGGCGTGATTTTTTTTCTCCTCTCTTAGCTGGCATAGTCATTGTCCAAACCAAAAAATATATATTAAAATATCATCTAGCCTTGATCTTGTTGAATATCTACAAGATTAAGAACCGTGATCTCTCTTGGGTAGGCTTATTGTCAATCACTATGGGTGAGACTGGGAAGGTATATACACATTAGGAACCTAAACTGAGCAAAGCATGTGGATTTAGAAAGTATTTATCCATCTTTACATTCATAACACCATTACATTCTCCTTGAGGCAGATTTGCGTTATAATTGTTCAAAGACTTGAACCATGTGTGTTCTCTCTGCTGTAGTTTCCTCATCTGTAAAACAAGAATGATAAGAGATCCTGCCTATAAGACATTCTCAGAGATAGGCATTGTTACCCCCATTTTCCTATAAGAAAAACAAAGACTTAATGGGAGATTAAGTGAACAGCTAGAAAGAGGCTGAGCTGGGGTTCGAACCAGAGTCCATTTCACTCCAAGGCGGTGTCTTTTGTTATCATATTTATATTACATGGCCCTCTCTTTTTATCATGGCTTGTGAAGGAAGCCCCGGTGTTCTCTGCTTTGCTTTTGAAGTGCTTCCCTCCCCAGAGATTACCTGTTTGCAAACAGTACTGTGACCAACATGGGTTATTAGGTTGTCAGGACCTGCTTCGTTATTATATTTGCTCTTTATTTATTTATTTATTTATTTATTTTTGAGACAGGGTCTCGCTCTGTTGCCCAGGCTGGAGTGCAGTGGCGTGATCTCAGCTCACTACAGCCTCGACCTCCTGGGCTCAGGCGATCATCCCACTTCAGCCTCCAGAGTATCTGGGACTACAGGCACCTGCCACCATGACCAGATAATTTTCTGTAGAGATGGGGTTTCTCCATGTTGGCCAGGCTGGTCTCAAACTCCTGGGTGCAGGCAATCCACCCACCTTGACCTCCCAAAGTGCTGGGATTACAGGTGTGCTTGGCTATATTTGCTGTTTAGGATAGAATCACCCAGAAACAGTGCTTCTACCCAGAAGAAGGATCTTAACACTGGATAGGAAATTTTAATCAATCAGAGAAATCCTTGCAGTTGAGGCCTTGGTTTTCTGTGAGGGCTGGCACTGCTCTCTGCAAGCCTCCAACCCCAACCTCCACCTACCCCATCCCCCACCTACCCCATCCCCCACCCCTTCTGATCCCAGTCAAGGATTGGGTCAGACAGGCAGGTCTTCTGACTGGCAGCCAAGCATCAACATTCTCAGTAGTGCAGAGGAATTATCAGGACACAGCTAACAAAGATCAGTTCTGAGCCGAGGTCGTAGTGCTTGACAAACTCTAAATGAAGTATATTTGTCTCTAGAAGGGGTCCAAGACTGGAAACTAAGTTGCGCAGCTTAACTTCAAAGTTTTCTTCCTTTAATGAGCAGTTAATCACATCTATAAAATATCAACTCCCTAATGGTTTGTGTTTTCTTAGTGTTTTAACACTTGCCATTCTGTCTCTACACACACAGGGAGCTGAGGAGGAGGGGTGGGGGTGTCTCACCGCCTCTTGCTTTCCCCAGGCTTTGTGGAGCTCAGCCTGTTCGACCAAGTGCGGCTCTTGGAGAGCTGTTGGATGGAGGTGTTAATGATGGGGCTGATGTGGCGCTCAATTGACCACCCCGGCAAGCTCATCTTTGCTCCAGATCTTGTTCTGGACAGGTGAGAAAAAATACATTGTGTTTCTTCTCTGACTTGTTTGAGTAAGGTGCTTAGTGAGTGGGAACAAAGTCCTGGGTGCTGCAATTAAAATCTCACACTTGCAGGGCAGAGGATGATAGCATCATCAGCTCCTTCACTGGGTCAAGAACCAGAGAAGGAGAGAGTTGGGTCCAAGGATTCAGGGTCCTGTGACTCATTTTTAATCTGTGGTGCAGCAGCATTTACAGGCCAGCGCTTTAATAGGGGACTGTATCCCGTAGGTATGTGGCCACTATGTGTATAAGTCGACACAGATTTTTCTCCATTAAAAATTCCATTTTCAGGTTATAATCTTAAGTTGTCCTGCTGTTTTTTGTACCTATAGTGACCAATTATATCTGGAGCTTTCTGGACAGGTGATAAAATTCTTAGAAATGTGCCAAGTTTATTTTCACATGCTTTAACTCACTCTTTTGTTTTTTTTTGTTTTGTTTTGTTTTGTTTTTTGTTTTTTTTCTGAGATGGAGTCTCTCTCTGTTGCTCAGGCTGGAGTGCAGAGGTGCAATCTTGGCTCACTGCAACCTCCGCCTACCGGATTCAAGTGATCCTGCTGCCTCAGCCTCTCAAGTAGTTGGGATCACAGGTGTCCACCACCATGCCAGGCTAATTTTTCTATTTTTAGTAGAGAAGTGGTTTCACCATGTTGGCCAGGCTGGTCTTGAACTCCTGACCTCAGGCGATCTGCCCACCTCAGCTTCCCAAAGCGCTGGGATTACAGGCGTGAGCCACCATGCCCGATCTGCTTTAACACATTCTAATGCATGTACTATATAGCATTTTTGGCAATAGCGGTGGAAGGAAGGGTTACTAAAACTATATGAAACTTAACAGAAAATGGGACATGATGCTGTATCTTGGTTGTGTTTGATTTTCTTTTAAAGATGACACAGAAAAGGAAACAATTTTTAATTGACTTAGGTGAACTGTTTATGGAGGGAAAGCTGGACTGTATAAAAATACTCAAGCTTTTTAGCAGGAAAGTAGAACACCCTCTTGGTGTAAATTCGAGCAGTTCGAAATCTTCTTGGAAATTGATTTCCACATCTCTTTTATGGAAAAAGTGCTAGGTTGAATGTTCAGCCACATCTGACTCTGCATAGCGTGGGAGGATGCCTAGTGTCTACCCCAACTCTTGCATTATAATCCTGTTACCACTTTAGATCATCAGAAGACCCTGTGTTACACAGATGAAGAGTGATGCCCCAAGGTATCAGTCCCCATTCTGCCTTTTGTCATGGTTGACAATGTTATTAAAAGAGCACTGTTCTGCATAATGGTGTTTTGATAGAGAACAGATCCTCTGAGAAGAGCTGGAGGACTGATGTGACTTGAACAGGAGCAAGCCCAGGTGGTAAACCATGGAGGGAGGCTCTGGAAGACCAGAGAAGTTCAGGGCACAAGACCCTTCAGTAACAAACAAAATAGTTAACCTATTGGCTTGTATGTGCTTGGCAGCACCTTATGCATTTAACTTATGTCAACACATTTAATCTTCACAATCTTCCTGCCCCCTTTGAGGGAGTAGGATCCATTATTATCTCTATCATTCAGATATTGGAAATGGGAGATTGAGAAACCTGCTTACAGGTAGGATAATAGGTGGTGGAGCTGGACTTGGGGGGTTGCCAAATGGCAAACTAACTCTCTACTTTATTCTACCTGTTGTTATGGGTGACAATGTTGACAAAGAGCACATTCTGCAGAACAGAGATGTTTTGGTAGAGAACAGCCCTGTTTTACTTGTAACACACTGCAGAAACCCACTCTCCCCACTGTCATCTCAGGGTACCATGTCGCAAGGCAGGCTGAAAAGCCAAGCACCTAGCCAAGCCATTGCTCTCATTCATTCATTGTATTCTGCTTGGTGTTTTAACTGGGGCCAAATATACATATGTATAAATATACACATATAATTTTCCTTGAAGTTAGTCCTAGGAACACATTCCATCCCTTGACAAATAATTTGCAGACTTTAGGATTATTTTATCTTTTGTCTTGATTTCTAAATTGATGCCAAATTTAGTGTTTATTTTTGGTGACTATTTCATTCCTGGTTTTTAGTACAATTAACTCTCCACTCTCCCATTTCTCTGTATGCGTTCTTTAATTCCTGTAATTGTGTGTATACATTACTATAAGTGGACACAAATCCTGGAAAAATATTAGGCCTACCTTTTAGTTAATAGAAGAAAAGTTATTTTTCTTACAAATTATTTCTAATAGACTTACACTGCCTTTATAACTTAAGTGAAAGTATTATGTTGTAAAACATAAATCTAGTATATTTGATTGAGTATAGAAGAGGAATTCTTGGGAATTGTAAATGCATTCATGTTGAGCAGGCATTTTTTTTTTTTTTTGGAATGACTACTGGTGTTTATTTGTTGTTGCAATTTCTAGTAGTTTTTGTTTGTTTGTTTTTTGTTTTTGAGATGGAGTCTCGCTCTGTCACCCAGGCTGGAATACGATGGCATGATCTCAGCTCACTGCAATCTCCGCCTCCCAAGCTCAAGTGATTCTTGTGCCTCAGCCTCCTGAGTAGGTGGGATTACAGGCATGTGCCACTACGGCTGGCCAATTTTTGTATTTTTTTTTTTTTTTTAGTGGAGACGGGGTTTTACCATGTTGGCCAAGCTGGTCTCGAGGTCCTGACTTCAAGTGATCCCCCAGCCTCAGCCTCCCAAATTGTTGGGATTACAGACGTGAGTCACCACGCCCAGCCTACAGTCTCTAGTATTTTTAACACATTAACTTTCTGAAGTCTGGAACTTGAAGTCTAAGATAGTTCAGTTACTTAGTCCTCTCTTATACAAATGAATATACTTTTATGTAATAGGTATATTTGTAGAGGAGTTGCTCATTCAAAAAGTCAGGAGTCATGCTCCATAAAGACTTCTATTACGACTCTTTTTTGCAAAGTGAAGGGAATCTTCACACCATTTGAAAATAACTGTCTTCTGCTGGATTGTCCTAGCAGAGCTTCTTCAAGTGGTAATATGGCTGAATAAACAGTGAATACAACTAACAGTTGCCCATTTGTGGATACTGAAACTATAATTTCTGTTTCCCTTTATTCTTGTTGAGGTGTCCACAACAAGAAAACTTGTGTCTACTGAGGATGAGAGGAAAATCTCATTACTTCAGCTTATTTCTAAGCATTTAGTTTTTCTTTTACTAACCACTAAATTCATCATAAATTCACGTGAAGATCTAAAGAACCTGACTGTCTAATTGCTCAAAAAAAAGTCACATATGCAAAGACATTTTTGTGTCCTTAGTATCAACAGGCAACTGACTAATGTTAAATTATTAGTCAGAGGAAGTTTGTATCTGGCTTGGATCCCATTGTGGACATTTGCAGATAGGTCCGTGGAATTGTATATGTATAAATGTCTTGAGTTTACATTCACATTAGTTATTTGTATGCTAAATTCCTTCAAGATAACCACCGAATTTTCAATTCCCAATTCTAAGCCTTAAACACTCCCTGCCATTGCCATACACACAGAGGTAAACCATGGTCTGTACCCAGGTGTGTGCTGCGAGCAGAGATATATATATATATATACACACACATACATACACACACACACACACACACACACACACACACACACACACACACAAATAGTGTACCCCTAAGGGAGGCCCACTCATTCAACATTTTGTTGTTGTATTAAACAATATTCTTCTTTAGGCCAGGCACGGTGGCTCACGCCTGTAATCCCAGCACTTGGGGAGACTGAGATGGGTGGATCACCTGAGGTCAGGAGTTCGAGACAAGCCTGAGCAACATGATGAAACCCCTTCTTTACTAAAAATACAAAAATTAGCTGGGTGTGGTGGCAGGCGCCTGTAATCCCAGCTACTTGGGAAGCTGAGGCAGGAGAATTGCTTGAACCCAGGAAGTGGAGGTTGCAGTGAGCCAAGATCACGTCATTGCACTCCAGCTGGGGCGACAGAGCAAGACTCCATCTTAAAAAAAATAAAAAATAAAAAGCAATATTCTTATTTTATAAAGAGTGATTATTGGCCGGGCTCGGTTGCTCACACCTGTAGTCCCAGCACTTTGGGAGGCTGAGGTGAGTGGATCACTTGAGGTCAGGAGTTCAAGACCAGCCTGGCCAACATGGTGAAACCCCTTCTCTACTAAAAATGCAAAAATTAGCCAGGCATAGTGGTGTGTGCCTGTAATCCCAGCTACATGGGAGGCTGAGGCAGGAGAATCACTTGAACCTAGGAGGAGGAGGTTGCAGAGAGCAGAGATCATGCCACTGCACTCCAGTCTGGGCATCGGGGTGAGACCCTGTCTCAAAAAAAAAAAGTGATTGTCAAGTAATAAATTTGATATGGTTTGGCTCTGTGTCCCCAGCAAATCTCATCTGAAATTGTAATCTCCACGTGTCAAGGGAGGGATCTGGTGGGAGTGATTGGATCATGGGGATGGTTTCCCCCATGCTGTTCTCATGAGAGTGAGTGAGTTCTCACAGGAGCTTATGCTTTAAAAGTGTTTGGCAGCTCCCGGCTGTCTTGCTCAGTCACTCGCTCTCCTGCCTCCATGTAAGATGTGCCTTGGTTTCCCTTTGCTCTCTGCCATGATTGTAAGTTTCCTGAGGCCTCCCCAGCCATGCAGAACTGTGAGTCAGTTAAACCTTTTTTCTTCATAGATTACCCAGTCTCAGATAGTGCTTTATAGCAATGTGAAAATGGACTAATACAAAGATATTCCATGTTATTACTGATTTTATTTAGTAGTTTATGGACAGATAGTGTGCAAAAATAAATTTCCTGAGTAGGTCAGTTTGGTTGATACATTGTTTCAATATTTTAACATTCAAATCATATGCCCTGTTTTTGTTTTTGTTTTTTTTTTTTTAGAGACGGTCCCGCTCTGTGGCCCAGGCTGGAGTGCAGTGGTGCCATCACGGCTCACTGCAACCTTGGGCTCCTGGCCTCAAGTGATCTTTTGCTTCAGCCCCCTGAGGAACTGGGACTATAGGTGTATGCTACCATGCCTGGTTTATTATTATTTTGTAGAGACAAGGTCTTGCTACATCGCCCAGGCTGGTCTAGAACTCTTGGCCTCAAGTGATCCTCCCACTTTGGCCTCCCCAAAGCACGAGGATTACAGACATGGGCCACTTTACCCAGCCAGCCCTGTCTTTAATTCAACTCTTTTAACCCTGTCCTAATTTCTTACTCATAATTCAGTTTCAATCTAAAATTATAAAATAAATAAAATAGATGTCATTAATTTAGAGTCTTTACTAACTTTGTTCTGTGTAACTCATCTGAAAGACCTTTACTGGGCTGTCATTTACGATGTCTTATACTTTATTGCCTCTTCATTTCTCATTTATTTTGTTGAAATGTATTTGGTTTCTGCAGACTGTGGAGTGAATAAAAATATTCTAACTTTGCCACCCCTTGAATGAAATGGTTGACTGTCACACCTGCTTAAAAAGAAAGCAATCAGACCTAGTTCTTTAGACTTTGTTTAGAAATTAACTTTCTCCATGAGTTATGTATGGTCTGATTACTGTGAGGGACAGCCTTTATCAGGGTTTAAAATACCTCAGTATGCCAACCCTCCTCCCATTTTTGGAACATAAATTTGCAGTGAAAATGGCATATATTTTAATGAGGAAATGATACCAATTTCAATATTGAGGAACTAAGGCACAGGTACTTCTGGAAAATAGGATTGATTTCAGGTGGGTTCCCTTACCATACCACTTGGGGAGGGGTGTGTGTGAGTGTGTGTGTGTGTGTGTATGTATTGTGCATGTGTGTATAATCCCACATCAGCACAGAAGAATAAAGAGATAATCAAATATCAATGCAGGAGTTGGTGGGTTTTTTTGTTTTTTTTTTTTTTTGCCCCATAGAGATATTTTCAAACTAGCTTTCCTTAGTATCAAATGTCCCCAAGTCCAACAGTTACAATTTCCAATAATTAATTGTCCGCAGGCAAGGTGATTCAGGTGTTTTTTGTGTTATCTCTGTGCAGGGCTTGTGTTGTCCTTACTGGATGCCTGCATCAGGTTGCCTGGGAGAGCCTAGAGCTGGGGAGGTGGAAAGATGAGGCTTCCTGTAGATTTGGCACTCTTTGCCCAGTGCTCTGGATTCTCTAAGACGGCCTTTTCCTATGAGTGACTTCCAGGGGGCACTGGTGTTTTGTCACTTAACCTGTGTACTTATAGAAAATTGCAGGTGTTTACAGAATTTATGATTTAGTAAATTTAGTAACTCAGTAATGCTCATATACCAAAGTGAGCAATTTGCATGCTTGTAGCTCTGTGTGAGCGAGTCTGGGTGGGAGAGTGTGAGTGCTTCGGAATGCAGGATCCCGGTGAGTGCCATGTACGGCAGGTAATGGGAAAGACTTCTGCAGGACTGGTGTATCCAGTGGTGTCAGAGGCTCTTCCCTGAAATACTGCCATCGCTGGAAATGCCCTGAGTTCGGGGAAGGAGGAGGGGAGCAGCCAGCTCTTTGAAGACCTCAAGGCCCCTTCAGGGGCTGCTAGAGACTAAAAATGGAACTCGCATAAACCCACTGCCCTTTCTGTGTGCTGCAGGCTTTTGGGAGCAAAGGGTGGTTTTGTGACAAAATCATCTAACTGCTTGTCAAGGACTTCCAATAACCCTGTGACTGACAATAATAGAGTGTTTTGGGGGAGCAGTGAGGTGGAATAATGTGTGTCTGGCTGGAGTGAATAGAAGCTGGTATTTTCCAGATAAAGTTCAAGTAATTTACTTCCAAAGTATATTTAAACATTTATTTCTACAAGGAGTGCTCCAAAGAATTTTGATTAGATGGCTCAAAGTTTAAAGATAATCCTTGCTTGAAGATAATCCTTGGCAAGTCAAAAATTTTTCCCCACCTCCATGTATACCTTCTTTTCCTGATTCTAATCCATCTTCTCTAATTGCGATTTCTTTCTCATAGTCAGCTTTTTCAAATTACAGGTAAATGTCTTAGTTGCTACACAAGTTTCTAAGTGACCACCAGGAAGTGAGAGTTAAGCCCTAGATATGGAGTTTTATTCTTGGGATATTTGCTTCTGTGACACACGGTCTTCCTCATTAATACTTCCCGATGGGAACATGAAGTGTCTCATTTTGAAATACGTGTCATATCTGGGGCTGGTTGACTGATATGGTTTTGATTGAAAACAATCAATAGGAGTGGTATTGCTGTAAGAAAACATTTGGTGAAAATGTAGAAGGAAAATATTCCAATGCACATTTTTGCCTAAATAATATTTATTCATATATTTACTTCAGGGATTTATAGGAAATGGCCTATCTTCTTTATATGAAGACAATTCTAGTAATTTCATATTGCTGGGTGTGGTCTCATTAACACCCTGTTGTAGTTAAAATGATATTATCAGATGAACATGTTACAAGATGAAACTTGAGATTAAAAATAAAACATTCCTTATTGTTTTTTTGATGGTTTCCTGAAGCTATGTTCCTTAAATTTCCAAACGAACTTTTGTAGGGATGAGGGGAAATGCGTAGAAGGAATTCTGGAAATCTTTGACATGCTCCTGGCAACTACTTCAAGGTTTCGAGAGTTAAAACTCCAACACAAAGAATATCTCTGTGTCAAGGCCATGATCCTGCTCAATTCCAGTAAGTAATCACACAGCTGGGCCATGTTTTATCGGGGAGAGATGCTGTTTCTACAACTAGCGTGATATTAAGAAGAATGTTGAACTTCTATTTTATTTGAAAGGGTAAAATGGTTTCCTTTTGGACTTCGTTTTTATTTTGATAGCGATTTAAACTGTAGGTAACTTTTGGTAACTTGGACATAAATTACTCATTAAGTGAATGACTGGCAATCAATTTAAAAGTAGCTCAAGCCACTTGCTGGAAAAGAAAAAAAAAGGAACTTTAAATTGTTTATCTTTTAAACTTTTTTCAGTGCTCACACAGACACTTTACATGGTTGGCATGCATTTATACTTATGTCTGGGGTCCTCCTTTTTTACAGATTCATTCGTTCAGTAAAGATACAATCCTACCCTCAAATGGCTCATAGTTTAGGCAGGGAGAGAGAGAAAACAAATCATTAAAAATAATGATTTCTGTGCTATGATAAAGTCTACACAAAATACTACGGGAAAATAGGAGGAGAGATGCTGGAGTTGTTGCAGAAGGGAATGATTGAACAAATCTTCAGGAAAGAGCAGAGGGAAGTAGGTATGACTTTAAAATGCAGTGCTGAAGATTAGAAACTGCTGCCCAGGCTTTGGGCAGCTTAGAAGAGGTTCAGGCAGGGGAGTGTCATGCACAGATATGCGATATAGAAAGGTCACTCTGGCTTCCATGTGGAGGACTAGAAAGGGCAGAGACTGAAGCCGGGGGCCCATTAGAGGCAATGAGAGCCTGAACTGACATTATGGCGTGAGGTCAGGGAGCAAAGGACTTGACTTGAAGGAAAAGTGGGAGGTAGAGGAGGGAAATAAGGTGTCTAGGATATGCAGATGGTTTCGTTTTGTTGGTTTTATCTTATATAAATATCTGATTATTGTTAATAAACATTCAAATGAGAAAAACATACAAGGAAGAAAATAAAATCATCAGGAATACCTGCCCTCAAAATAACCACCATAACTTTGGTGACCATTCCTTTCTTTCTTTTTTTTTTTCTTTTTTTTTTTTTTTTTGAGACAGGATCTTGCTCTGCTGCCCAGGCTGGAGGGCAGTGGCATGATCATAGCTCACTGTAACCTAGTACTGAGCTCAAGTGATCCTCCCACCTTGGCCTCACAAGTAGCTTGGAATACAGGTGCATACCACCAGACCTGGTTAATTAAAACAATTTTTTTTTGTAGAGACAGAATCTTGCTGTGTTGCCAGAGGTGGCCTTGAACTCCTGGCCTCAAGCAGTCCTCCCACCTCAGCCTCCCAAAGTTCTGGAATTTACAAGCGTGAGCCACTGTGCACAGTCTGTATCTTGTTTTTTCACTTTTCTTTTTGAGACAGGGTGTCACTCTGTTGCCCAGGCTGGAATGCAGTGGCACGATCATGGTTTACTGCAGTTCCGACCTCCTGGGCTCAAGTGATTCTCCCACCTCAGCCACCTGAGTAGCTGAGACCACAAGCACCTGCCACCACACCCGAATAATTTTTGTATTTTTTGTAGAGGTGAGGTATCCCTGTGTTGGCCAAGCTGGTCTCAAACTCCTGTATTTTTGTTTTTCTTTTCAAAATGCTGTGAAACCATTCTGGGTCAACTAGGAGAGATCTAACACAATCTTTGATATGAGGGCATTATACTAAATTGTTCAACCATTTCTCTGTTATTAAATATCCAGTTCCTCTTCCTTTTTAACCATTATAAACATTACTGCAATAAATAGAGATGTGTTATTTTGTATGAATTTCTAAGTTTCTGGATGGTTGTCAAGACTGGTCATTTCACGATCTACCTGGTGTCTAAGCCAGCCGCTCTAGCAGATATTGATGGCTTTGCTTAGCCATTTACTCTTGTCGAGCCTTTAGGTTATTGACTTTTTTTCTTCCTCAAACACTGTATATCCAGGTTTTAATGTTCACCTGAAGACTTACAGATATCTCTATTTAGACAACATATTGGGCCTTATTTATCCAATCTTAGAGTTCGATACTTGAAACAACAGGGATATATCAGATCATATTATACTACGGTCTTTAAATCAGCCAAAGTAGCAGTTCCTGAAGCCAAGATTCAATGCAGAATTCACTGTGGTCACATGTTTCCAGCTGCCTCTTGATCTGGGGCCAGCTGACCTTCATACGTGTCTTCTCTCACAGACTCTTGGATATTGGCACTAGTTTTTTTGTTTGTTTGTTTGTTTTGAGACAGAGCCTCACTCTGTTGACCAGGCTGGAGTGTTAAGGATAGTTACTTTTGCAAAATATAACAAAAATGAATTATGAGAAAAATAAAAGTGTAAAATACAAGTCCTAGTTTATAATATTATTAGTTATCACATTCAACTGATTTAAAATTACTCTGTCGATTGCTAAAAATGTTCCTAAATGCTTACACTCAATTTCTACCCATCTCTTTGTAAATGGGCAACAGACCATACATTAGCTCTGGAGAGAGCACAGGATACTGTCCAAGAGTTGCTTGGATCTAGGGTGGAGGGTGGGGTTAGCCCCTGAAGAACTGGGTGAGGGAGAATGAAGAAGGAATCTGAAGGCCATGTGAAGGTACAGAGACCTGGAAGACAACCTTTGAGCATTTCCTAGTTAAGTCTCAATCTGGCCTTACCTGCCTAACAGGTCATTTCCCCTGCACCCAACACACCCTTCCCTGTTTATTGTTACCATTCACCTTTTACAGAATAACATGAGGGCCCAGCTTATACTGATGATTATGTTGATGTGCATATAAGGAAAGTCCAGCCAGGTGTGTTTTTTTTTTTTTTTTTTTTTTTTTTTTTTTTTGACAGAGTCTTCCTGTGTTGGCCAGGCTAGAGTGGAGTGCAGTGGTGGAATCTTGGCTCACTGAAACCTCCGCCTCCCAGGTTCAAGTGATTCTCAAGCGATGCCTCAGCATCCCAAGTAGCTGGGATTACAGGTGCATGCCACCATGCCTGGCTAATTTTTGTATTTTTAGTAGAGATGATATATTAGTCTGTTCTCACACTATTATGAAGAAATACCTGAGACTGGGTAATTTATAAAGGAAAGAGATTTAATTGACTCACAGTTCAGTATGGCTGGGGAGGCCTCAGGAGACTTACAATAATGGCGGAAAGTGAAGAGGAAGCAAGATACCTTCTTCACAAGGTGCCAGGAAGGAGAAGTCCCAAGCAAAGGCAGAAGAGCCCCTTATATAACCATCACATCTTGGGAGAGCTCACTCACTGTCATGAGAACAGCATGGGGGAAACTGCCCCCATGATTCAATTACCTCCACCTGGTCTCTCTCTTGACACATGGGGATTATGGAGATTACAATTCAAGATGAGATTTGGGTGGGGACACAAAGCCTAACCATGTCAGACAGGGTTTCACCATGTTGTCCAGGCTGGTCTTGAACTCCTGGCTTCGAGTGATCTGCCCACCTTGGCCTCCCAAAGTGCCGTGATTACAGGTGTGAGCCACCACATCCGGCCCACCAGCCAGGATATTTGAAATTGATCATGGAATAAGATCAACCCTTTCTGACCTTTTCCAAACCACCTACCAACATTACCTCACATAGGTGCTGCCATTTCTGTCAAAGGGAGGATCTGCTTGAAGAGTACCTTCCCATCTTGGCAATGGAAGATCATCAAATGCCAGATGATGGGGCTTCTCTCACTTTCAGAAATAATTTAGATCTCTTTTCTGTGCAGGAAAGTGCTTCTCGGAAAGCACTGTTTGCTTGTTGTTACAACACTTTACAGTATAAAGCCTTCTGTTTGGCAAGGCTCCTTATAGGCATTTTAGCCTCCCAGACATCATATTGTGTTGTTGTCAAAGCTAGACGCAGCATCTGTGCAAATGGGAAAGATGAAGGCTACAGCATTCCCCTGCAGCATGACAGAACTGCCACATTGAGATAATTACAGAAGGCGAGGGAGACATGTGATGTAATTACCACTTGTGGCAGTAAACGAGTAAAATTTGTTTACTGTAAATCCAAGTTTAAGAAATCTTTTTTTTTTTTTTTTTTTTTTTTTTTGACAGAGTCTTGCCCTGTCGCCCAGGCTGGAGTGCAATGGTGCGATCTTGGCTCACTGCAACCTCTACCTCCTGGCTTAAAACAGTTCTCCTGCCTCAGCCTCCTGAGTAGCTGGGATTACAGGCACCCACCACCACGCCTGGCTAATTTTTGTATTTTTAGTAGAGATGGGGTTTCACCATGTTGGCCAGGCTGGTCTCGAACTCCTGACCTCGTGATCCGCTTGCCTCGGCCTCCCAAAGTGCTGGGCCCTCGCCTGGCCAGAGATCTTCTTTTAAGGAAGTTCCTTTCTTGGTAGTCATAACAATTGTCAAAATAAATTGATCCTGTTCAGCATTGCTATGGCGAAAATGGGACAATTTTCACTGCTAGGTTAAGTGAGTCTTTTCTATGCTAGGTTTTAAGGATTTGTAAGTACAGGCTTTTTTCTTCTGGATTATTTGTGGTATTTAAATTTAAAAAAAAATAGGGATGGAATCTGCCTCCCCGCCTTAAAATTTAAAACCCTGACAGAATATATAAAACAGATATTGGACATTGGACAACAGTGATCCCCAGGAGGAGGGACACAAACGAGGAGAGCCCTTTGATTGTCCAGTTTACTGCCTGGAGCCAGTTTCCAGGTTGCAAAGCAGGGATGGGTGTGTTAGGTTTCTCCAGAGAAACAGAACCAATAGGATGGATAGGTAGGTAGGCAGATAAATGAGAGGGGATTTATTATGAAAACTGACTTGAACAATTATGAAGGCTGAGAAGTCACATGATATGCGTCTGCATGCTAGTGAACCAGGGAAGCCAGTAGCATGGCTCAGTGTAAATGGAAAGACCTGAGAACTAGGGAGCTGGTGGTGTAACCCTCAGTTTGAGATTGAAGGCCTGAGAAACTGGGAGGCCACTGGTGTGAGTCCCAGGGTCTGGAGGCTGGAGAACCTGGAGTTCTGATGTCCAAGGGCAGGAGAAAATGGGTGTTCCAGCTCCGAGAGAGAGAATTCTCTTCCTCTGCCATTTCGTTCTATCTGGGCACTCAGCCAATTGGACGGTGCCTGCCAACATTGGCTAAGGGCAGATCTTCCTTACTTAGTCCACTGTTCTTTCTTTTTTTTTTTTTTTGAGATGAAGTCTTGCTTTGTTACTCAGGCTGGAGTGCAGTGGTGCCATCTTGGCTCACTGCAACCTCCACCTTCTGGGTTCAAGCGATTCTCCTGCCTCAGCTTCCAGAGTAGCTGAGATTACAGGCATCTGCCACCACGCCTGGCTAATTTTTTGTATTTTTAGTAGAGATGGGGTTTCACCACATTAGACAGGCTGGTCTCGAACTCCTGACCTCAAGTGATCCACCCACTTTGGCCTCCGAAAGTGCAGGGATTACAGGTGTGAGCCACTGTGCCTGGCCTTAGTCCACTGACTCTAATGCCAGTCTCTTCCTGGAACACTCTCACAGACATACCCAGAAATAATGCTTTATCTGCTATCTGGGTATCCCTTTATCCAGTCAAGTTGACACCTAAGACTAACCATCACAAAGGGTAACCCAAATAGACACCAGTGGTCTCCCTTGGTAGCAAGGCAGCTAGGACTTGGAGGGGAGAGTACTGAGTGGGAAAGAGCTGCACAAAGAATTTTGGAGATCTATGGAGAGTCCTCTTCAAGTCTTCAGCTGAGTGCTAATCTGCCCATGCTTATGAGGATACCAAGGACAGGGAAAGAACCATCAGAAAGGAGCGGGCGAAACAATCCCTAGAGTTCACACAGGGCCAGGAACAGTTCACATTCTCACCAGCCAGTGGGAAAAACCTTGCAGTTCACTGGGTATTGGGCACTTCTCAGCCTTCCTATAGTATTCAGAAGGGTATTGCCTCAGTAGTGGGCCTAGACTAAAAGCCATTATGATCCTACCAAACAAAAAAGCAAGCCTGGAGGATCAAACAATTGCTAAGTGATTTAACTGCATCCCAGCACAAAGCTCAAGAGTAGAGACACATCCCATTTCATTACATGTTGCTTTATTGTGCATCACAGATACTGCATGTTTTTACAAATCGAAGGTTTGTGGCAATGCTGCATTGAACAAGTCTGTTAGTACCATTTTTTCCAACAGCATGTGCTCACTTTATGTCTGTGTCAAATTTTGATAACACTTTGCAATATTTCTAACTTTTTCATTATATCTATTACAGTGATCTGTAATCAGTGATTTTTGATGTTACTATTGTAATTGTTTTGGGGTGCCACAAACTATGCCCATATAAGCTGGCAAACTTAACCTATAAATTTGTGTGTTCTGACTGCTCCACCAACTGGTGGCCCCACCACCATCTGGAATTCTGGGAGAATTCTACCATGCATTTGAGGAAGGAATAATACCAAGTGATATGGTTTGGCTCTGTGTCCCCACCCAAATCTCATCTTGTAGTGCCCATAATTCCCACATGTTGTGGGAGGGACCTGGTGGGAGATGATTGAATCATGGGAGCAGGTCTTTACTGTGCTGTTCTCATGATAGTGAATAAATCTCACGAGATTTGATGGTTATATAAAAATGGGAGTTTCCCTGCACAAGCCCTCTTCTCTTGTCTGCCGCCACATGAGATGTGCCTTTCACCTTCTGCCATGATTGTGAGGCTTCCCCAGCCATGTGGAACTGTAAGTCCAATAAACCTTTCTTTTGTATATTGCCCAGTCTTGGGTATGTCTATCAGCAGTGTGAAAATGGACTAATACACCAAGTTTACACATACTCTTACAGAAAATTGAACAGCATGGAATGTTTTCCAATTCATTCTGTGAGGCCAGCATTACTCTGATAGAACACTCAGACTAACACACTAGAAGAAAAGAAGACAACAGACCAATTTCCCTCATGCATGTATAAGCAAAAGTTCTCTAAATTTTTTTTTTTTTGGTAACTAGAATCCAAAACTGTATTAAAAGAATAGCACATCATGAACAAGCAGAATTTTTGGGAATACAAGGTTTCTTTAACATTTGAAAATCAATCAAAATTCATATTAACAGAATAATAATGAAAAACCATATGATTTTATATATATATATATATTTTTTTTGTTTGTTTGTTTGTTTTGTTTTTTTTGTTTTTTTTTTTTGAGACAGTCTCACTCTCCGCCCAGGCTGGAGTGCATTGGTGCTATCTCAGGGCTCACCGCAACCTCTGCCTGCTGGGTTCAATCAATTCTGTCTCAACCTCCTGAGTAGCTGGGATTATAGGTGCCTGCCACCATGCCTAGCTAATTTTTGTGTTTTTAGTAGAGATGAGGTTTCACCATGTTGGCCAGGATGGTCTCAAACTGCTGACCTCAGGTGATCCACCCGCCTTGGCCTCCCAAAGTGCTAGGATTACAGGTGTGAGCCACTGCACCTAGCCATGATTATCTTAATAGATGCACACAGCATTTGACAAAATCCAACATCCACTCCTGCTAAAAACACTGTACAAACAAGGAATAGAAGGAAACTTCCTCAATCCATTAAAGGGCACCTATGAAAATCCTACATTTAATATTATACTTAATCACAATCAGGAACAAGGCAAGTATGTCCACTGTCCTTAATTCTATTCAACATTTTACTGTAAGTTCTACCCAGTGCATTAAGGCAAGAAAAGAGGTAAAAGGCATCAATATTGGAAAGGTAGAAGTGAAAGTCTTTATTTAAAAACATGAGAATCTATGTAGAAAGTCCTAAGGAGTCTAAAAAATGTGAATTTAGCAAGTTTGTAAGGTGTAAGGGCAATATATATAAATCAATTGTATTTCTGTGTGGCACCAGTGAGCAATTGGAAATTGAAATGAAAAACCACTACCATTTACAATAGCATCAAACATTGTGAAACCTTGGGAATAAACTTGCAAAAGACATGAAACCTGCACACTAAACACTGCAAAATATAGCTGAAGGAAATTAAAGAAATCCTGAATAAATGGAGAGAGATGTTAATGGATCATAAGATTCAGTATTGTTTTCAATCTATAGATTCAAACTGATAAAAATCCCAGGAGGCTTTTTGGTAGAAATTGATAAGCTGATTCTTAAAATCATGTGAAAATGCAATGGACATAGAATAGTCAAAACAACTTTGAAAAAGAACAAACTGGGAGGACTTACACTACCTGATTTAGAAGATAATGTGGTATTGATGTCAACAGAAACAAATAGATCAATGGAACAGAGAGTCCAGAAATAATCTATACAACTACAGATGTTCCTCAATTTATGATGGGGTGATTTCCCAAAAAACCCATCTTAAGTTGAAAATATTGCTAGTCAAAAATATACTTAACACACCTAACCTACTGAACATCATAGCTTAGCCTAGCCTATCTTTTTTTTTTTTTTTTTTTTTTTTTGAGACGGAGTCTCGCTCTGTGGCCCAGGCGGGAGTGCAGTGGCGCAATCTCGGCTCACTGCAAGCTCCGCCTCCAGGGTTCACGCCATTCTCCTGCCTCAGCCTCCCCAGTAGCTGGGACTACAGGCGCCCACCATCACGCCCGGCTAATTTTTTTTGTATTTTTAGTAGAGACGGGGTTTCACCGTGTTAGCCAGGATGGTCTCGATCTCCTGATCTCGTGATCCGCCCGCCTCGGCCTCCCAAAGTGCTGGGATTACAAGCGTGAGCCACCGCGCCCGGCCAGCCTAGCCTATCTTAAATGTGTTCAGAATACTTACATTACCCTGCAGTTGGGCAAAATCATCTAATATAAAGCCTATTTTATAATACAGTAATGAACATTTCATGTAATTTATGGAATACTGAAAGTTACTGTACTGAAAAACGAAAAAACACAATGGTTGTATGTGTACTGGAAGTACAGTTTCTACTGAATGCAAAAACTTGCAGCTGAGTGTGTTCATTATCTTGGTTGTGGTGATGGCTCCACCATGTATATGTATGTCAAAGTACATCAAATCGTACACGCAAAATATGTGCAGGTTATTGCATGTCAGGTATACCTGGATGAATCTGTAAACAATGTAATGAAAGCAAAACAAAAAGATTAAGAGAGCAAAGTTTGTAGGCTAAATGGAAAAGAAATACCACCAAGCGGGGAACCAAATCACAGGGTGGAGGCCCTGGAGGATAAGGGTCAGGAGAGGAGAAATGGGGGTAGGTCTCTTAAGTCAAAAGGCTGCGAACTTCTCTATTCCATGTTAGGATAGCAGAGTTTCCAAGCGCTGCATTTGGTTGCTGCTAGATGGCCTTGCCAGGCTAGATAAGCATTGGGCTGTCTGACGATGGTCTCCTGCATAGTTTGGTCTCCTGTTTTCCTGTGTATGTGACATGCTTAAGTTAGGATTATGTCACTCAATCACATCTGCAGTGGTACAGCACGCTAGCTGGCCAGGTCGCGGTTTGTCAGTAGTCATGTTTTAAAAGCTGCCCATTTCTGGGTTATGCATATCTACTAATAATGGCTATAATATGGAATGGAAATTAACTGTGTCATCCAGCTAAATTTCAGCTCAGTTTCTGGTATGTATATTAATGACTTCTAAATACTAAGGATGTCAAAATGATTTAGATATAATGCTTTTGGTCTAGAATGGGATATATACTCAAATAGTTAATCAAAGGTCTGATCCATGGTGGGCTTAAGTGGAGAGGCACATATTTCTCTCTTGGGGAGGCAAGGGAAAGGACCACAACATTCTAACTCTCTCAGCCAATCCTCTTCCACTATGCATATATAGGTTGTGTGGTACTTGGAATTCCTGTATCATACTTAGCCTTTGATATGGCTCTTGAGAGTAAGAGACAACAGAAAAATGTTGCATTTAACAACCTGTTACAATGCTTGTTAGAGTGTTTTTATAAACTCTAAGGTGTTATGCAAGTGTCATAGTTAATAAAATAGCCTACCCAACACCCAACAGACAGACTGGCCATCTTGCCACCCAAATCCTCCCTTGGATAGAATTAGAGGGGGTATGGAATTTAGGAATTAGAGTGTAATTAATTACATTGATTATCCATAGTCTTTAAAATATTTTAAATTAGAAACAAGTCTATTTAAACAGTTTTAAGATTTACAAAGGATGAAACTTTTCATTAAATGAAAGAAATAGAGGGGTTAAGCCAGGAAATCCTATTTTACATTAAGAAAATTATTAAGAGACACTGGCTTAAACCCTAGTTCCCTCTGAGTTTATAGGGAGAGTTCCCATGGAGTGGGTGGGTGGAGAAGACAAAGACATAGATGGATGCTGATGAGGAAAGATGCGGGGGTCCTTTTCTGTTGACCAAGAACACTGGGGCAAAGCACAGTTGAACAGCAGCCTGCAGCCTCACACCATGGCACCTTTTGAGTCCCATCTGCCCTCATGTGCTGGGGGCAGGAGGTGGTGACAGAGGGCGTGGGTCATGGCCAGAGGTTCCTTTCCTCAAAGCAAACAAGCAAACGCCACATACGGCTCCCCAAAGCCAGGACTTCTTCCCTTTGGTCAGTATTCTGGGACTTCTATTAGCACATTAGATTTTTCTCATTTATTTGCCTTCAGTCAAGGAAAGCTTATGTTTTCATCCTTTGAACAAATCAGACGTGGCAAATCTTGAAGGAGAGGTGGCTGTCCCCCACCACTGTGCTGCTCAGAATGTCACCAGGTGGGCTGGTGAGAGGAGCACACAGCTGTTCCCAGCTGATAAAGGGGAGAGAAGATTGTGTCCTTGATTTTATTTCACTTTCTTTGGTATGTGTGAGGCATGGTGCCAAGATCTTGGTTTTTTTTGTTTTTTTTTTTTAAACTATACTTCTTCCGTTTCATCAAAAGTAATTTAATTTTGTTTTACAGTGAATCCTAACTGATGTTTTTACTTTTGGGGGATGGAGAGGGTGCTATATTTTTGTGGTTTTCTGTGCCTGACTGGGCAGAGCTTTGGATCTTGTCCCTTGCCCCATGCTGCCCAGGGCCTGCCACTTAGCAAGTACTCTGTAGATATGTATTTGATGAGCAAGGGCCTGAGCATGGATGTCTGAGGTGCAGGCACGCACTGCTGACTGGAGAGCCAGGCAGCAGCATGGGTATTCTTCAGCACAGTTCTTTTCTGGGAGGGTATTTCTTTTCTATGTGATCAATGAGAACAGGAGTCTCCAGGATAATTTTATGTAAGTCAGTCTTTTTGTATATACACTGCCCCCCTACCCCACCATATGTAAAATGGATTTCGCATATGCCTTTCCACAACTGCAGTGCCTCACCTCCCCAAACCGCTGTGGCTGATGGACTCTGGGCCCCAGGTGGAGCTGTGCTGCCCCTACAGCCTGCAGAAGGCCCAGGGTCTGGCCTTGGCAATGACTGTGGTTCGTGAAGTGGGTAACACAATGACACATACGTGTTCTCTGAGGGGAAACTTCGTTGCACACAGCCCAGGGAATTTATGTTATTGTAACTTTGGTTCTGAGGCGTTCTTTTATTATTATTATTACTATTATTTTTAGTAACAGCTTTATTGTGATATAATTCATTTACCATATAATTTATCCATATTAAGTATACAGTTCAATGTTTTTAGTTTATTCACGGTATGTGGTGCAACCATCACCACCATCAATTTTAGAACATTTTCATCACCTGAAAAGAAACCCCATGCTTCTTAGCCATCATTTCCCACTCCCTATCCCACCCACAGCCCTAGGCAACCACTAATTTGCTTTTCTGACTCTATGGATTTGCCTATTCTAGACATTTTATTATAAATGGAATCATACAACATGTGGTCCTTTGTGTCTGGCTTATTTTGCTTAGCCTGATGTTTTCAAGGTTCATCTGTATCAGTACCTCATTCCTTTTCGTAGCTGAATACTATTCCACTGTATGGATAGACCACATTTTGTTGAGCCATTCGTCAGTTAGTGGACATTCCACTTTTAGGCTGAGTTATGCTGCTATGAACATTTGTTTATAATCTGAGGATTTGTTTTTATATTTTCAATCTTTGTCACTTTGAACTGAGACATGTACAGGCACACAATTTTGGCTCCTTTTGGAATTCCCAGACATAGTATTGCTTGATGGCAGCGGAAGTCCATGGAGCACATGTCATGCAGCTGAACACACTACGGGGTAGTTAAAAGGAAGTACTTGTTTATGCAGATGGGGTTAATTTTAGGGAAAGTAAGCTTGAAATAATTTTCTCTGTACTTTTGATAATTTTCTGTGTGTACCTAAAACATACATTAGCATGCATATTTACCATTTCAAATATGATGTGTGTTTGGCTAAAAAAAATAAGGGTCTGGCCGGGCACAGTGGCTCACGCTTGTAATCCCAGCACTTTGGGAGGCTGAGGCAGGCGGATTGCGAGGTCAGGAGTTTGAGACCAGCCTGGCCAGCATGGTGAAACACTGTCTCTACTGAAAATACAAAAAATTTGCTGGGCATGGTGGCGCATGCCTGTAATCCCAGCTACTAAGGAGGCTGAGGCAGGAGAATTGCTTGAAACCGGGAGGCGGAGGTTGCAGTGAGCTGAGATTGTACCACTGCACTCCAGGCTGGGTGACAGAGTGAGACTCTGTCTCAAGAAAAGAAAAAAAAAAAAAGGTCTGTGCCCTCAAAGCACTCATGTCCAGTCTTGCTGAGGGCAGAAGGGTGGCTGTGGGGTGTGTGTGGGGACAAGGCAGACATCCAGCATGTGGGGCAACATGGTGTCTCTGCTGAGGATGAACAGGGCACTGTCAGAGTATCAGGGGACACCTCAGACCAGACTTAGGGTGGGATGGTAGGGAGGTTGGGGGAAGCTTCCAGAAGGAATTTCTGACCAGGTTGGAATCTACAGGAGGAATGGGTATAAATGAGCAAAAGAATCAGGGTAGAGAAAGAGGAAGGAGAGAGTTTCCAAGCAGCAAGTTGAGCATGTTCGGAGCACCACACATTCAGGGAGTTGAGAGGGGGACTCAAGGCGAGGTGTGGTGGGAACTGCAGATGAGAGAAGCGGGGAGGGCCCTGGTACCTCTGATAGCTGCACCAGGTGGTTTGGACTCTATCCTATGAGCTGGGAAGTCATTAAACGGAGCCCCATGAGCAGATCTGCTTTTTGGCCTCTCAGAAGGGGACACACGGGGCCAAGGGTGGGGTCTTGTTTCCCCTGCGGTGGGAGGGCAAGTCATCTCTGGGGCGACAGTGGGAGGTTTGAGGCTGTGGGGGGATTCTGGAAGAACCAATGTGGAGAACAAAGTGAGCACAGGGATTGGAGAAGCAGCTTCAGGGCTATTGAAAAGATGAATATTTTAAATTCGTATCATCAGACATTATGGAGGTCCCTAGGGATGTGGCAAAGCACTACACTTACGTAATTGTGCTTCAGAATGTCCCTTGCCTTACCTGAGTTAAACTTAGTTGAATTGAGCTGCCTTAATTGAACTGAAAGTGCCAATAAAAATAGAGAACAAAAACTGCCAAAACAAATTCTGTGGTTGCTGGAGCACCAGCCATCATCAGTCTCATGACAGCCAAGACTCAGCAGCTCCCTGGTTGATTTCACATATTTATTCTTGCTTTGAAATGGAAAGCCTGGAAGAGAAGCTAATTATTAAAGGGAATCAAGGAGTCAGGCAGGGGTCGGGGGGAGGAGATTTATCTGAGCTGTTACTTTGCTGCCATTGGGATGCCACAGTATCTCAATCCTAGAGTTGGAGGGGAGTTAAACACAGGGCAGGGCAGGATGGGGGAGGCAGCCTACCCAGGACGTGGCTGTGGGGACCTAAGCAGATGTGTTCCTGCATGCGTTGCTCAGTGAGGAACTGAGGCTCAGAGAGCTCCAGATGGTGGCTAGAAAGTAGGTCTGTCTGACTCCAAATCAGTGGTCTTCCTGCCCCAGCCAGGTGCCACTCAAGCGAGATGCAGAGGTGGTAGCAGGGGCCCTGCCATGGCTGGCTGCGGCACGTGGTACACACAAGGAGGTGGCAGAGGAGGCTTCATCACATTGGCCATTCCTTTGTTTATTAAACTCCCTTTAGATGGGGAGCCCTCCGTGGGGCTAAAAGTAGAATTAATCTCACTTTCTGACCATCTCTGTATCTGTTGCTGCAGATGAGAAACACCACGTAATGATTTCGGGAGACTAGATATACTCGCCACGGCAAGGCCACAATTATGGGCCTGGTGGACACTTCAGGTGGCAATTTAGTCTGTCTGCATTAGGCCAGGCTTCTCTTCTAGCTCTGTGACGGGGCTGGCTCTCAGGGAAGATCCCCTGGGGGAGGTAAGACCATGCTTATAAGCTCCTGCCACACATGCAGCTGTCAAAGCAACCCAGATCACCTCGGAGCAGGCGCACGGAACAGCTGAGCACACGACTTCTGCTCCTTTGCTCAGAGCAATGACTTCTGGCTTTTATTCTTTGTCCAGGTATGTACCCTCTGGTCACAGCGACCCAGGATGCTGACAGCAGCCGGAAGCTGGCTCACTTGCTGAACGCCGTGACCGATGCTTTGGTTTGGGTGATTGCCAAGAGCGGCATCTCCTCCCAGCAGCAATCCATGCGCCTGGCTAACCTCCTGATGCTCCTGTCCCACGTCAGGCATGCGAGGTACGCGCCCTAAGGAGCTGCTCTGCTTGGGCTTGGGATGGGATTATGTGCTCCACGGAGGGTGAAGTGATTTGGGAAAAGTGTCTGCAAGTTAAGGAAAATGAATGCCTGAAAGGGAATGGGGAATTTGTCAGTTCACACACCTGTAAGCAAAGATGGGCACAGAGTGGGCATGGAAGGAATGTCATGTGGTATCTTACAGGCTCTGCATGGCAGCCAGTGGTGGCTCATGGGTTTTTCAATTGCTGGGGTTTATAGCCTGTTTATGGAGTCCTAAAAGGGGCAGTTCCTCCCCTAACACGAACTGCCACCCCTGTTTACACCACCCAGGGCTGAGGCCCTGAGGCCACTTTTTGTGGAGAGGCTAAGACCCGCTCCCCTAGATGGCCCCTCGAGCTGGTGATGCGAAGAAGTGCACAAATGCTTCCCTAAGAGTTGTTCTTTCGGTGGCATCAGGAAATTAAGGATAAGACTTAAGAGAAGTGGTGGACCCAGCAGATTTAGGAAGGCAGGGCTGTAGGTAGGGCATGTTTCTGATCAGGAAACGTAATTGTGTGTGCTGATGAAGAGGGTGTGCAGTGGTGGCTACTGTTGGTACAATGATGCTCAGTGCTTGGTGTCACCCACGATGAGGGTAGCCTTGCCCTGGAGCTGGAGGAGGGGAGGGGAGGGTGGAAGGTAATTAACTGGTCACTGAGGAGGCAAGTCTAGAGGCTGTGGAGAAGGACAATATACACCTCGAGAATCTTAAGTGAGATGAAGACCTCTGCCTTTCCCCTTTAATGATTGCTCAGCACATAGCCATTTGCAGAACAGATCCTGTGTTTGTAGATTCCTTCATTGTGAATTTATCTGCTTGCTAAAATTTATTTGTAACCCCAAAATCAATATTTGTGGTGTTTTTGAGGTCATGAACAGAGTGGCAGAAATTTTGAGTTGCCCTTTATGTACAGTCCCAGCTGAGATGGAACAAGCAGCTGCTCTCATACTGTCAACAAGTGTCCTTTACTTGGTCTACTTAGTGCCATGGTTTTACATTTTTGTGCTTTTGGTGACTTCACTGTTTAAAATGCCCCCCTGGTGTGGTGCTGAAGACCTGTCTAGTGTTCCTCGGTGTGAAAAAGCTGTGATGTGCCTTATGGAGAAAGTATGTGTTAAGCTTTGCTCGGGTGTGAGTTATAGTGCTGCTGGCCATGAGTTCAATGTTAATGAGTCAATGGTATTTATCACATAAGGCATCTTTAGAAAGAAACACACATAAAACAAGGTTTTGTATTGATCAGCTGATGAAGATGTGGCCAGAGGCTTGCAGGAACCTAACCCTGTATTTCCCCTATGAGTGAGGATTCAGTGTTCACAGTGACTTTACGGAACATAATTACCGCAAACAATGAGGATTGATTGTCCTATGTGTCAGGCCATTGTAGGTGTGTGGTGGGACACAGAGGCTGACAAGACATCGTCCTTGCCCTTGAGCCTAAATTATCAGGGGGAGCTGGATGCACGAGCCATGGATAAATGGGCTGGGGGAAGAGTGGGTTTAGGGGTGGGGTAGACTGGCTCTGAGCAAAGAGAGCCGGGGAAGGCTTCGGGGTTCCTGTGGCTGCCTCGGAGGAGGGAATCTCAGCACCTTTTTGTCCCCATAGTAACAAGGGCATGGAACATCTGCTCAACATGAAGTGCAAAAATGTGGTCCCAGTGTATGACCTGCTGCTGGAGATGCTGAATGCCCACGTGCTTCGCGGGTGCAAGTCCTCCATCACGGGGTCCGAGTGCAGCCCGGCAGAGGACAGTAAAAGCAAAGAGGGCTCCCAGAACCCACAGTCTCAGTGACGCCTGGCCCTGAGGTGAACTGGCCCACAGAGGTCACAGGCTGAAGCGTGAACTCCAGTGTGTCAGGAGCCTGGGCTTCATCTTTCTGCTGTGTGGTCCCTCATTTGGTGATGGCAGGCTTGGTCATGTACCATCCTTCCCTCCACCTTCCCAACTCTCAGGAGTCGGTGTGAGGAAGCCATAGTTTCCCTTGTTAGCAGAGGGCACATTTGAATGCAGCGTTTCCACACTCAATGGCCTCATAGGATCTCAGTGTGGTCTTTCTTACTTTCCTTCTTCCTTCCTCCCCTTTGTGAAACATCTTAAAGGTTTTGGAATGAATGGTGGAAATCTGACTTGGAAGGGCTGCGAATCAGAAAGGGGAGAGGAAGTGACACGCTTACAGAAGTGGGCTAACCCTTCTTGTGTGGCACACACTACCCTTCCCTCTGAGAGTTGACCTTTGCTGTTTTCCGGACCACTCCATTGTAAGATTGAAAACCCCTGTGGCAATTGCGTACTTACCTCCCAGGCCTGTGGGGACTGATCATATCATATGATGCTTATTCTGTCAAAGGCCAGAGGGACTGTGGTTAAGCTGGGATGTGAGTCATGTTCTCTCCCTGACCTTGCTGCCAGCTGCACACAGATTTGTCCCTCTCGATTTGTATTCACAGAGCCTGCCAATAATTTGGGGTATGTGTGTATGAGCGTGTGATCATTTTCATGCAGGACTGTGGGAGATACAAATCTCGCTGCTTCTGGAGCTGCTCTTCCTTAAACCTGTTGTCCCATGGGGCCAGCGTGGGTGCTGGAGAAAGGCCGTGTTTGCAGGAATGGGGTTCTCTCCTGTGGGTGTGGGTGACAGCCACAGTGTTTCCCTGGGGCAATGTGGATGCAGTTTCCATCTTGTACAACCTCATAAGTAGCAGCCACAATTGCCCCATCAGTCACCACAAGTAGTCAGGGATACTTTGGGCTGTGGATGTGTGCAGTGTGCTGTTTTATGGATGGATGAGTAGCTATGCACCCCAGTGTGTCAGCTCTGGGGCCACACTGTATAGCCTTGATGAGTACGCCCCTTGAACAAGACCCAGTTTGTGAACTCTCCTTAAAGAGAAATATTTAGGGATAATTATTTATAGCAAGAAAGAATTCTTTTACACTTGAGAGCTCTTTTAAAAATATTTTCTTATTGGAAAATTTATATGGTGGGCAGGGTGAAAAAGAAACAGTAAAAATATTAGTTCTTATTCCAAGTGGAACATAAATAGGACATGAAGAAGGGCACCTCTGAAATGACAACTTTAACTCACCTTTTAAAAGATGTGAAATTTCCAGTTTTGGATACACGGTGAATATGTAAAATGAGTAACAGCATACTATGGAAGCCAGCAATTAAATAATCATGTTTCATTATTGCAGTAACGTTTTAAACAATTACCTTGTGATATGATATTAAATATATTTTCTTTTTGAAAATATGTTCACTTTGGGTAGCACATCCTGTATTTACTAAGTCATTAGGAAGACTGCATTCAGTGTTACCAAGACTGGTTTTTGCTAGTAAGACCTCGAATAATCCATAATTTTGATATTGGTGCAATTTTACTATAAGTTGAGCTTAGCTGTTTCAGAAATGCTTGGACAAGTACCTAGAGAACACACTGATGTCTGTGTTCTGAGGCAGTCTGAAGTTATTCTTAGAGACTCAGTTACAGCTTTAGTAAGATTTAGTACAGGCAGGATAAGCTTGGTTTCATAGGAACCAGGGAACCAGTGTTAGTGTCAGCTTCTTTCCTCCTGGTCAGCCTAGAATCCCCCACTCCCAATAGAGGGGTTTGGAAGCTGGAGAGTAGGAAGTAAGAGGCAAAGAAGGCAGCCTTCAGCAACTCATTATCTGCCAGTGAAATTCTATTAAATGTATTTTTAAAAGAGATTACCAGGTAACAAAAACATAAAAAACCAAAACAAGGCCAGATGTGGTGGCTCACGCCTGTAATCCCAGCACTTTGGGAGGCCGAGGTGGGCGAACCACTTGAGCCCATGAGTTTGACTCCAGGCTGGGCAACATGGAAACCCTGTCCTACAAAAGATACAAAAATTAGCCAGGCGTGGTGGTGCAGGCCTGTAGTTCCAGCTACCTGGGAGGCTGAGGTGGGAGGATCACCTGAGCCTGGGGAGATCAAGGCTGCAGTCCATTGCACTCCAGCCTGGGTGACAGAGGGAGACCCTGTCTCAAAAAAAAAAAAAAAAAAATTGCCACGAAATATATATATATATATATATATAATTTTTTTTTTTTGAGAGTAGATCTTAAGACAGAGATCACTTCTACTCCTGGGAGTGAACTGGCAATGGCAATCCCTTTAGAGCCTCGAGTGGGCAGTATCAGGAGCGCCGCACAGTGAGTTTCCAGCTGAGCTATTCTCACCGAATCTCGCTCTGTTCTCACAGCACCCCTCTGTCAGGCCTGTCTCATAGTGACTGCCCACCAGGACTGACTACAAAAGACTTGACCCTAAAATAGTCTTGAAGGGATTTTTCTCAAAAAATTAAGGCGGGAACACAAGACAAAGCTGTCAGCCTAGTCACAAATCTGAAGACTCAACTGCATTAAAAATAGTGCAAAATCGGCAGGAGCTGTACAGTGCGAGTCTTGGTCTGGAATACTCCCCCTGCTAACTCAGCTGGAAGGGCAACTATCTTAGATTTCAGTAAGGAAGAAAAATCAGTTACCAATACTTGGCAGAGCCATATTATATATCCATATATATTTATGTATATAAGTGGAATTGAAGCAATTCTAGAATTTTCTAGCATGTGAAAGCAGGGTTTAGTTCTTATTTACGTCTGCTAAGGGACTTTTCAAATTCAAAGTGAACCTTCTGTTTATAGGCCTATTTTGAAACAAAGTATCCTCACTTAATAAGATTTGACACCTTTTTTTTTTTTTTTTTGAGACAGGGTCTGACTCCTGTTGCTCAGGCTAGAGTGCAGTGGCGCCATCATGGCTCACTGCAGCCTCGACCTCCTGGGCTCAAGCGATCCTCCCACCACAGTGCCCCATCCCACCCCATTCCCGCCCTCGCCGAGTAGCTGGGGTGCACACCACCACTCCTGGCTAATTCTTTTAATATTTGTAGAGATGGGGTTTTACTATGCTCCCCAGGCTGGTCCTGAACTCCTGGGCTCCAGCGATCTGCCTGCCAAGGCCTCCCAAAGTGCTGAGATTACAGGCATGAGCCACTGTGCCCAGCCCCGCCACATTTTTTTTTAAGTTGCTGAAAATCTTTTAAAAAGATAAAAACACATTATTTAGTATCTAAAGATAATATCTGTGCCAGACACAGTTCTCAGTGCCTCAGACATTCACATTTAATCCTTATTATAATAACTGCTATTTCCTTATTTTCTGGTTGTGGAACTAGACACGGTCTAAGCAAACTTGCTGAAGGTCACGTGGGGAGTAGGTGATTGAGCTGAACACAGGCAGTCCAAGTCCAGTGCTGACAGTGACCATGCACTTCAAACAGTTTAAAAATTTAAAGAAAAATATTTTAAAACTGCAGAATCTATCAGGTGCAACCTGACATGCACGGCTGCTGTGATTTAAATGGGGCCCCCTTGTGATACCCCCTTACCTCCCACCACAATGTCCAGAACACCCCTACAGACACAGTAAGTTTGTAAACCTCTCACATCAAAGTTCAACTCCACCTTTCATATCTGTGTAAATTAAAGCCCACGGGGGCAAATTCACCTATTCAAGGTCATAAAACTACTCATGGCAAAGCTTGGACTGGCACGCAAGTCTTCTGCTTGCCTAGCGGGCCAGTATTGCTCCTGCCCCAGGACTTGCTTCTGTGAGAATCTGCTTTGTGAGCTGAGTCGCAGCAGAATGGAGGGGCGGTGAAGTTAGGGTTGTCTTCTGCTGTACCTTTAGATCCCATCTCCTCAGCTTAGATGGGTCTGCATGAGCCTTTACACAACAGCAGCAATGACAGATGGAAAAATAAGATGCATAATCTGTTATTCCCATTGTCCCATCTCAGGTTCATGAGCTCTAGTGGGTACTGTGATCACCTCCTGTCTGTGACTGCTTTCCCCAAACACGTGGAATATGTTCCTTGGAAGTGTACTCATGTAAAATTCACATCTTTTAGGCACTGCTGCTTCCCTGTGGAGTGTGATATACTACAGTGTGAAAACACGTGCCACTTATTCTTTATAGCTCTCAAACTTGCTGGAATTTTGGCTCCAGTGGCAGCTCTTAAGATGTGCATTGTCTGTGATGTATGATCGTAGTGCCATTTTTGTTGCTTTGGAGTCAGGGAGGTTTTTTGTTTGTTTGTTTGTTTGTTTTTTAATTCCGAGGATCCTATTCACTTGTAGGGCCAGCCACTGGTAAACTGGTGGTGGGTTTCCTCTATGGGAAGCACATAAGGAGTGGTGATACCAGCCGCGAACAGTTCCTGTTAACTGTACAATGGATGTTTTTGCATTTGTTTCCTCTGTTGGGTGTCTAAATGCCTTAACTGTTGGTCCTATACCTTTTGTCATTCAATGTGTACTTCAGAGCCTGTTGGTTGGCTATAATTTGCCATTTTCTCAGACGAATGCTTTGTATCATTACACTAATTTGTTGACTTCATTTGCAGGCTTTACATTTGGGCCTTGTAGAAATGAATGTTTGCTGCTCTGTGAAAGCAGATTTTGAGACCTGCTTTCCCTTCCTCCAGGGAGTGTTTTCCTTACTGTGTCCCTTTAATGTCTATGGCACTGTCGTAGAGAGTTTAACATGATATAAATAAAGTGTTTCATTATTTTGGCTTTAAAAATGTATTTGTTGGGGGTTGAGTGTAAGAACTTACAGTAATTAGGCTAAGTAGTGTCTACATTCTATTCTGAATTCTTATTGTGGGGTTAGAGAGTCCTTTGAGAATTTGATGAAAACCAGGGCTAGTCTTCCTGGGAAAGGGCACCTGAACACAAATGCTTGAGTACAATTTCAGAAGAGTTAAGAAGCTCTGCTTTAATGTATCTTCTTAAAAAGAACAATTTCATCTTTAGTCAGCTAATCTCACACTTGTGATTGATTTATGACCACAGGTCCTGTGTATACAAGTAAAATGCAGCTCACAAAAGTCCTGGTATCCAGTGCATCGATTATTTGGATAGATTTTCTGTAATCATTCTGAGTTTGATTAGAATTATATCCTTTACAGATGGGGAGAAAAGCAATTCATTCATTTGAAGTTATCTTAGTGCCAAGAGTCATGTGAAAATGTCCCTTGCATGTGGGCAATGAAAGATTTGCAGACGATATAAAACCCAGACTACCTCATAAAAGAGTTTTGGGAATACACTGAGCTTTGAGTGAAAGAAGCTGCAGTGGCCTCCCTGGAGATGGGGAGCAAACCAGCTTAAAGGCCCTTATCCTGAGGAAGAGACAAAAATTGACATGCACAATATTAAGCTTTGAAATGCAGACCACACTTCCTTTCACTGCAACTTTGACTTGTCCCGCATCTCTACTTAAGGGCAGAAAAGGCCTCTCAAACACTCACCTCATTTGGAATGAAGATGGAGACTCTTTTGCCTGAAGCAACGATGGAGCAGTGACCCTCTAATCAACTCGGTGGCCTAAAGAAAAATCTTGGGTAACATTTTCACTTCAGTTTCCCTCTGGGATCATTGTAATCCATGAAAAAAATAATTTTAAAGAAAGAGTTAAAATACTTTGAAGTTAGTTATGTGGTTAAAAACCACCTTCCTTTCTATTATCAATCCAACAATTTGATAACTGTAAACGCTAAAGTGAAGACGGATTCTCTTCAGATGGTCTCCTTAACTGCCCAGGGCTTGCAGATGTCTCACCCATGAGGGGCACCAATGTAGAAAGCTGAGGCTTCATCTACTGATGAGCTTCACTGGTTTCCCCTGAGGTTTGTGCTTTGGCAGAGAAGGGGAGGAGGGGACTGGGATTGTGTGGTCAGCTGTGCCTGCCAACAGATGCAGGTTAGGAACTGTGTTCAGTATCTTCCAATAAGAAAGGGGAAATGCCGATGCCTATCCTCTTTGTTTAGGTAGAAAGTAAAATGCTACTGGACTTAAATGGGCAACAAGGGGCTTTGCCTGTTCATTTGCCATGGAGAGGGCTGGGAATCCAGGTGCGGTGGCTCACACCTGTAATCCCAACACTTTGGGAGGCCGAGGTGGGCAGATCAGTTGAGGTCAGGAGTTTGAAACCAGCCTGGCCAACATGGCGAAACCCCGTCTCTATTAAAAATATAATAATTAGCCAGGCATGGTGGTGTGTGCTTGTAATCCCAGCTACTCAGGAGGCTGAGGCATGAGAATGGCTTGAACCTGGAAGGCAAAGGTTGCAGTGAGCCGAGATTGGGCCACCGCACTCCAGCCTGGGTGACTGACAGAGTGAGACTCTGTCAAAAAAAAGAGTAGAGTAAACTGGGTATAAGATCCTTCCCTTTGCGTCCACCTCTCATGCCATGCTGCCTTTGCCATTCCCTACAATAGCTGAGGGTCACACGCTGAATAATTTAATTTACACATACACGAGGGTCCAGAGCTAAGTTAATTCTGTAAATAAGACTTAGAATAAAAGGCCCTCTCCAAATATTTTAAAAATAATAATTTTTGTTTTTTGGAAGATTAAGCATACCACTGAACTGCTTTGTTACAGAATTCAGTACAACAGAAGTCTGGCTAATTTTGTTTTTTAATGAGAAACATCTGAGTTGTACATATCACAAACAGCTTCAAGTTTCTGTACCAACCCCCCGCCCCCACCCCCGCCGTGGCCAAACAGTTAAAACCCAAAGCAAAGCATCACTTTGGATGTGAAAAAGTCTTAGAAAATTAACTTACAAAAACATCCCTATCAAGTCGGTAGTTTGGCATTTACTTTACATTAGTCAAAAGCTCCAGCTAAAATCTAATTTTTTTAAAAAAAAATCGAAGTTTACATTATTCATACAGATTGGGCATTGTTAAAAAATATGCACAAATAACCACATCCATGCAATACAATTTCTTTAAAAATTTAAAGCAATATAAAAGAGCAGAGCTAGGTACTGAACAGAACATTTTGGTGTATAACCGGCAGCTCAAAATTGCCAGCTGATTGGAGTAAAACTGATTCTAAGCGTATTAAATATGATTGATTGTTTCCATCAGCTAAGGGTGCCTATGAGTTTCTGAACCATTTCTAGGGTGGAATGTCCTCGCTTGCTTCTATAATATATGTGATGGACACCACTGCTCATTGACCATACCTACATTATAATAATGCTGTTTTACAAACAAACCAGAATTCACAAAGTGCTTGGCTCTTCAGGAAACTGACATTTCCAGAGATCCCTAAACTAATCAACTAGTTCTGCCAAAATACCCGGGGCACCTGCCACACAGGTTCCCTGCTCCTGGGGAGGAACACAATCTGAAAGCTGCCCTGGGCTCCAGGGAGCCCGTGCTGGGTAAGCCCAGAAGAAGTCTGCACAGGTCCCGGGACCTTGCCAACACTAAGTCACTCAGATTGGTCTGGGGCCACGTGCTGGGCACCCTTGGCAATCAGGCAGGTGGTGTAGCACTGTGGCCAGCTATGCCCTCTATGTGGGGGGTGGCCCATTGGTGTACCTCAGCATGGGGTAAAAGGACCGGGCAAAGTTGTTGGCCTGAGTGCAGCTGTAGTCTTCTTCGGAGGAGGGCAGCAGGCAGGCCAGGAGCAGCAGCAGCAGGAGGAGCAGCTGCAGGGGTAGGGCTGCCCGGACCACCCTTGAGAGGAAGGAGCGCTGTGGCCGTGTGCTGCCGGGGACCCTGCCAACAGAGGAGGTTGAGAGCTGATTGGGAGGCTCCACAGGCACAACCCACTCTATTACCTAAGCCCCTGCTTATGTAAGTAAGAAATCCAAGACCTGAGATTTAAATAGGGCCAACAGTTGGGGTTCAGTTTCAGAGGAGAAAACCAGCCCTTTCCAGACAAAAGAAAACCAGATTTTTGCAAGGACCTTGATAGTGGCATTGGCAAGACTGAGTCAGTGGGAGTGTGGAGCAGGGGAACGCACTGCTGTCACGGTAAAGCCCCGTTACCTGCTCTCTGTCTCCTCCTCGCCTTCTGTAGTTCTCACTGCTCTGAACTGCTGGGTAAAGAAACTCCAGTTAGTAAGTTGAAGACAGTTTAGTCCTATCAATGATAAAAAAAAAAAAAATCCTCCCTTAAATTATATACCACCTTTATGTTGTGTTACAGCCAAACTTTGGAGACTAGAGTAATACAATTGAGATTAAACGTCACCTGAAGTAGGAAATAATTAGGTTAATCTACTCAGTTTCAGGGTCAAGTGTGTTGAAGTTTTTAATGGCAAAATCAGGGAACCCCTTTAGCGACACTATAAGAGCTCTCATTCACAACCTACTGTGATCCCAAAGAAGAGTGACTAGAGGCAGACTGTAAGCCTCTCTATGGGTCAGCAGAGACCTGTGCTGTCCTGAAATGGCTAATGGGCTCTTGGAATCCCAAGCTTCCCTCATCTTAGTGACTTTAAAAAATAACCAGTGAGGTTCTCACAGAAGGAAGGGGCTTCTTACCTTTGCTCGGGGAGCTGGCACGGATGTTGCAGGAGGCTGGTCCCCCGAGTCTACCTCGTCGAAGCTGGGCAGGGGTGAGGCTGGGTTCTGAAATTCAGACCCCAAAGGTTGAGCACAGAAATGTGTTTCATGCATATTCTTCATGATATAGCTCACCCTCCCCTACCTTAAATCAATCTTTTTTTGTTTTGTTTTGTTTTAGACAGTCTCACTGTGTCACCCAGGCTGGAGTGCAGTGGCACAATCACAGGTCACTGCAGCCTCAACCTCCCAAACTCAATCCTTCTACCTCAGCCTCCTGAGTAGCTGGAACTATAGGCATGCACCACCACACCTGGTTTTGTATTTTTTTTTTTTTTTTTTTTTGCAGAGACGGGATTTCACCATGTTGCCCAGGCTGGTCTCAAACTCCTGGACTTAAGTGATCCACCTGCCTTGGCCTCCCCAAGTGCTGGGATTATAGGCATTAGCCACTGTGCCCAGCCTTAAATCTTTCCTGAAGGGGCTCTTCTATTGCTCTCACTCCCAACAACAACAGACTTTTTCGGACAAAAAGGAATGTAAACAAGGAAAAGCCAACCCATATTAAAAACCAACCCATAGCACAGAGCTGGGGAGACTGAGTTTAGCAGCAGCAGTTTGAGTAGATGGTGAGCTCATCACAGGTCGGTGATGAGATCATGTGGCCATCAAGAGAGTCTAGTTTTGGCTGCTTAGGAGAAAACAGACCTGCCCTAAGTCTGGTGAGGCCACAGTCTGGGTATTCCCTTTGTTTTGAGTTGGATCCCATTTTAAAGTAGGCCAGCTATGGTGGCTCATGCCTGTAATGCCAGAACTTTGCATTGCTTGAGGTCAGGAGTTCAAGACCAGCCTGGGCAGCATGGCAAGAACCCTTCTCTACAAAAAATACAAAAATTAGCCACTTCCTTTAAAAAAAGTTTAAAAATTGTCATCCCGCCACTCCCTTTTAAAAATGACAAAACAGATTCAAAGAGCTCATGCAGCTCTTTAAGTCCACACAGCTAGAAAAAGGGCACGACATGAGGCCCCACTCGGACCACCTGGCCCTTGCTTCTGGCCTCTGTCTTAGAGCATTGCTACAACACTGCTGTCCTGTCTGCATGTAATACGGCAATCTTTACAGTTAAAAGCTACAAGTAGACTCACCTGGGTTCCCTGCAAGGCCATTAAATCTTGGGACACTTGCTCCCGTAACTGTTTGAGTTTCTTCTCAATAACATGCACCTTTTCTTCAGCTTCAATACAGTCTTCTCCATGTCCCTTAATGAGAAGGCTGTTTGAAATCTCCTGTAACATGTCCACTTGAGGTTGACGTTCTACCAGCTCCTTTTCCAGTTGCTGAAAACAGATAAAGTGTGTGAAACAGTGACCTGTCCAAAGGGAAGCGAGTGTGGACACAGGAGGTTTTTCTCAGTACCAGAAAAATTCCAGAATGAATGATGGGTAGTACTCAACTCGAGAATCCTCTATTTCTCATATCTGCCTGTGTCCTCCAGCCCAGCACTATTTAGATAGCAAGTGTATTATGCCCTGCCCCTATTTTTAATTTCTTTTCACTCTGAAGACAATTGTGATGCTGGAGAAATTAGAAGAAAGAAGTGAGGCAAGTGGTGTGGGAAGACCAGGTCCCTCATCCACCACGGAAGGAAGTAAAGGGAAACTCTAAAGTCAATCAACCGAGAAACAGCAGCGTAACCATAGAGGTTCATACCAGGCAAACGGGCTTTAATTGTTAAGGGTGGTTATCTTGCTTGCAATATGGCCACTAGACACATGTGGCTATTCATTTATTTATTTTTTTGAGGTGGAGTCTCACTCTGTCGCCCAGGGTGGAGTACAGTGGCACGATCTGGGCTCACTGCAACCTCCGCCTCCTGGGTTCAAGCGATTCTCGTGCCTCAGCCTCCCAGGTAGCTGGGATTACAGGCGCCTGCCACCATGCCCAGCTAATTTTTCTTGTATTTTTATTTTATTTTGTATTTTTAGTAGAGACAGGGTTTCACCATGTTGGCCAGACTGGTCTTGAACTCCTGACCTCAGGCGATCCGCCCGTCTCAGGCTCCCAAAGTGCTGGGAGCCACCGTGCCCGGCCTACATGTGGCTATTTAAATTAACTAAAATTAAAAATTCAGTTTCAGTCATAATAGCCACATTTCAGGTGCTTTAAGCCACATGAGGTTATTAGACAGTGCAGACACAGGTCATCTCTATCACTTCAGAAAGTTCTACTGGACGCCACTGCTTTGCTTTGCAAACATTTTAGGAAGCTGTATTTTTAAACAATGGCTAGCACTCTGATTAAAATTTAAAATATTTAAACCACATACAGATTTATGGATGAAAATGTCACCTTGAGCACCAGTGAGAATACAGAAATCTCATCTTGGTGTGTTAGTGACAAATACACCAGGACACGACTCTCCTCCAAGAAGAAAGATTTTTCCATAGTGGATACAGAAAACCCATTCAGCTCATCACAGGTGTGAAGCAAATGAGCACCATATTTCTCCCCAATGAGCAGGATTCACGAGAGAAAAATACTTCCACTCAAATGGCCTTAAGTTCCTCAGGATATCGAGAGCACCTATGTCCTCAGTTCTGTGGACTGTGGCTCTCCATTCCTGCAAGTCATTTGGCTTCAGAACTACAAAGGGCAGCTCGGTAAACACCAACTGGAGGAACACTAGGGCTGAACTCGTGCATTTACAGGCAAACACCACTGGCACAGTTCCTGAAATACTAGGCGAGGCTACCTGAGTGTGCTGCCTCTCTGGGGCTGACAGAGGCTGGTGGCAGTACAGAGCCCTTGGGAGGAAACTTACCATTAGTTCCCTCCGACACTCTAGGAGAGCCCGGGGGTCTGCCTTTGGATCGGTGACATGAGCCTTCTGCCTCCGGTTCTTGGCACTCGCTAACCACAGCAGCAGATTTTGACTCAACTGGTGGAAGTCCTTAAAAAACAACACATCAGAGCGCGGCCGTGTCTTAGAGCCCTGGAAGAGGGTGTGCCAGGAACATGGCTTACTGCTTCCAATCCATCACAGTCATTTGCTTTTCTGGCCTTACCCACTGAATACGAGGACCAGCTTTAAACTAAATGCCAGGGCCCCAAAATGAGGAAGAGGAAAGAAGGAAGACACTCAGCACAGTGCCAGGAGGCCGCGAATAAAAGTGCCACTATGAAGGTAGGGCTTTGGGATGCCCAGCTGATTTTATATATGAAGGCCACACGCATTCCTCAGCCAATCTGCTGGGTTCTCTGCTGGGTTCCAGTGGCAGAGGGAAACAACCCAACAGGACAGGCTGGGGTGGGCTCACGTTCCCTGAGACACAGCCAGAGCTAGGCAGTGGTGCAGAGCTCACACCCGCTGTGCATTTACTGTGTCAGGTACTGGGCTAGGATTATACATACTGCCTCATTTACTCCTAAAAAGAACCTTTTTAAGGTTCTTTCTAAAAAGAAAATGGGAATGATTCCCATTTTCAGATGAGAACACTGAGGTCTAGGAGGTTCAATGCTTTGCTCAAAGTCACATGGCTATTAAGCAGTAACTGCTCCTCTGCTTCAAGGCCAGGTCTCTTAATCACTCTGGCAAAAGGACAAAAAGAGGAGTTGTGGGGTGGCATCTCTAACCTACAGGTCGCCTGCAGGAACCCTGACTCCAGGAGTGGCTCTGGGCCTGGGCAACAGAGACGAGACCTGGGACAGGGAGTAGGTCTCTGAGATGGCCGGTGAGCCTCTGTGGAAACAAATGGTAAAGCACATGTTTCCTGACACCAGCCACATTTGGCTGCACGGAAGCAGCCTGATGATGATAAAAATATCTGCTGCTCCTACCACGTGGGCCTGGGTACCGGCTCTGGGAGGCGGGCTGCTGAGTCAGCGTACCTGGCACTGCATGAGCGACTGTCGTAAGCCCCCTCTCCAGCTGTCCACTGCGCCCTGTGCTGCTTCCCAGAGCAGGCTCAGCTGGCGGAGTCTACTTTGGAGCTCTGTGGATTCGGGGCTCTCGGTTTGCAGAAATTCCTTGCTGCTCACGTTGACAGAGACCACTAATGCCTTGTAAGTGTCAAAGGCTTTCAGTATCTCCTACCAGAGAGAGAAAAGATGAGGTTAGGAGCTCTGAAAGTAGGGAGGAGGGGCTCATTTTGAACCTCAGTAGGGAACAAATTTTCCACACACTTTTCCAAGCTGCGGCCACAGAAATGAGAGTGACCTCGCCTGGGACTGGCTGGAAAGCATCAGGTGAGGGAGCTGCCTTAAGGTCTGTGAACTTGGCCAACAGGGCCCCAAAGTAGAGGCCTGCTGGAGGGAGGAGACCCTGCTGACCTCTACAGGCCCCGCTCTGCAACTGGCTTAATGTTTCTGGACCGACTAAAGGTCTTCCAGATAAAGTATATGTGGTTATTCTGCATTTGCTCCTAGAAATGCCAGAAATGTTATTCCTTAGGAGGAATGGTAACCCCTAATATATTAACACAGATAGTAAAATAAAAGTACAAATATGAAAGGTACCTGGATCCTCCAAAACCCCTGCCCTGGGTCTCAGGCTACTGCTCATGGCACCCTTAAAGCGCAGGGCTCAAACTGTCCCTTTGCAGCTCCCTGGGCTAGTTCCAGTGGGGTCAGGACTTATGTAAGTGACACATCCTAATTGCATAAAAGGGTAATGAGGTCAGGCCACGGGATTCATCAGTAGGTGAGCCGGTCCTTTCCCAAGCCCTTTCAAGGAAGATTCCACCACTAGTCTTTCGTGTAACTGTGCAGCATACAGTTTGGAAGAGTGGTTTTACACTGCCTGACAGTGTCCACTAGCACCTCCAGAAAAGTCTAGAAATGCCTCGGATGTCAGATTTTTCCATCTCTGGAGATCTGAGCCACACCTCCCCAGTACTCTGGGATCAGGATCATTTGCAGATACTCTTCCATGTGAAAACAAAAATCTGCATCTATGTCCTTGCCAACTATGGAACTGAAATGGAAGAGAGTGACCTCTACATACACCATCTGCAAGCTGCGCCTATGCCACGAATACATGGGATCTGCTCGTCCAGCATAGCAATGCGTTCACATGCACATTCTGAATCCCTCTTCCCCACCACACCTCTAACTCACCTGCAGTCTCTTCACTCTCAGTTCTATTTCCTGGATATCAGAGGGAGGCTTTGCCATCTTTAACATTTCCAGCTCTGCTTCAGTTTTTTTCAGCCAAGTAGTGATGGCGCTGATATCAGAGTTCAGCTGTTGCAAATTTTGTTTTATTTTGAGCTTATTGTGAAGCTCCTGTGCTTGAATCATCTCCCATCTGTCGAAGGCACCTGGAATTAAAAAATCGCCAATTAAAAAAAGCAATAATGCAACAGATTTCTCTGCCTCCAGCTAATTAGGGGTCAGGGTGGTTAAAAAAAAAAAAAAAAAAAACAAAAAAACTGTAGGGGATTCCCCTGACAGAAGGGTCTGGTTTTGGGAGTTCTCTCTTCTCCTGGAATGTGGAATAGCACATGATCTGAGGCGTACACTCCCACAGAGGCTGGAATGAAGTGGAAGGTCTATGTGCTACAGTTTCAAGCTCAACAGTTCAGTTCCTGCTGAATTTTTTCAGTTTTCTCCTTTGGTCCACAAATGACCAGGTCGATGCTGTCAGCTTTAGATTTAGTTGAGTAATTACTTTTATAATTACTGGGCTGGTCGAATGAAGAGACACTTGAGATAACACTGATCATCATCCTCAAGTCTGATCTTTACACACAAATATAGAAAGTGAAAACCTGCACTTCCTCAGGAGGCTTATTTTACCAACATTTAAAGAATAGTTTTCAAATTACACTGAACAGCCTAGGAATTTGTTCGTGAATGCCAATCGCTGATTTAAAAATAACATTGGTTGTTGTAGGGTAAGTCCCCCAGTTCTGGCGAATCGTATAGTTGGTTAATATCTAATGAATGTTCTCTTGAGCAAGGACTTAAATACCATACTCTGCCTCTCTGGACGACTGCCAGTTACAGGCAGTACCTGACTGCTGCTCTGTGATACCGGCCAGTCCCCCGTCTTCCTGCTGTGGGTTGCCATTCAGGACTCGCGGGCCTTCTTTGCCACCATCCGTGCCTGGAGGTAATAGTAGCTTTCCCTAGAATGAGCCAGTTTTTAAGTTACCATCTGTAGATATGAAGGATATCTGAAGAACAACTGGATTCATTTCATATTAACAGTGAAGAAATGAGATGGGCCCCTTTCCTTTGAAGGGTATCTTGCTAGGAATACAGTGGTGCTTTAGTGTCTAGGTAGCATTTATAAGCTGGCAAAGCTGATGGCAGAAATAAAGCCTCAGCTAAGGCCCAGGGAGAGGGAAGCAGATGAGATGTCAGTGATGGGAAGAAAAGGGTCTGTTTCAATTGGCATGCTTCCAAACACCCCTCAAATGATCCACACGAAACAAATCAGAACAATTTGTTGAGCTTACCAGACGGTTACTGCGTTAGCACTTTGAATTTTCATAGTGTTTTACAGAATTTTAGTTATCCCTGTCACTCTGTAGAGGTGGTTGGCATCATTATCACAGAATCAGAAATGCACAGAGGATGAATCTGCCTCCCAGGGGCATTCGTTACCAAGTGTTTATCTTTCACCGCACATACTGACTCTTCTGTTATCACACAGCCGATTGGGCTGTTATCTCGGGCCTCTCCAAAAATAAATGTGTCCCTTTTAGAAAAGCCCTGCTTTCTTTGTCTTTCTTCTGTCTGTATGGCCTATTTGTGCAGAATGAAAATAATAAAAAAAAAACCTTCAGATTTGTGGTGATACATCTGGCTTCAGACACAACAAAAGGGTTGAGATTTTGAAACCGGCCAGGTGAGGAACACAGGCGTCATCACAGGAAGGGATAGCCAAGCCACATGAGCCAAGGATGTAAAGCAGAGGTCAGGGACTGCGGTCTTTCCCCTGTCTTATTATTCTTTTTAAAAATGACACCTGCTTGTTAAGCAAGAGGAAGTGTTTCTGAATTGGACACAAACAGCCCATTATCAGCTGACTTGGATTTGAGCATGCAAAGGCAGAATCTCCTCCAATGATGTAACAATATTCTCTCCTTAATTTCTCTCGCTGCTGCCCTAGGCTGCCCTCCCAGGAGCTGCCTAGCCAGAGCATGCCAAGAACTCAAGGCAGCTGAGGGAAATGTAACTAAGAAGAAACAGCCATTGCTATAAACAACAAACCAATACAGGAATAATAATCACGACCAATACAGGAATAATAATCACGACCATTACTTCTGAGGACCTTCTTTTACCTTTATACACAATAATCTTAACAACTACTAGGTGAAATAGCTTTAGCCTCAGGTGAGAAAGGCTTACAGAAGCAAGGCGAAGTGCCTCAGGTACCATGGCAATGGATTGGCAGGGCTAGGAATCAAATCCGTGTCCACTGCAGCACACCATCAATGATTTTTTGGAATAGGATGTATGGACAAAAGGTTAACATAACAAAGGCTTGAAGGTTGGATGCAGTGGACCATGCCTGTAATCCCAGCGCTTTGGGAGGCTGAGGCAGGTGGATCACTTGAGGTCAGGAGTTCAAGACCAGCCTGGCCAACATGGTGAAACCCCCATCTCTACTAAAAATACAAAAATTAGCCAGGCATGGTGGTGCACACCTGTAATCGCAGCTACTTGGGAGGCTGAGGCAGGAAAATCACTTGAACCCAGGAGGCAGAGATTGCAGTAAGTCAAGATCGTGCCAGTGCACTCCAGCCTGGGTGACAGAATGAGACTCCGTCTCCACAACAACAACAAAAAGACAAAGGCTTGAGAGCTCAGGAGCAGTCAGGAAAGCCAGCACCTTGCTTGCTCACTATTTGCACAGACACCTGACTCGACAGTAATAATGACTGTTACACCACACCAACATACAGAAAGATGGTTTTTGGCCAGAACCTATCTCTAAGTCTAATCGGTTTTGCCGGGGTTCTAATGAAGTATGGACAGCTCAACAGAGACACTGTCACCATAAGAAAACCAACTCAAAATATGCCTGGGGAATGAATACACGCAGTTTACACCAAAATCTCTCTCTCTTGCAAATGTAAGTATGACTCACAGACATAGGCTGTACTCCCAGTGAAGTTAAGACTTACATAGGGTGGTTTATAAGGGGTGCTGGACGCAGGGGGAACAGGTGGAACATTCCTGTCACCTTCCATTTGCTTGTAGTGATGCTCGGGACAGGAAGGGCTGTCGGGAACATGCCACGAGTGGCCATCCGAAATGGATTTACCTGAAACGAAAGACAGCAAGCGACAGTCTATTCTCTCCTACTGAACGGGTCACGGGTGACATGGCATCAGGTTACAGTATGAAAATGAGTTCTGCAGCTTTCCTTGCAAAGCATGCATGTTTGCAAAATGTCAGTATGTCCCAGAAGAGAATGAGATGAGTCATGCAACTCAGCAACACTGTGCCTTCACTAGATGGGTACACAACGGAGCACGACCAACATGATTTGCTGTGGGATGAGTGGCGTTTTGGAGCCAGGGTCTCGAGTGGTAGGGACACTGAGTGGCAAGGCCGGGTCTGGGGACCAAGATGGCAGAAGGCCTCTCAGGAGTGAGGGGAAGAGTGAACATCAAGATGGACTTGGGAACCAAAAGGCTCCTCAGGGCTCTCCCCGACCCACCATGGCAGATAGGGATGGGGCTAAGGATGAGGATTAGAGCTGCAAATCAAGGAAAGGAAGGTTTTTTCCCTCCTGTGGCAAATCATCAGCACCCTTTACCGCCCCAACCCCCCACCCCTTTCCACCAGGGGATCCCAGTAAAGCAAGGAAACAGTTCCAAACCAAGCCACCATGAAGAAAGCTTGGCCCATGCCAAAGGACTTCAGTTAGATGGAGAAAAAAATCATCAAAACAGGCACCATGAAAAATTCCCTCTGCACAGGCCTGAAGGGAGGAGAGGGGGTTGGCATCGAGACGGCTCTGGCTTGGATGGGGTTTTGTAAGGAGCACGCAGTTATGGGTGAGTACGGCAGTGTAAATACACCATGACACAAGGACCAAGGCGCATGGTGTCCACAGAAGGCAGAGGTAGACACGACATGGGAGCGAGGTTGAGGATGCAGTGTGCGCCACAGGATGCTGCCATGTTGACACATGCATGGGCGGGGGCCTACCAGAAGACGCTTTCAAAGTTTTTGTGGTCATTTTAAGATATGCCTCAGGATTTTCAGGGATTTCTACATCTGAAAAAGAACAATGTCATTTGCCTCACTGGAGGTGCCTGAAGATTAATGCCCAAGTATTAACACACAGTAGAAACATTGTCAGCTGGAAGGAGAAAACTACCCTTTATTTTTTTAATTAAAAGGATTTTGAAAACCAGAAAGATTTTTTTTTCCAGCCAACTCCTGACTGTCCAAAGCAGGACACTGGGTATCAAAGGGAGAAGCTCAGTCTGCAGACACTCTGAGAAACTCAACTGAAAGGGAGGGTAGGCACAGTGGCTCATGTCTGCAATCTCAGTACTTTGGGAGGCTGAGGCGGGAGGACTTCTTGAGCCCAGGAGTTCAAGACCAGCTCTGGCAACATAGCAAGACCTTGTTTCTACAAAAAATTTAAAAACTAGCTGGGTGTGGTGGCGTGTACCTATAGTCCCAGCTACTCAGGAGGCTGAGGTGGAAGGATTGCTTGAGCCCTGGAGGTTGAGGCTGCAATGAGCCGTGGTCGCACCACTGCACCTCAGCCTGGGTGACAGTGTGAGACCCTGTATCAAAAAAAAATCACTGATGAGTCTCCCAGACAGCCAGAGCCATCACTGAGTAACCTTAGTGTCTGAATGTGAATTTCATTTTTTTTCCCCCTTTCATTCCACCTGTGATGAGAGTGAGCCAATTCTCAGGTAAGTTAAGAGATGGGCAGGATAGAGCACAGGAAACCACAGAAGTCAGGGTCGGCCACAAGATGGACTCTTGGTCATTGAGAGCTGGCCGTGTTGCTAAGGGGCTAAAAACATAGCCAAACGGGTCACTTTCCAGGGTGCTGGGAACCCAGCTGTTACCTGACAGTGCGCTGTAGTATGGGCCCTCCTCGTCCTCTTCGTGAGAGGAGGAGCCCCCCACGTCGCCTGTGTGGTCCCACTCCAGGGGGATGGAGTCCACGCTGACAGGGGTCTCGCAGCCAGACCGCTCGTGCCCTGGGGCCACTAGATGACACAGGGACTGAGGAGATGACGGTTCCTCGCTCTCTCCCCGTTTACGCCAAGAATCAGTCTGGATTTCTCTGGGGTCTTCCATGTCTGTTTCATTCTCAGAGGCCTCCTTTTCATCTTCCAAGCCCTAAACCACAGTATCCAGTTGTTAGAATTAATCAACTCATAGGCTTCTGCAATTAGAAGAGCATGAGAAGTCTGCCTATCTAGCAGTTTCCAAAAATAACTGCCAATAGTATTTCTAAGGCAGCTTTAAAAAGATCAGGTTCCCAGGTCCTGTTTCTGGTTATTCCAGTTTAGACAATCTGGAGTGGGGCCTAAAATCTGTTATTTTCCCAAACCTCCAGCTATTTTTTCTTAGGAAAAAAAAGCTGAAGTTTGATAATCTAAGTTAAACAACTTTATCTAGGAGATAAGGAAATGGTGGCCAAAGTTTCATTGATGGTTAATGGCAGGTTCCTCCAAGAATCAGACTATTTTTGAAAAGGACATTTGAATGTTCTGGGTAAGACTCAAACTTCAACCAGATGCACCAGGTTCTTTCTTTCTTATCCTCCAACTTAATTGCTCAGTGTCTGTATTCTGCTTGTGTCATAACGTCTCTTTCAGTCTAAGAAAAATGACTCTAAGTGGCTGTACTTAAAAATGAGAAATTGTGGGGTAATTTTTGAGGCTGTGTCTGATGAAATAACTACATTTGAATGTGGCCAGTTGGAGACACAAAAAAAGAAAGAGTGGCCAGTCGTATCGGTCAATGGTTGTCATTCAAGCTTCAGGCACACAAAGGCAGTACGCTTTGAACAGTGGCCTTAACTCCACCTGAACTTCCCAAAAGGGCCTTTCGTCTGGGGAAACATCAAAGTTGCTTTTGAAACTCTTGTGTTTTCTCTTCCAAGGTGAGAACAAAGCATCAGAAAGGCACAAATACTAAAAGCTTCCAGCCTCTAAGAAAGAGGGAAGGGCAAATACATTCCTAAGTTACTAATGTAATAAAAGCCAGAAGAGTTCTTCAAGAATTCTAGGGGTAGTGACGCATGCCAGACAAGCCCAGCCCTGAGGAATACTTAAAAGCGACTCGTGGAGCATGCGCCTCAGAAGTGCCATGCTTTCCACTGGGGAATGGGAACTTGTAAGTTACTGTGGCTCTATATTAATAAAAGTGGAAATTAAAATGTTTTGATATAGCCCTTTCTTTTCAACCAAAAAATAAACCATAATTAACCATTATAAGACAGGTCCCCTAATTCTTTAAAAATTTGGTCTCACGTAAACTCTGAGCAGCCCAGGTGCCATTTCTAGGCAGCAGTGCCCGTACCGGAGTGCAGGAGGTGAGCCGCCGGTGGAACCGGGAGACCCTTCCAAACACCTCCTGGCAGTAGCGGTGGAGTTCCTCCAGCTCATCCTCAATCAGCACAGCATCCAGGGGCTCGCTCTTCTGAATCAGCTGCTCCCCAAACACAATGAGCTGATCAATCTTGTTGGTATTTAATGTAATTTCCTGTTGGAAGCCCTGTTGAGAGAGGAGAAAGAAAGGATTTCAAAGAAAGTTACCCTGAGCTTCCACTGCCTGTTTCTTCTAACAGGGCCATAGAAAAGCATCCAAATGTCATTATTGTTGTTTTCCTTCACCTACTACTCTAGCTTTAGTTTTTAACTAAGTGACAATGACATTTTAAGAATTTTAAGTGATTGTCTATATTCCCCCTCACGGGCACTGGCTTTTCCAATTAAAATAATTCTAAAAGTTTGACACGGGTGGACATTTACTGTTATTAGGTGTGAGAGAAAGAACTTGCCATGGCAAAACTTGTTGGGAACAGAACATTTCCCATAATAAGCCACGAATGGGCATTTGCTTTTGCTGACACAATAATATTCACTGGTGCTGTTATACTAGGGAAGGCAAATTTCCATTTCTCAACCTCTTCCAAAATCTGGCCAAGGAGAGAATTACAGTGAGATTAGCCTGTCATACAGATATCAGAAACAATGGGAGAGCGGACCTCTGTTCTTGGCCCCACTGGTGACACCCATACTCCTGGACCGTAAAGAACAGTATCCTTGCACGTGATAATCTGGTAGTACACAGGTGGGATGTAGCCTGGCTGCTTTAAGAATTCTGAAATTTGCTCTCAGAGTATCGTGTGAAATTTGCACTTGGCCAGCTCTCCCACGCAAAGGTGTGTTCTTTTGAGAAGAGCTAGGGAAGCAGCAGCCCTCACATTCAGTTGGCGCATCTTGTCATCGGCGTCACTCTCTGAGAAGTGCTCCACGTTGGTCAGCTGCAGGTCCATCTCTGTGAGCCACACCAGAATGCTCTCCCTGGTGCCCTCAAATTCTTCCCTCTGGTTGGTGAAATGCTGCAAAAGTGGGGAGGAAATCACATTTCTACTGACCACGGAACAAGAGTTCAGACAGACAGCAAGGCCACCTTCGGCCACAAGAAAAGGGTACCCAGAATACTCAGGGAGAAATCTGCCTCTAGGGTACCCAGAAAGCCCCAGAAGCACTATGTTGTTCAGAGGCTGGGGTCTGGTTCTGGCTTTGTGAGACCAAACAAGCCCCCTCAACTTCTCTGAGCCCCAGCTTCTACGCTGGCAAGTCGGGGAGAGAGTGGGAATGTTGATTATGGTCTCTGAGGTCCTTAAGCATTTGAAATTCTAAAATTCTCTAGTCCAAATCAGTGATTTTCCTCTGTCCTTTGAAGAGCCCCCTGAGGGGCCAGGCCAGGCCTTCTGCCTGTTTTACACATTGGCCTTCTGCAGCTTTTGCTTGACGGAAGGATTTAGTAGCTTCAAGATGGAAAAGCCTTGATATCAGGATTGAGGCCAGCCTGGTGCCCCCTTCTGCCTTCACTGATAGAATTCTGAATGTGTCTTCCCAGAGAAAGAAGACTCAGAGCAGTTGTATCATCTCCAATTAAGGATGCCTCTCAGGTTACTGCTTCACAGATAGGCAGCTGATGTTCAGATCAGTATAGCTTCAGTGCCAAACGAAGGCAGATTAGCCACAGCCAGATCGGCAGGAGATAATTAATGCAAGAGGCCGGGCATGGTGGCTCACACCCACGATCCCAGCACTTTGGGAGGCCAAGGTGGAAGATTACTTGAGGCCAGGAGTTTGAGACCAGCCTGGGCAACATAGTGAGACCCCATTTCCACAAAAATTAAAATCAGCCAGGCACAGTGATGCACGCCGGTAATCCTAGTTACTCAGGAGGCTGAGGCAGGAGGATCCCTTGAGCCTAGGAGTTTGAGGCTGCAGTGAGCTATGATCTCACCACTGCACTCCAGCCTGGGCAACAGAGTGAGACCCTGTCAAGAAAGAAGAAAGAGAGAAGAGAGAGAAAGAAAGACGGAGAGACAGGAAAGGAGAGAGAGACAGGAAGGGAGAGAGAGACAGAAAGAAATGCAAGGGAGTTGTCTAGGTTACTAGAAAAGCCAATGTCTTCCTGAGAAGGAGGGAGGGGGAGAGAGAGAGAAAAGAAAGGAAGAAAAGAAAGAAAGCCCAGATTTACATCTTTCTAGAATGGGTTCAACCATGCTCTGCCCTGAGAACAGACGCAGAAATTAAAATTGTGTCCTGTAGTCCCTGCCTGTGACAGTCCTTTCAGTTTATAACTGGATTCACACAGGTTTACACAGCACATCTTCTGAATGACAGAAATCTAAGGTGAATATTTACCTTCAAAAACCAAACCTTTGTGTGCTCTGAAATTCAGAGAATAATCACAGTCCCCAACCCCCCAGTGCAGACAGGGGCTCTTGCATTCACGTGCCTTGTCCATCCTCCTCAGTGCGAGAGCTGGGGGGGGTCCCATAAAAACAGACAGATGGGCAAAGCGGGGCTCCTTCCAGGGGCCCACGTGTTGCCTTTTCCAGACCCAGCGAAGCGGCGCCCTGGACTCTGAGCTAACATGCACACCACCACGGGTTACAGAAGTTGTAAAAAGAGCTGTGCGTTGGTAACGCAAATCTCATCAACAGGCCCTGCCTAAGAAGCCCCACATGCAAATCCCCCTTTTAAAAAACGAACGTTGGCAGCTTTGGGCTTCTTTGTGTTGGAGGACTGTTAAAACAGCTCAGGCCTGAAGTGAAACCTTCTACCTGCTGCTTTGTGCCACAAGCCTGCCATTGCGTATCGTGCGTTATGTCTCCTGGAAAATCTACACCCGAGCCAGGTGCAGAGGAGCTCACCCTGAGTCTCCGCAGGACGGCTGTGACCCGCCTCTGAAGGTTGTCCCAGCGCTGGTTGCCCTCGTGGACCATCTGCTTCAGCCTGCTGGCCGTGTCTGTGCGGTTCTCCCGGGCCAGCCGCCGGTACTGCTTGTTGATGAGCTCCAGCTGAGTGAGCCGCTCATGAATCTGCCGCTGAAAGGCCTGCATCACATGGGAGGGGTCAGAGCCAAAGCATGCAGAGTGCCAGGACGCCCTCCTTCCCTTCTACATCCCAAGCGACCTGCTGCCAGGGGTTCATCCCCAAACTGCAATGGCAGCAGAGGGCCTAATTCACCAGTCCTGATGCCAGCTACAGAACAGGCTTTCAAGTTCATTACATAGCAGCTGGAGTACATCAGCAATGTCTTGCAAAGCTGTCTCAGCAGCTGGGGGCAGGCTGTGGTTTAGGCAGCCCTTGCCAGAGGTGAGGGGAAGCTGGCTACTTAGAGGAAGTCATTTCAGCAGCCCCCAGGCTCGCTGCAGGCTTGGTTATGATCAGGAGACCGGGATGGAGAAGGTGTTTACCTCAAACCTCTTCAGTTCCTCTTTGGCACTCGTGTACAACACCTCTGAGGAATTTGGGCAGGCTGCCGTCCTCTCAGCTGACTTGAGCCAGTCCTCAAAGCGAGAATAGTCGTCTAAAAACTTCTGCCACAGGCGCCACGTCTCCTCGATTCTGATGGGAGCAAAGCAACTTAACACAAGCCATCCCCTCCAAGCCTGTGCTTTTGCACTTCTTTTATCCCCTGACACCCGCACGGTTTAGTGGGGGAGACCCTGTTACCCCTTCTGGGAAATAAGAGGGACGCCACTTCTTGTCTGTGCTCCTCCTGCCTGGGAGCGCCAAGCAGCTCAGAGCTCCTGCTTCACAGAGGTTAAAAAACCAGGAGACAGGGCTGCCTCCACTACTGCCCAGCTAGGTCAACGGAAGCACAGCGGCCAGTCCACAGCCACACCCCACACAGGACAGCTGGGGAGAGACATTACTCCGGTTACATTTTTCTTGAATAAATCCTTTGATAAGCGTTGGGCCTTCTCTGCCAATACCTGGCGCATTTCTAAGTGAAATGAACAGAATAGTTACTGTGAATGAGGTCAGAAGGGTGTATTGAGTTCGGCTGACCACGCTGAAGGCATTTGGGGGAGCTTAGTTCTTACTTCATGCGCCGCTCCATGGACATGGCACAAATGTTCCTCCAGCGTCTGTCCAGGCTCCTGGTGGTCTGCTGGATCGAGTCACACTCGGTCTCATTTGCACAGGCATCGGAGTCGTGCAGTAGGACGTCACAGATGTTAAACACGGACTCCACCCCTGCGCTGTGTTGTTCAATATCTCGCTGTAGATCCTGTGATTACAACAGAGTAAGAAACCTCTTGAGATGTTGGTGGCAGCAGGAGGGTCAGCATCAAAGGACCTCCGTTCCTCCCTCCCTTCTCCCAGCTCAGGGGATACTTCCCTGGGTGGATTTCCACCATGAACTTGGCAGTACACATGGAATCCCTCTCATCTTTGTGCTACCCTTGTGCTGTCAGCACCTGACACAAAGTTTAAACACTGGAAACATCTAGGACTTATGCGCTGAACCATGTGAGGGGTGCCACGGTGATGGGTGTCCTCTACGCACTGACAGGTGGCGCCATTACTGTTGAGAGCCCATCGCCCCACAGACTTCGGGTATGCATGGGATCTACTCCATACCACCCAACCCCAAAGGGCTCCAGTTTAGACTTGGTTTCAGGGAGGTCTTTAGAAACTGAGTCTCTTCAGCAGGAACTCTCAATCTTTTATCAGCTACCGAACTCTTCAAACACACACCAAATTGTGCATGCAGCAGTGTGGATGCCCACAGCTTCCCCGTGAGCCCATTCAAGGGCTTCATGAGCCCAAGGGAGAAATTCTGGCAGACAGACCTTGCCTCCCCAACTGATAAAGTCCAGCCAAAGCTGTGGTGGCTTGGAGAGAGGTGGGGTCTCTGGAGTCTTGTCCTTTGATGATGATAGTGATGCAGTTCCCCAATTTGGGAAAAATAACATTTATGAAGAGAAAATGCATGGTCATAGGAAAAAACTGGAAAACCTCTTCACGAATAAACATGGCATTTTTAGTCATCATCAGATAATATTTCTGCTGTACCCCATGGGTGGGCTGCGGGGAGGGAGAGAGATAAGGAACCTGTTTTGCCATTCTGGAAGAGTTAGGCATCCCTGATGTCCAAATTGTGTGACAAGTGACATGAGACCACAGCATTAATTTTAATATCCAAATTACATTGTGAGAAAGCAAACACTAAGTTAAATTCTATTTTAATTATTTGATAATATACCAATTTCTAAAATCTACACTACTTTAACCACTATTAACTAGACTAAATCCAGTTCCCAGGACTCAACAAATTTCAGTTAATAAGAGGACTGTACTATAAATGGTAGCTGTCACCATCTACAGAAAGGCAATATAAGCTTCATTCCAGGTCACTTTCATATTTAAATAACTTGAGATTACTACTATATTACTAGATGGGACCACTATTTTCATACTCTCTTTTTTTTTTTTTTTGAGACAAGGGTTTCACTCTGTTATAGTGGTGCGATCTTGGCTCACGGAAACCTCTACCTCCGGGCTCAAGTGATCCTCCCACATCAGCCTCCCAAGCAGCTGGCCACCATACTCAGCTAATTTTTTGTATTTTTGGTAGAGATGGGGTTTTACCATGTTGTCCAGGCTGGCCTCAAACTTCTGAGCTCAAGTGATCCACCCTCCTTGGCCTCCCAAAGTGCTGGGATTACAGGGGTGAGCCACCACGCCCAGCCCCTATTCTCTTACTTTTCTTCATATAAATACACAATTCCGATCATTGAGTGTTTAGGTTGATATAAGAAAATAAAATGCTAACCCGCCAACTGAATTTTAAATCAGGCAGTTCCTAACACTGATCCCGAGTACAAATGAACACCACCAGGTTATATTCAGAAGAGATGTGTTTTCCACTTGGCCACCCTGTGTGCACTGTGAAGAATGTGCAGGGTGATTTCTTTAAAGCTCTGCAGTGTGGGTAGAATGCCTGATATGCTCGAATGGTGGGAGTCTCCCTGGAGTCAATTTGAGGACTAACTTTAAAGTTATTACATCTAAATAAAATTCCAGTTTTAAGAACTCTTACCGGTTCACAGAACTGTCATGGGCCCTTCTAAAATTAGAAGATACATATCCCATGTAAATACTAAAATAATAAATTAGGAACCCTAATACTGGTATTAAAATAAATAATACTAATCATTAATAACTGAAAAATGCCCATGACCTCATCTGGCTCCAGGTGGGTAAGGTCTAGTTGAAAAGCCGAGAGAAGTTCTAGTTTATGGACAATATGAATGCTCTGTATTTTAATAAACTCTGCAATTATCCTACATTATTTATTCAGCTTACATTGAATCAAATGGCTAAAGAAAACTGATTAATATTTAGGGTAAATGGCCGTAAGAAATGAACTCTACAATAATTTATAAAAGACCATCAACATCTTGGTTAAAAAAAAAAAAGCCCAAACATTTTCAAAACTTTTCAAAAAACATTTTCAAAAAATTTTTAAAAACCATGTAAAACACCACACAATGGCCTACTAGTTACCTTGTACAAAAAAAAAATAAATAAAGTGATAGACTACATTTTAAAATGCAGACCATTTAAGTGCTAGACAAGAACATTTTGCAAGCTGAAATAATCCTACCGCTAGTAACCACGGAGACCTAAGTCTGCACAAGAATCAGGTTTTAGAAACTGTCCAAACCTAGAGAAAAAGTGGATTTAAGAAACAACATAAAACAATGAGAAAGACTTTTGCCAACAGTTCTAACAGGCTCCTGTTCATTTCGTTTTTCTGCCCCTGGGCAGGTGACACATAACCCTGAGGTTGGGGAGGAACTTGGGGGCCAGGGGGTACAGAGCAAGAGGAGAAGGGGAGACATGAAACTGGAGAAGAGAATGCAGCCAGAAGAATGAGAATAAAAAGGAACCAAAAACAGAAGGTAAGGGTGGCTGAGGAGAAGAAAAACAGGCTGAAAAGACAGAAAATCATATAGCGTGAAGCCCCCAGTGCCAGCTCCTGAATGTGTCTGTGGGAGGGGCTTGGGTAGCAAGTGGGACAGGATGGTATTGGGATGGTTCAGGGGGTTTGAGGTGAAGCTCAACTGGCCCACGGCAGGGGCTATTAATTAGCCAGTGGAAGGGTAACTAACAACAACTCCAAGCCACCATCTGGCACCCCACAGAGAAACAAGCAACCAACCAATGAACAAACTAGGACAGGGATCTTAAAGATTCAATGAAAGTGGTTCGTGATTTAAGTGTCACAAAATTGCCACTACTTCCTGTGCATTTTAAAGATGATATATTCCGTAGGAATAACCCCCATTACCTTATACTTAAAGGTGTTCTATATAAGAAAGGTGAAACAGAAAGGACTCCTATAGGGTCTGACCCCTCCCCAACCAGGTATATTACAGTGAGGATCCGGGGACATCATGGCTCTTAGCTACTTTTGGGGGCTGAGGGCTTTTGCAGAAGGCAATACTAGGTGATGCCATGTTTTTAGGTCTTATTTTTGGAAGCAATTAATTTATTATATTTAGTTTGAAAAGTAAACATAGGTAAGGTGGTTGTTTTTTTAACCCAGACCAAAAATGGTCACTAGGTAAGGTTTTAAAAAGTGGCCCATACATAATTCTTTTGTGTGACACATTTGTTTCCAGTGTTTTGGATGGGGTACTTAAGGTCTGAGTTTAGCATAATATAAACACACTGTAACTTATTCTTTTTAACAAAAATACTGAAAGTATCCTGAGATCATCTGTGGTAGGCAGAATAATGACAATGACACCCCCCAACCCCCCAACAAAGACATCCAGATCCTAATCCTGGAATCTGTGAATATGTTAGATTACACGGCAAAGGAGAATTACGGTTGCTAATCAGCTGACCTTGAAATAGGGAGATTATCCTGGATTATCAGGGTGGGCCCACTGTAATCCTAAGGGTCCTTAACAGCAGAAGAGGAGTCAGCTAGAGGGAGATGTGACTAGGAAGACAGACACAGAGAGATGCAATGTTGACGGCGTTGAAGGCAGAAGAAGGCGCATGTGAGCCAAGCAATGTGGGTGGCCTCTAAAAACCAGGAAAAGCAAAAAAATGGATTCTCCCCAGAGCTTCCAGAAAGGAGCGTAATCCTGATGACACCCTGATCTTAGCCCAGTGAGATCCATTTCAGATCTCTAACCTCCAGATATATAGTAAATTTGCGTTTTTAAGCTGCTAAATCTGTAATTTGTTACAGCAGTAGTAGAAAACTAACACAGCATTTAACTTCTTTACAATAATGGTAGTCCTGAACACCAATTCCATTAATTTTTTTTTTTTAAGTAACCAAGGGATAGAAATGTCACTAAGGTGATGCTGAATTCTATAAAGACAGAATTTTCAAATCAACCAGATTGAAATTATGTGCCATTGTAGGATGGGAAGAAATAAGGCTAAGAGAATAGCAGTGGCTCCAAACTGTATGCTTTTGGGAACAAATTCTCTGCAATTTAATGTTCTGTCACACTTCGGATTTATAAAAAATTAACACACAATCAACAGCCCCTGCAAAATTTAGCCAGCCATTCTTTAAGGGGAAAGATACTGACAGCTTCCATATAATCTACCTGAAAAAACTCACCACTCAGGGTAAATTGTTATTTGCAAGGCCTTGCCTTTTCACAGTCTGTTCAAAGACATTCATCCTAGTGGATCACACTTGTAAGTAAAACTGATGTGTTCAGTAGCTGTGACTCCAATGAGAGACGCATTAAAATCTCTGTAATGTCCATTAAAATTCCATAATACTTATATCAATATTCTTTTCTGCACAAAGCAAAGACAGAGCCTAGATGACCTCCATGAAAAAGACATGCTTAAAGTTCCAAGGCTAAGTGGAAAAACCAGTATTTTTAATTTGTAGCATTACTAAATCATATCACTTTGAAAGCCAGATAACAGGTATCTTTTAAACAGTAATTGTAATAGCACTTAGAAAAGTCAAGAGCAGGGAGGGCCAGGCATGGTGGCGCCTGCCTGCAGTGCCATCTACTCAGGAGGCTGGGGTGGGAGGATCACTTGAGCCCAGAAGTTAAAGACCAGCCGGGGCAATATAGTGAGACTCCATCTCTTAAAAAAATGTCAACAGTAGTATCAAATATTAAATCTGGTGAAAAAGGTTCACCCCCAATCCGGTCTCCAAGCACCTGTGGTATGTGGTGTGTGGTGGAGGCTTAACATGAAGAAAACAGATTCAAGTCTGAGAATCATACTGCTTCTATGGTTGAAACAGAATCTGCCCATAGGTCTGAGAAAAACAGGTGAACAAAAGCTAAAGAAAGAATAAGATAAACTTAGCTATTTAAAAAAAAAGTAAAGACATATCCAGGCATTACAAGTGAGAATGAGCATGTGGCCATGAGACCAGGGAAGGCAGGAAAGTGGATTCGATAAACCAGTGACATCAAAGAGCACCTGTCAGGTGGGTACAATGAGAAACACTGGCAGAACTCAGCAGCTTTCAAACTGCCCAATTTCCAGGGTTGGCTCAGAGCATGCATATCTGATAACAAAAATGCACAGAGCATTGCAGCTCTTAAGAGGCTTCCTAAACTATTGGTCCAAGCATGTTCCTTATCACACCTTTTCTTGTTTTAATTTTTTAAAAAAGCTGTACCAGACACACAGAATATAATCCCATAAAAACCTTCCTTGGTTAGAAAAGTTGCTTTTCTTTCAATTCATTGCCTTTCAAAACTATATTAACAAAACACAACAAAGATCAGTTAAAAAAAGACATAATTAAAAAAATCTCATTAACCACCAAGATTAAGGTTTGCATCTTAAACAGTATTCACACAGTTTCACAAAAAGCTACATGAATGTGGGAGGGAGCACTCAAGAGACAGATATAAGAACATGGAAAGGTGGTCAGTTTTCTCTGGAAAAAGCAAACCAATGTTATGGAATGTGAGCACGTGAAAACACATAGATATACGGGGAAGGCCTCAGTCAGTGCATATCGCGGACACCGTACTCTTGCAAGAGCTCATTTCTGATTGTCCCACCTGCTGCTCAGCGAGCCTCTTCTGGATCTCTTGATCATCGCAGACATCATAAACAACAGGCTTGGAAAGCTCAGACTCAATTCGAGCCAACCAGGTGCGAAGGTTGCTCATGTTTTTGTCCAACTGCTGAATAAAAGCAAAGGTCTCCTTCAGCTTCTTCACCCTACACATATTTGCAGAAAAACAAAACGAAACAAAAAAAAACCAGTGATGGAAAACAAAAGCCCAATACTTAGTGGTGGAAGAATGTGCCAGTAAGAGCATTGCAGGGTAAAAAAGAATCTATTTTGCTTTGATTTTATATCAGAACAACTCTCATGTCACCAGATACGAGTTCTCAGAGAATATGTGAAGCTTTGCAAGGCTGTTGCCTCTGTTGATTTTCAAAAGGACTGAGAGTTAATCCACCCATGCAAATGGAAGTCCTATCATTCCCAGAGTGAGAGCCCCTGAGACCCAGTTCATCTTCCTGGGGCTCCAGAGGTGAGAAGATATGCCATTTTTTCCTAAGTGAAAATAACCACTCCTGACTTCTGCCCAGTTTCTGCCGTGGGTATGCCTGAGACTGCAGCAGCCGGTGATCTACCCTGGGAGATTAAAGATGTTACACGCCTGGTTCACTTGGTGGTATTTGGTCCACAAGGCCTCTCATGGGACCCTCCTCTCTGAGTAAGCAGAGAACATGTGCCAAGCCCTACCGCTTCAGTATGAGGGGTTCACCCAGCCGTATACATTGAACCAGCCCATGCGGGTAGATTATGGGGCATCTCTGTCCGTCTAAAAGGGAGGGGGCAAAGGAAATCTGCACGCAAGCGCAGTTCTAAATGTGATCTCCCTCGCCAGTCTGCCTCAGCTCCCATCCGGCCCAACTCGGCGTGGAGCAGATTTGAAAGCACACGCATGGCATGAGTACAACTTGGCGTGCACGTCCACATGCTGTCAAGGGGACGTGATGTAGCTGTTGGGGGAAAACAATCTTTTTCTGACATATATACTAAAATAAAATGCTCCAATAAACCGCTTTCCTTAAAGTCCTAAAGCAGAGCGAGGTGAGCCAGGATCTGTCCTGGCGTTCTGTGGGATTTGTAGTTAATTTCAGACATTTAAAAGTAATGGCTCCAATGGAAAGTTCCCACTTATCAATACTTACGTTGGGAGATGCTGTCAGAACTGCACCCCATAGCTGGGAGCACTAGAGAGATAAATGGGTGCACTGACCCTAACTCTCAGGAAGCATTGTGCTCCATGCCACCATCACCTCTTACTTGACCGAACAACCTCCTCTCAGCCCCCTAGACTTCCTGCCCACCTTTGGTTCTGTAGCCAAAGTGTAAGTAAGTTCTAGAAGGCAAGTCTGATCCACGCTCAAAGCCTTCAATAGTCCCTGCCCTACCCTGAAAAACCGGTTCAGCCCCTTGATCTCTGTACCTCAAGCATTCAGGGGCCACTCTGCCTCTAACCTTGCACTCTCTCAGACACTGTGCACCCACCAGGACAGGGAGTGCCATGGCCAGGCTGCAGCCGGCCAGTTTCCGCCGCACTCACAGCACCTCCCACAGGGCCTGGTGGGCAGGAAGCTCTCCACAAATGCTTGGTGAATGGACAAATACGGACAGGCACTTCCATGGGACTGACTTCTAGTTCCATTACCAGCTACTTTTAAGATTTAGTGAAAGTCCTTTCACCTCAGCCCCCTTATTTCAAGTACACCCGCAAAGCTGCTTAAGCTTCAGGGAAGTGGTAGCATCGGGTGAGGTGAGGGCCGGAACTCCAGAGGCAAGCAGACCTGGGCCCAAGTTCCATTCTCCCATCTAAGAGCTCTGCACCCTGCAATGTACCTAACCGCTGACTCTGAGTTTCTTCATGATCTGTAAAATTATCCACCTTGCAGGTGGCGGTGAGCTTGAAATAAGAGGCTGCATGTAAAGTCAGCTGCACAGAGTGAATGCTGGACCACATGATGCTACAATCACGCTTTATTTACAAGGCATTGGACCTCACAAAGTTCTTTCATCAGTGTTTTATTCTCAAGGGCAAGCTTGGAAGAAGGACATGTGGTCTGGAGGTGGAAGAACACAGACTCTGTGGTCAGGGCCTGGGTTTGCGTCCTGGCCATGTTTAATGCCATCTATAAAATGGTGTTAACAGTAGTACCTTCCTTCACTGGGTAGCTGAGGGGACTGAATGAGATATAACATGTGAAAGGCAGAATGCCTCGGAGATAAATGCCCAGCAACTTACAGTTGTGATAAGTTTCAAGGAGCCATGTTTTCCAAATTACATTCTTACTGCAAACACCACAAGGATACGTTCCCTTCAAAGCCACAGATGATTTATTAAAAAGAAAGTAACAGAATCCAGGACCAGGCCTGGATACAGCTGTAACCTAGATCCTGCCTTCATTCCTATGGCTTCAGAGGTACACCCTCCTCACCCCAGTATCTTGCCACCTTGATTGCCCTGGTTCCAAAAAGAACACTCCAGACAACTACCAGGGTAGCTGAGAACCCCTGGCACTGTGGGACAAGGAGTCCTCCAGGCAGTTCCTGAGGGACTGCCCTCCTGGAAGGCTCTGCTGGAGAAGAGGCCCAGCCACGAGAGCTTCCCGGGGGTGGGGGAAGGGCTCAGGCTCGTGACCTCTGCACAGCTCTCCTGCCCTCCCCACTTCTCCCTCTTCCCAGAATGAAATCTCCCACGGCCTTCATCTAGCCCCTGACCCTATTCCACCCTAAGAATCTCAGCCTCTTTCTTATTTTGAAAAGAAGAGGGCTAGAATCCAAGTATTTATTTATATATATTTTTCTTTTTCCTTGTTTCCTCTCTTCTAACTTAAAGCAATTAACACACCGGAAGAATTCAACTGGTTAAATGAAAGGAGCTAACTAGCAACACAACAGCCTGGGTACAGATCCACAGGACTGTGGTGATCTTGAACTGTTAACCCTGGGGGTTAGGTGTGCAACACGCAGAGGGGGTATGGAGAAGGTGGGGGAATAATTTGCTTGGTTTCCCCAGGGCTGTGGTATCCAAAATGGGGTGCTCAGAACAAACCAATGGGGTGTAGGAATAAAATATGAGACTGTCTACTGTCATCCCATTCTTTTAAAATTTCTACAATGTGTATGCTTTAAAATTATAAACTTAATTATTAAAATAAAACATCTATATCCCACGCTGATGGCCACATGTGCTAGGCCTGTTGTGCTCCATGTTAGCAACTCATGTACTTTTTTTTTTTTTTTTTTTTTTTGAGACAGAGTCTCTATCGCCTACGCTGGAGTGCAGTGCTGCGACATGGGCTCGCTGCAACCTCCGCCTCCCAGGTTCAAGTGATTCTCCTGCCTCAGACTCCTGAGTAGCTGGGATTACAGGCACCTGCCACCATGCTCAGCTAATTTTTGTATTTTTACTAGAGACAGGGTTTCCCCATGTTGGCCAGGCTGGTCTCGAACTCCTGACCTCAAGTGATCCACCTGCCTCAACCTCCCAAAGCGCTAGGATTACAGGCATCATTTCCTCTTCATAACAATGCTAGGAGATAGGTAGTATTATTATCCCTACTTGACAGATGAGGAAACCGAGGCACAGAGAGTAAAGAGCTTGCCCAAGTCACATGGTCAATAGCGGAAGCAGGATTCTAACCTGGGTAGTCTGGTCTGGAGCTGCTGTTCTTAAGCACTACCCATCCTCTCACATAATCCCACACACACTAACATGCACATACTGGAGATACAGGATCATTTTGCTGCAGTCAGAGAACATGACCAGAAGTCTGGACTCATAGCTCAGGATACACTGAGGGGTAGGAGCTGATATAGTAGATGCTACAACCTGGGCTCTTAGCAGGTGCCTGGGGAGGAGGCTGGAAGGCTCAATACATGCTGCCCACGTTTCCCCTCCATGATTTTCTTTCAGTAAACACTTAACCATTTGCCTTGTCTTGGATCCTGCACAGACCCTGAGGATTCAGAGATAGCTGGAAGATAGGACTTCTTCCCAGAGAGGTCATCACCTAATTTAGATGTAATGTTGACACTGTAATACAACATAGGAGTTGCTCAATAATAGCTGTTGAAGGAGTAAATGATGTTCACTCATACCTTCCAATTTGTCTGATTTGTCTTCTTCATAAAGAGGTGGCCAAATTAGATTTTTAAAGAAAAGAGGTAAAGACCAGAGCATATCAGAGCCCTTCTGCCACAAAGCAGTGTGCTGCCAGCCTAGGAGCCACTCGTGCTCCTCAGCCCTGGTTTCACACAGGGCCAATGAAGCAGTGACGGACATTCACATCACAGGCATACTTAGTGCAAGTTAAAGAGGGGGGGAAGGTGGGAGGGAAGGAAAAGAAGGTCACCAAGTGACAAAGCACTCATCCAGCCAGGATTTAGCCGGTATATCCCAAACTCCATCCAGAGGCCTAATACCTCCAAATGCCTGGGAATCTAAATGTTGTTCCTCTGATCATCAGGTAACAACTTACCCTGGGACTCATCAGGTGCACTGCTGAGCGTGTATCGTTCTGTTCTGTACAGACACTGTAATCTAATTATCACCTGTCCCAGGTCAGGAAGTATTTGTCTTTTGCCAACCCAGGCAACTGACCTCCACATTGTTGGGCCTTGTTAACACTACTCTTGAAAAATTTAAAATCTCAAGTTAATATCTGGAAATGAGAAAACCTATTCAGAAACCAGACTGCTGGCACACAGAAGCAACCACAACACTGCCTGACATCAACCACCTGAGCGCTTTGCTGCCGTGGCCACCATCTCTGCACTTGCCCAGGTTTTGACCCAGGTGCTCTTAACATTTCTCACATAGACATTTCAACAAATAACCTTTCTCCAGGAAAAAGCAGCATGATTTCCTGAATTAAATTCCAGTTATGAGAATCAGAAAAACAAAATTTTTAGGTACAAAAGCGAAGTCTTCCACCTGCATAGGCTCTTTATTGGGAGACCTGAACAAAAGCAAAATGTTTTCTATGAAACCAAACAAAAGAATTATGCCTAAGAGCCGCTTTAAATTAGAAGAGTTCTTTTGCAGTGATTATGGGTAAAAATGCAGAAAACAATCAAGGCAAATAAAGTTTTTCTTTTAACTAGCAATGGATGAGAATATAACATTGATGAACACTGCTCTCCTTCCAAACAAACAAAATCAAGTCAGGTTAGCAACATTCTATATACCAAGCCTAAGCCTTAACAATGTATGATGAAGGCTTTACATGTCAAATTTATACATATGGAATAATTTACCATTTAGTCCTATCCTCTGTGCTCAGGAGTCTACAGTTAAATTATAAAAGCCCTAAATCAGTCTAAGTGAACAAAAAAATTCCTATGCCTAATTTAAAAAATACTAAGGAAAACTGAGATGGTTCAAGTATCTGAATTTGTACTGAAATAAACAAATAGTCAAACCTGCGGGCAGCTGTCAGTTGCAAAAAACACTGTACAAATCCTGTACAATTGTATCTTTTCACATGACTAAACATCCTTATGGCAAAATAATGCATTACTCCAAGATCCTGAAGCCCTGATTTAGGGGCAGAGGCATTACAATACACGTCTGAGCTCATTGCCTCTTTAAAGCATTTTTGTCACCAGAGGACTTCCATTTTCCACACGGCATAATCACTCCTCTGCCCTGCTTGTCAGAGGCAGACTGCAGACACCACACGCATGCTGACGCTGGGAAAGAACCCATCCCCCGATGGCTGAGCACAAACACTCCGCAGCCACCATCTCATCGGTGATTTCTATTGTAACCAAAGCGACACAGCCAGAGAGCAAGACACAAGGGACAGCAGCTGGCGCCTCGGCCCAATGCAGAGCTGATGACGAAAATGGCACTTACTGTTGATGAGAAAAAATCATTCCTTATGTTTAAGCGAAAGCTCCAAGTTCCCGGCTGCACCTCCACCTCCCAGGGCCGAGGCAGCCCCTCCCCCTGCCCAGCGTGCCCTCTTCACTGGTTCAGCATCTTGCACAGAGGCGGACGCAGCCCTCTCCAAGGCTCCTTGTGAGCACGGCTGGCTGGCTCGCAGGCACAGGGCAATGCCAGCGGGAAGGAAGACACCTTCTCCCCTGCTAACTGCAATTTTTAATCTCAGTTTTCTTCCTTCCAGTAAACAAATATCTCCAGCTTTTTCCTCACACACACAGTCTTTGTTCTGACGCTACAGGATTGCAACGCTGGGGGAAGAAAGTCACACTGTTATCTTGGCTATGGGTTATTTATGAAGTGCTATAAACAGAGAGAAGAAACATTTAGATTTGGGGCATGCAAAAGAGGATTTCTGTCCTCCTCAAATTAAATTTCTCTGTTTCAGGTTTAAAAGAAACAGCAAAATCTGAAGCCCCTGAGTCCAATAGGAATGCCTTCCTCTTGTCCTCTTAAAGAAGAAATATCCCTGTGGGGGTTTTCTGCTCTGCCCTTTTGGTCCTGAACATCCTGGTTTAGGAGGGTCATTTAGTTTATCTGCTTTGTGCAAAAAAATTCTATTTTGCAGTATAAAGGGAATTTATTGCAGAGGAAGAAATTCTGTAATTTTCCTTGCTAGCTCCTCCCAGGGTTTACCATAATGTGTCTGAAAATTCCTCCTTATTTATAGCCTCAGTTTCTTCGGACAATCCTGAGTGGCAGTGCTTGGTTTGTGTCTAGTCTACCTTAGACTCATTCCCAGCCTTATTCTGAGACTTGATATCATTTTTCAGGAGTCCCTAAAGACCAACATTTAGTCATTATTATATCCCCACCTTGAAACGTAGCAAACACGTGCTATACCAGTGGAATCAGAAGTGCAGATCTGGCAATAGTTCTCCCAAAATGCTGCATCTAACTCAGGCCCACGTGGTTGGCTGTTCCTGCAACCTGCTGAACGTGAACCTCTGAGGCTCAGTACACTGGACCTGCCTGATGCTGGCCATCAGGCCGCTTGCTCATTATCCTCTTTCCTTTGGGGAGCTCCCCAACCCTCAGGAAGGCATTTCTGCAGGGTCTGGGAACAGCGGCCACCCATTCTAGAGGCAGAAGGATCAGGCTGATGGGAAGGAAAATGGAAGTGAGGAGCCTCACATCTGGCTCTCCCTGTGCTAAAATAATCCCTAAATCCTTCCAGTCCCACTGGATCAGGCAACCTGCTAAGACCAACGCAAGTCAACTTCGTGACTAGCAGCATTGTTTGGTGTTCCAGAAAACCTTGAGAAAATACAGATAAAAGGAGAGCAATGAAAAGCTTTATCAGTTTAAAAAGGCACACGTATTCCTGCCCATTCTGCAAGGCATGGAAAACAATCTTAACACACAACTGCCACGGTCGTAACTTCTGAGTTTAACGGTAACATTTTAATTGCCACTACTATAAAGTAGGTGAGCTTTTCAGGTTGGTAGGCAAAATTTAGAAGTTATGCTTGGTTTAAAAAGTTCCTTTTATGGATTTGATATTTCTGATAGTGAGAGCAATTCAGTGTAAACAGGAAGGAGCTAATCTTCAAGGTCATACGGTACTAGGAAAGTCCCTCCTTGTCAGTGGCTTAATAAGGACGACAGGCCTTGCTAGTGGTGCTACCATCAGAGAGAAATTCAGGAGAGAACATAAAATTGATGACATTTGTTCATGACATGTTATAACATGACATCTTCCATAATGAACATTTAGAAAGTACAGATAAGCAAAAAGAAAATTACAATCATTTTCATTAAAATGATTCCAACCAAGAGAAAAACCAATGTAAACTTTCTGGGAGGGTATGCTTTTCCACTTCGCTGTCCAACCTGTATCAGATACTGAACGCTTTCATCAGATTATTCACACATGCTGCTAGAAAGAGTCTTTAAAGAGTTCCTCACCCTGATCCCAAGTCTCTAAAAGAATTCATCAAGATGTGCAACCTGCCAGAGGGACTCACTGAAGACACAGCCCCACCTGTGTCTACAGAGCTCTGGTTCATAGGACAAGCAGAGTTCTCTCATTAAGGAAATGGGGAGGGAGTTCTGGGAAACAAAAGTAGATGAATTTTTAAGGAGTTCAACTACTGGGTTTTTAAAAATAAGGGGAGGCATAGGTGAGATCAGGTGGCAGGTCAACTCCTTCTCTGGCATCAGTCCTATTGAGGGGATGAGATCCAAGGACCGTCTTTTCAGAGCTTTGGCCCGTGCTGGCTGTGAACGTTAACCTTGCATCTTTCTGTCTATCACCCAACAATTTGTATCTCAACTGTTCTTAGGTAATCCAGATTCCTCCAAAACAGAGGAACACACATATTGGCAGTTCTGAAGGACACCTTCTGTAATTTAGTTGTCTGTCTTGCATTCAGAAGTTTTGCTGAGTCACTTTTCAAAGACGTTATCAAAGGCTGGGTGCAGGTGGCTCATGCCTGTAATTCCAGCACTTTGGGAGGCAGAGGTGGGAGGATAACTTGAGCCCAGGAGCTCAAGACCAGCTTGGGCAATATGGTGAAACCCCATCTCTACAAAAAACAAACAACAAAAGCAAACAACTATCCGGGCATGGTGGTGTGTGCTTGTAGTCCCAGCTACCTGGGAGGCTGAGGTAGGAGAATTGTTTGAGCCTGAAAGGTAGAGGCTGCAGTGAGCTGTGACTGTGCCACTGTATTCCAGCCTGGGCCATACAGCCAGACCTTGTCTCAAAAAAAAAAAGAAGAAAAGAGGAGGGAGAGGGGCTAATAGACACAGATAAAAAAAGTTTAACTCTTCCTTTAATTTGACAAATGAACGTAGTAGCATATAATATTTCTTGTCATCAAATCAACTTGGGTTCTACATAGTTACAATCACCAAACATATATATAGTGCTTTAAATGACCTGTGTTGATGAAATTACCTGCATGTTTCATAAGAGTGTAGATGTCACCACTGTAAGAAGCTGCCTGAGGGCCCATGAGGACTTTTAAAAGCTCCCAGAGCAACAAGGAGGGACAGCCAATCACAGGCCTCTTTATACCCACACCAGGGCCCAAGTAATCTTATGTGCACATTCCTGTCCCGGGCAGAATTCCCATTGTCCTTGGCTAAATTATTTACCTTCTCTGAGCTGCAGTTTCCCTCTCCGTAAAATGAAGAATCACACTGACTTTGCAGTGTTGTTTTAAGAATTCAAATGAAATAATCTATGTGAGGAGCCTGGCACTTAAAAAATAAGCAATGTTGGTTTCCTCTCCTATCTATCCAACAATGGAGGCTACCACCTGAAATGATCAGAAATCTAATGTGGTTTTTAAGGAAGCCTATCCTAAATCCCATTTTTTCCTCCAGTGAATTAAAACTGATTTATTGAGGCCTTGGACTTCTGAAAACCATTCTTAACCTTGAAGTTAGTTTTATAGTTAAGATCTTGCAGTAACAAGGCCGGGTACCTATGTAGGATCACCTTCCAATCTTTTTTTTTTTTGAGACGGAGTTCGCTCTGTCACCCAGGTTGGAGAGCAGTGGTGTGATCAAGGCTCATTGCAACCTCCACCTCCCAGGTTCAAGTCATTCTCCTGCCTCAGCCTCCTGAGTAGCTGGGACTACAGGTGCGCACCACCACGCCCAGGTAGTTTTTGTATTTTTGGTAGAGATGGGGTTTCGCCATGTAAGCCAGGCTGGTCTCAAACTCCCGACTGCAGGTGATCCACTGGCTTCAGCCTCCCAAAGTGCTGGGATTACAGGCATGAGCCGCTATGCCTGGCCGATCTTATTTTTAACAAGAGCTGCTGTTCCCTGCCCACAGGGCCAAAGCAGAATACTGTGGGAAGGATGGAAGAGGCTACATGGTGTCCTGGATCCTGTGGGCAAATGAAGCCATCAGGGCATCCCGCAGAGCAGGTTCTTGTCGCCACTGTTCAAATGTAAAGTTTGCAGCCTGTGCTTCCAACCCTTCCCTTCCTTTGTACAAGGCCCAGGGTGAAGTCAGCATCAGGGATTCTATGTAAGGCTGATTCTATGTAAGGCTGATTATGACAGGTCCAAGTTTGCTGCCTCAACCCACAGATTCACCTGAACAATAAACTCAGCTAAGAGCTTCTTAGATTCTAGCTGTCTGTCTCAGCCTGGCCCTTGCTTTAAAATAAGAAAAATGATTCCCTCCCAAATTCCTTAGTGCTGAAGGGATTAGCACTCAGCACGTACTGCTCATTTCAGTGTTTCAAATGAGAGGGTCTGGGCTGTCAGGGAAGTGACACTGCCTAAGTTGAAATCCTGGTTACGTCACATGCTGGCTATGTAACTGTGGGTAAGCTGCTTAGCTTCAGTCCTCAGTTTCCTTCTTGGTATGTAAAATGGGACAATGGTATCTACTTTACAGAATCACAGTGAAGTTTAAGTGAAATCACACATAAAAGGCATATTGTTAAGAATATAGGCAGCTGGCAATATATTTGCTATTATTTCAACTCCTTTTCCCCCAGCTGTTCTTTCCAAAAAGATCAATAAAATTTTACCCACTGTTTTATCTCTTTCCCACCAAAAGGTTGGCTGAAGACAGGCAAAGAGTGAGCGAGGAAAGCAAATAGCCTGTTAAACTCCAAAGTGATACAAGCAGAGCATGAACGATTAAAAATGGACTGTCATTCTAACCTTCAGGAAACATTAGCTAGATCTTGATCCTGTATGATCCATGAATGGGTTTGATGCCATCATACCCTCGACTAGTGCCAAGGGCCCGAGAAGACTTAGGCTATAAAGGCGACCACAAAGACACAATTTATCCCACAGAAATTATCTTATTCTTAACGAATGCACTGAAACATTTACTCATTTCAACAAACATCTGACGCGCTATTCTAAGCTCTGAGAATTAGGTAGTCCAGTTGCAGGCCTCACTAGGGAAAGACCTCTCATCACTAGACATAACCAACAGAATCATCTTCCACTCAATAAACACACGACCTAAGAGTCTTCTCATGGAAAAGTAATGAAAACAACCACTCCATAAATGCTGGCTCATATGTGCTGGCCCCATACCAAAGGCATGACACATATCCTCACAGCAGACAGCACCAGCGGCCTCTGATGTAAGCCAATTAGACCCATTTTACAGATTTAGCAACTGAGGCCTAGAAAGGTTAAATCACATACTCAAGTTTCCACAGTGAATAAGTGGGAAAGTCAAGAATGGTTCAAAACTTGTGCTCTTAATCCTTACTTAGGTTTCCATCATGCATTTCTGTAGGTTTGTTTTTTTTCCCCCAACTGGCTGTGGAGAGAAGTTGAATTTGGGCCAGTCTATGTTGCCAGCCAAATCCCCCTAATATTTGTCTTCAGCAAACCCTCCACTGCTAAGGAACCAGGCATGACTCAGATATTTTTTCAGAAGGCCAAGTATTTAGCAGAGATTTAAAGTCTTCTAAGATTTAGCCCCAGCCCATCTTTCTAGCTCATCTCCTATGCTTGGGGCCAGTGGGGCTTCTCATCACTTCCTGAACGGCTTCGATGCTGCTCTATTCTGTACCTGTTTGCTCTCAATGTATGTGTCTCTCTCTCTGCCACCAGTAACCGCAATCCCTCATTCAGGACCATCTGGGAACGCAGCCCCTCTGTAAGGCTCTTCCTAATCCCAGGAAGATGGGATCTGAGCTCTCAAACCACTTGGTTTTACAGATGCTCAGATACCTACTCCCACTAATGTAACTGACTCAACTTACTTCCTGCCTGTAATTCTCATAGCATTTAGCTCAGTGCCTCTGTTGATTGACTCAGGTTCACTTGTGGTTTCCAGTAAACAATGAGGTAAAGAAGATGCCAAACTTAATAATTTAAATTATTAAATTTAAATAATAATTTAAATAATAAATTTAATTTAAATAATAAATTTAAATAATAAGATAAAAGTATCTTACTTTTATCACCTCCCAATTCTTTATTCACCTTATAGGTTCTCCTGTATATTCCAAATTCTATGTGTTGTTCAAAACATCTGAGCACACTGCTATGGAAAGGACCCGTGTGGCCAGTGGAAGCACAGCTGCACAAGTGGTCCCAAGGCCAAGTGACGGTTCGCTGTATGCCACGTGGCCACTGAAAAAACATCCACCTGGAGTTTGTCTTTAGAGAGGGAATTTGAAGACATTTAAAAATTTTGGGCATCATCATCATTTTGGGAGGAGAGATAAAATTATCAGCGCTATTTCTGATAAGATTGCACTGGCCAATATAGCTTTGATTTGTGGTCCTTTGATTTAGGACTGGGCTGCGCCCAAATCCACATCCTAGGACAAGACACCCATGGGAGACCTGGCACTCTGAGCCCACACACTTTAAGAGTAGACTCCTGCCCCTGCCTTGAGTGCAAGTAGTGGGGCAGTCATGGGCCCCCAGCATCCAGAAGCCAGGCCTGTGCCCTTACCTGATCTGCCATACTGAGGCAGGAGCAACGGGCATGGCTCCACTGTGGGGACACACAAATGCTAACACAGAGGCAGAATTTCTAAACAATACCCCCTCCCAAGGATCCCTTTCCAAATCAGTTTCCAACTCTTCATTAAAACTACTCTAATTCATGTAAAGTTGTAAGCTAAAGAAAAAATATTAAGGTGGGATATACTAGCATATAATTCTTTTTGTAACACTGAAAGAATTTCCACTCATTTTTATCAAACTTTGCCTTAATCTGTAAACTTATAAAATTGCTGGATCATCTTAGAGGAAGACTGGGTTCAGTTTACTAGATCTGTAAAGTAATTACTGTTCCTGGAGAGTAATCATTTTTAGCCCATTTCTTACCTTGATCCGATGACATCAAAAAGATGTTGCCAACGATCGTTAATTTTGTTGAGCTTGTCATCGATCTCAGCTGCTCTTGATTTGTTGCTGGCCTTGATCAACTGGTCACCCATCTGCTTTAACTGTAACTTGTTTTCACTAAACAAGTTTATTTCTTCCATGCAGTCCTGGCAAAGGCACCAAAACATAAAGCCTGGCTAATTAGCCCAAACTCATTTCTTCTCCAGCCACAGACATAGAGTTACCTCTTGAAATTAAAAAAAAAAAAAAAAATTGGCCAGGCATAGTGGCTCATACCAATAATCCCAGCAGTTTGGGAAGCCGAGGCAAGAGGATCACTCTAGTCCAGGAGTTCAAGACTAGCCTGTGCAACACAGCAAGACCCCACTTCTAAAAACACTAGCAAGGTATGCTGGCACATGTCTGTAGTCCCAGCTACTCAGGTGGCTGAGGTGGGAGGACCCCTTGAGCCAAGAAGGTTGAGGCTGCAGTGAGCTATGATCTCGCCACTGCACTCCAGCACAGTGAGACACTGTCTCAAAACCTCATACCTTCTAATGAAGCTAACTTTTCAGTGAGCAGCTAAAAAGTCAGGCAACGCGCATCAGGCAAAAGCAAAATATGTAAGGCAATAATTATTTTTAATAGTTATTTAATTCAAAAGCCCTCTGTTTCCTCTCACAGATTTCTTCTAACCTACGTGGGAGCTGAGGACAACTGAGCATAACTAATTAGGCTGCTATCAGTTACAGTTTTCCAGAGGTTTGACTGGGTGGTGTTTTAGGTGACTACAGCAAGAATGTTATTACTTTTCCCTGTGGAGACCACTGATCATTTCAAAATTATGAGCCTCACTGCTGTTGGCCTCTCCCCTTTAACAAGGGGAGCTTCTTTTTTTTTTTTGAGATGGAATTTTTGCTCTGTTGCCCAGGCTGGTGTGCAATGGCACCATCTCGGCTCACTGCAACCTCCACCTCCCAGGTTCAAGCAATCCTCCTGCCTCAGCCTCCCAAGTAGCTGGGATTACAGGTGCCCACCACCACACCAGGCTAATTTTTGTATTTTTAGTAGAGACGAGGTTTCACCATGTCAGCCAGGCTGGTCTTGAACTCTTGACCTCAGGTGATCCACCCGCCTTGGCCTCCCAAAGTGCTAGGATTACAGCAATGAGCCACCACGCCAGGCCAAGGGGAGCTTCTTAATAACAACTAGAGAAACCCTAACTCACTTGGGGTATCAGCTGACATGTAAGGATATGTAAGCCCCTTCCCTGGTGAAACTTTCTAATGGAGAGAAAGCAACTCTCCTCGGTACCATGCCCACTGACAATGGTCTCACACTCCCATCTCTCTGGAACCTCCTCTCTTCCAACTGTTCTCTCAAAAGGATCGAAAATAGTGAAGTCCCTTCAAATTTCTAAAATGCTACTGGAAACACCCGTAACATTGCCCCTGTTTGGGCTTAGGAGTGAGGAGGGCCGACAATTCCATGGTAGTCATAACTACATCCACCTGGGTGTCCTCCCTTACCTTCTGTAACTTTTCAATCATTTCTTCAATACTAATGTCCGCTGTCTGTAGAACTTTGTTTTCCATCTGCACCAGCCAGGCACACAACTCTTTATTTTTTTCATTGAATACAACCCATGTATTGAGTCTGTCTTCAATCTCCTGTTTACGTATGGCCACCTGCAAATGAAAATACATTTGGCAGCTGAGTATAGCCAGGAAGGAAAGCACCCCCTTCTCTCCCTCAAAAAAACTGAGTTTCATTCATTTTAATCAGTAGCTCTCCGCACTCAACCTTGTCTGGTTTTGCCTCTTCTAAACCTAGGGTTTAGCATCAACAGAAGTTCCTTACACCTGTGATAAATGTCATAAAAAATAACAAAATAAATACTGTACCTGAAATGTAGCTGATTGGAAGGATTGTTTTTATCCAATACTCGTGTGTTACTATCTGGTTATAGTAAAAATTAGAAACAGGAAAGGCTAGATGAAGATATAACCCAAATCCTTGCCCTTATAACAACGAATCAAATCCTTATACCAACATAAGGACAATGTCCTATTTAACTTAAAAACTATTAATCCAGATAGAATGTCAATCAAACATTTATAATGCAAATGGACCAGGAAAACTACAGCCGTTTAAATGTCCTTAGTGTTATGCTTCAAAACAAAGCAAAACCAAAAACAATGTACATCACTCATTTAACCCACTTGCCCGTTATGCACTGGATTTTGGATGGAAACCATAAAAGTATCATCAACAGCTGGTCTGCAGCAAGCAGGCTGACCCCAAAATACCCAATACCCCATTATGCATAAGTAACCCCTAAACTGACATCAGCTAAGGGTCCTCCTCCTTAAAGGTTTAAATTTCACTAAATATAAATTTAAATAATGCAAATCAGCCTAACTAGATGTACAAAAGTATTCCCAGGTTTTAAGAATCTTCAGAATCTTAGCGTTAAAAGGGGTGGCTAAGAGTTCTTTTGGTAAAGTTTTGACACCCCACTATATGGACCAGGAAACCAAGGGTGAATTCTCTGAGATTTTCCTGCTGTGTATAAAGAAACCTCTGCTCTTTTCGGAGGAGAAAATACTGAATGCTTATATATCCTAGCCAGCCAAACGTGTTAAAAAGGCTTGAAAAACTATCCTAGAAAAACAAGTGTTGTGTTTCCATTCCTCGGGGCATCTGTTTATCTTTTAAAAATCCTGGCATTTTGCACATTGTCATTCTGATTGATTTCATAATAGTAACAATTAGGAACATCTGGGCCCCAGTCTTCCTGTCTACCTTAACTTTCAGAACACTTTTCATATATTCTAAACATTTTCTTTTGTATAAAAATTGAAAAGTTCTAAAAGAACATTTAAAATTAGGGTACATTGTGAATATTAAATACTAAAATCAAGGAGAACGTGTCTGAATTTCAACTTTTTAAATACATCTCTTAATTCACAAAAATGAGATTAAGGAATTTATTTTCGTTGGAATTCTCTGTTCTTAAAACAAAGATCTTTAAGACTATTTGAACCCCTTAATTCAATACTGATCCTGTCACAAGCCTATACCGTGTAATACTCTATTAATACAATCCCATTCTTAATAAGTTGAAGTGATCCATTGAGACAACATAGCAGTTGATCATTTCTCTTACAGGATTTTAGAAACCAGCTACTTGAAATAAACATCAGGTTCCTGTGAATGCAGAGTACTCATATGAAATGCTCCCATGCCTGGTGGGCATGAAGTAAGACTCCTGCTGTTAGGCCCAGAAGAGACTCCCCAGTAAAGGACCTCTTCACTGGGTCCAGCTTCTGATACACTGATTAGGACTTGCCACCTACACAAGCCAGAGAGCAGTCTACACATCTGATCAGAATTGCAATTTCTGTCTCCACTTAAAGTGACTTTTTAAAAAAGCTCATTAAAAGCGTGCAAAGTTCTAGCATTTAGTGCTGGAGAAACAAAAGGGTCAAATCTGTTAAACCTGTTGCTGCCTTCTAAAGGAGCAGCGGCCGGGCCAGGGGTCCCACTGAAAAGGGCCTCCGGTTCAATGAAATTAAGCTCCTTTCTACTTTGTCTGGCCTTCAGAGACATTTCAATCCACTCCCAAACAGCCGTGCCCTGCAGTGAGCTGACTTACCCTTAAGCAGAGGTCCTCCCATTGTCTGTGCAAATGCTCTATTTGCTCCTTCAAAACCATCACATCTTCCACGAGAACGTGCCGGGTTAAGTCCGCCTTCATAGTTTGAAGTTCTTTCAAGTTCTGAGTCCAGCTAGCCAAAGACTGTTCTAGTTCCTGCATTTAATCACAAGAAGGGGGTAAAAAGCCTTCAACTCAAGCGGCTGTTGTTTCCAAACCTGTAGGCTAATCCTTTGATTAGACTCTGGGGGAGGGGAGGCCAGGAGAGAGGGAGGGACCTTCTGAATGGGAAACAGCCCAAGACGAGCGCCTGCAGTTGTGGTTGGCCAGTTCTCCACCACCTTCTTATCAAAGGAAAACTCTGTTCTACCTTTATTTTCATTTCCTCAGGTAGCTCTGATTTTGATAGAATTTATTCTATTTTAAAGTCACATAGGTCTTCATTTAGAGGAAAGTGTATTTGGAGTCTAATAATCTTTACACACACACACACATGCACACATACAATTTTTAATCCTGAAACTACATTTCAGATAAAGTGTGATTTTCCATTTAAAAAAACCCTAAGAAATGCATTGCTGCTATTGTGGCAATCACGTAACAGCAACAACTTCTGTTCACAGGGAATTATTTTTGGTTAACTTTTGAAAATAATGAGTAAGTATAACGGAAGAAAAAATAAACTTTTCTAATTGGCAAAGATTAGTTAGCAGATATTTTTCTGGCCATGGAAACATCTATCTTTTAAAATGCAGCATTGGCTGGGCTCAGTGGCTCACACCTGTAATCCCAGCACTTTGGAAGCCCAAGGTGGACGGATCACCTGAGGTCAGGAGTTCAAGACCAGCCTGGCCAACATGATGAAACCCCATCTCTACTAAAAATACAAAAATTAGCTGGGTGCGGTGGCGCGCGCCTGTAATCCTAGCTACTTGGGAGGCTGAGGCAGGAGAATTGCTTGAACCCAGGAGGCGGAGGTTGCAGTGAGACAAGATCGCACCACTGCATTCTAGCCTGGCTGACAGAGTGAGACTCCACCTCAAAAAAAAAAAAAAAAAAAGAAAAAGAAAAAGAAAAAGAAAAAAAAAAGAAGCATCTGTCAAATTGAAACCTTCTGAAATCTAGGATTTACTCAAGAGATTTACTTTCACAGCAGGGAAGGTAAAAGGAAACAACCAGAACACTCAAGAGTCTACCAGATTTTTATTGTGCTTACAATTCTTCATGACTTGGCACATTTTAAGGGTCTTCACTCCTATCTGTCAAATGAAATCTGAAATAAGATACTATGCCTTTTTAATTTTTATTTTTTTTTTAAGAGACAGGGTCTCACCCTGTTTCCCATGCTAGACTACAGTGGCATGATCATGGCTTACTGCAGCCTCGACTGACCTCTTGGGCTCAAGTGATCCTCATGCTTCAGCCTCCAGAGTAGCTGAGACTATAGGCACGCACCACCACAACTGGCTAATTTTTATATCTTTTTGTAGAGATGGAAGTCTCACCATTTTGCCCAGGCTGGTCTCAAACTCCCCAGCTCAAGTGATCCCCTTGCCTCAGCCCCCTGAAGTGTGGGGATGACAAGGGCGAGCCACCATGCCCTGCTGATACTATGCCTAAAATCAGGGATAAGTGTGAAAGGCCCTAACAATATGTTAATTCTGATTGATTTTCAGAGTTCTAAAAGCTACACTGGCATGATTTCATAACTTACCAACAAGAATTTATGTTTAATAAAATGGCCCAGAGAATTCTTTTTAAAGGTTGCATGAAGATTGAGGAATTAACACCTTTCTCAGAAGATAAATCATTAGGTATTTAACATTTTTATTACCTACTTTTGGTCTCACGATTGGTTCCAGTAGATGACAGCAGATTCCACAGTGGAACACTTTGGAAAGCTACATAACATAAAGGGGGCCACCTGCCAGCTGAGGTGTACCACTTACTGACTTGAAATTGGAGATCTGGAAACCTCTGAGCTTCAAACAGAGTTTCCCAGTCAGGTGGCAGGAAGCTCAGCCTGTCCAGTGCCCTGCTCAGAGGTGCTGGCTCGGCCACCGAGTTATGCCCGGCCAGGTTTCAATCAGTTTGGTTTGAATACTTACAATATTGACAATCGGAAAGTGTACAGTCACTGGATAAGGTTGAGACTCCTGTTTTACTCTCACTGCCCTGCCCTTTTCCCCTCTAACACTCACCATGTTCATACACATACACACACACACACACACACACACACACACACACCCCTATGCATACAGTGTGGCTCTCTGGCAGACTGGACCATTAGCTCCACACATGGCAGGGACCATGACAACACTGCTCACGGATTCAGTGCCCAGAACCTGCCATGGTGCTGCTGCACAGCAAGTTTTCAGATACCAAAATGTACGGCTGAAAGGAAAGCAATTTGGCTGTATGTCTCGAGAGCTTTAAAATGTTCATAAAGACTAAATGAAAAAAGCAGGGAGTCAAACAATATATAGAATGAGGTCTCTTGTGGAAGTTTACTAGAGCTGACGATCAGTTTGTATAAAAATGTCAACAATCATGCCTGTCTTTAAATTAAATTGCTCCCTCTCCCTCTCCCCCTCCCCTCCCCCTCCCCACCCCCTCCCTCTCCCTTCTTTCCACGTCTCCCTCTGATGCCGAGCCCCCTCTCCCTTCTTTCCACGGTCTCCCTCTGATGCTGAGCCAAAGCTGGACTGTACTGCTGCCATCTGGCCTCACTGCAACCTCCCTGCCTGATTCTCCTGCCTCAGCCTGCCGAGTGCCTGGGATTGCAGGCGCACGCCACCACGTCTGTCTGGTTTTCGTATTTTTTTGGTGGAGACGGAGTTTCGCTGTGTTGGCCAGGCTGGTCTCCAGCTCCTAACCACGAGTGATCTGCCAGCCTCGGCCTCCCGAGGTGCCGGGATTGCAGACGGAGTCTCGTTCACTCAGTGCTCAATGTTGCCCAGGCTGGAGTGCAGTGGCGTGATCTCGGCTCGCTACAACCTCCACCTCCCAGCCGCCTGCCTTGGCCTCCCAAAGTGCCGAGACTGCAGCCTCTGCCCGGCCGCCACCCTGTCTGGGAAGTGAGGAGCGTCTCTGCCTGGCCGCCCATCGTCTGGGATGTGAGGAGCCCCTCTGCCTGGCTGCCCAGTCTGGGAAGTGAGGAGCGCCTCTTCCTGGCTGCCATCCCGTCTAGGAAGTGAGGAGCATCTCTGCCCGGCCGCCCATCGTCTGAGATGTGGGGAGCGCCTCTGCCCTGCCGCCCCGTCTGGGATGGGAGGAGCGCCTCTGCCCGGCCGCCACCCTGTCTGGGAGGTGAGGGGAGTCTCTGCCCGGCCGCCCCGTCTGAGAAGTGAGGAGCCCCTCCGCCCGGCAGCTGCCACGTCCGGGAAGTGAGGAGCGTCTCTGCCCGGCAGTCGCCCCGTCCGAGAAGTGAGGAGCCCCTCCGCCCGGCAGCCGCCCCGTCCGAGAAGTGAGGAGCCCCTCCGCCCGGCAGCCGCCCCGTCCGGGAAGTGAGGAGCGTCTCCGCCCAGCAGCCGCCCCGTCCGGGAGGGAGGCGGGGGCAGCCCCCGCCTGGCCAGTCGCCCCGTCCGGGAGGGAGGTGGGGGGCGCCTCTGCCCGGCCGCCCCTTCTGGGAAGTGAGGAGCCCCTCTGCCCAGCCGTCACCCCGTCTAGGAGGTGTACCCAACAGCTCATTAAGAACGGGCCATGATGACTATGGCGGTTTTGTCAAATAGAAAAGGGGGAAATGTGGGGAAAAGATAGAGAAATCAAATTGTTGCTGTGTCTGTGTAGAAAGAAGTAGACATAGGAGACTCCATTTTGTTCTGTACTAAGAAAAATTCTGCCTTGGGATGCTGTTAATCTATGACCTTACCCCCAACCCCATGCTCTCTGAAACATGTGCTGTGTCCACTCAGGATTAAATGGATTAAGGGCGGTGCAAGATGTGCTTTGTTAAACAGATGCTTGAAGGCAGCATGCTCGTTAAGAGTCATCACCACTCCCTAATCTCAAGTACCCAGGGACACAAACACTGAGGAAGGCCGCAGGGTCCTCTGCCTAGGAAAACCAGAGACCTTTGTTCACTTGTTTATCTGCTGACCTTCCCTCCACTATTGTCCTATGACCGTGCCAAATCCCCCTCTGCGAGAAACACCCAAGAATGATCAATATAAATAAATAAACAAATAAATAAAAATAAAAATAAAAAATAAATAAATAAATTAAATTGCCCCAGACTTGCAACCAAACTGTCAAAGAGATAAGTTTCCACCATCTTCATTCAACCAGATAAATTATCTATACCACAAGAATACCTGAAAATTTCCAATTTTTTACGTAACATGGGATGTAAAATTTCAAGTTGTTTGGCTGCGAAAAGCGGTGTGTTGCACAGGATTTGACTGGACTCTGCAGTATCAGGACAGCATCTAAGCCTTGCCTGTGGACTCAATTACCAGTGGAACTGTCAAGTCCCATTTCTCTGTACTACCATTTGGGTAAAGGAGGACCAAAAAAGAACGGGTATATAAATAAAATTTGACCTGCATATGCATACTCTATCTTTGGAAGAAAATACAACAAACTTGTAACATTGATTGCTTCTGTGGAGAGGAACTGATAAGAGAAAAATTTTACTTATACAAAAATTATTTAAAAACCAAACTGTTCCAAGGACTCAATCTTTGGACAAGTGTTATGAAACACAGATGTCCATTGTAGCAATTTTCATAATAGTGAAGTTAGAATATATGTAAAACATATATGTAAGGAAATTATTCCATTCCTCAACGTGGCTGTAGTGGGAATATAATTTTTCTTTTTTATCTTTTATCTTTTTCTTTTTGCAGCTGTGCTTAGAAGGGAATATAATTTTATGAGGAGGAAAGTCAAGCTCAAATTGGTCAAGTGGCTAGCGTATTTCCCCCAGGTGAATCAGGGATGAAACACACTGACCTGGACAAGCTTTGGGTTACTTGGGATCTTTTCAGAATATGGTCACGGGTTGAACGAACTCAATGCTTTTTGCCTTTCCCTGATTACTTTCCACTGATAAATAGGATGCTGAGACCGTGAAAGCTGAAAAGATCCCACTGGAAACTGAGAAGTGTGATACTTGAGAAAAATTATGGCTGCTCAAGGGTTTACATTTCATGTTCTGCACAGGTTTCTAGACCTTATGGAAGGAAACTCTGTGTTTCAGCTGAGAGCATGACTCCAAATTATTTCCGTTGTTACCAAAGTCTTGCTCTAAGCCTAATGAGGTAGGGATGATAAAAACTTTGAAAATTTGGCATAGAAATCTTGTTAACCTAATAAAGCCACTGACTGACACATCACCACCAAATATCACATTTAACAGTGAAATGTTAGAATCATTTTCTTCTAAAATCAACAATGGAAGACTCAGCTATTAATACTTCTGCTTAACAATGTTCTGAAGGTATTGACCCGTGTAGGAAAAATAGGAAAAAAAAAAGTATATTAAAAAGAAGAAACAAACAAAAATAACCTTGTCATTATTGACAGATGATGATGGTCTCATAGACACCCAAAAAAATACATAAACGAATTATTGGAATTAACATAAGAGTTTAACAAGATGGTTAAACATAAATATGCAAAGACCAATTACATTTCTAGGCATCAGCAATAATCAGTTAGGAAATATAATTAGAAAAAGGCAGTATTTTCAATAGCTTCAAAAATATTGCACCAAGAAATAAATCTAACAAAAGATATATCTTTTGTGATTAGGAAAATTATAACAAGAATAAGCCAGGTGTGGTGGCTCAGGCCTGTAATCCCAGCACTTTGGGAGGCCAAAGCAGGTGGATCACCTGAGGTTGGGAGTTAGAGACCAGCCTGGCCAACATGGTGAAACCCCGTCTCTACTAAAAATACAAAAATTAGCTGGGCGTGGTGGCGGGTGCCTATAATCCCAGCTACTTGGGAGGCTGAGGCAGGGGAATCCCTTGAACCCGGAGGCAGAGGTTTCAGTGAGCCAAGATCGTGCCACTGCACGCCAGCCTGGGTGACAAGAACGAAGCTCCATCTCAAAAAAAAAAAAAAAAGTTATAAACCATTAGTGAAAACAACTAAATAATATGACCAAAGGGAAATATATACCACAGTCATGAGCATGAGCAGGAATACTAAAAATAATTATCCAAGTTAATCTAAAATTCAATGCAATTCAATTAAAACTCTTATCAGAACTTTTCATGGTTTAACAAGCTGTTCCTCAAAGTTACGGAAGATCAAAGACCCAGGGACATCCAAAGTAATGTGAGAGAACAAGGTGTGGGTATACATCACACCTGAAATAAAGATGTGTTACAATAAAGTGCAGTAATCAAGACAGTTTGATATTAAAGCTGACATACACAGACCAGTGGAACAGAGAACTGAGAAACAAATCCTGCGTTTATGGAAATTTGGTATTTGACATTAGACAATAAATAGGCACCAAGACAACTGGCTATCCATACGAATAAAATTAGAAAATGGATCTCTGCCTTAAAACGTATGCAAAAATCAATTCCTCAATGAATAAAGATGTGAATGTGAAAATCAAAAACTAAAAACTTTTTGAAGAGAATGTAAGCACGTATTTTATGACTTTAGTATGAAGATTTTGCAAAGGAAGCGGAAAATACAAATCATATAGGAAAATACTGACCAATTCATCCACATTAACAAAATATCTTTTGTTCAGCCAGCAATACCAAGGAAAACGCAGAAAAACAGGCTCTCAGATGGGAAAAGACATTTGCAATGTATATACTCAGTAGAAGAGGAATATTTAGAATAAATAAGCAGCTCCTTCAACTCAATAAGAAAAAGACAAATAGCCCAATGGAAAAAAATCAGTAAAAGGCACAAATAGGCAATTCACAAAAGGGCAAATATGAAAAAAATGTGCAACTGACTAATAAACTATAAAGAGATACTATCTCACAGCTGCTGGATTAGCAAAAGTTTAAAAAAAAATCTGACAATACCAAGTGACTACAGAAGGGATATATAAATTGTTGTATATTCTTATAATGCATACTATACAGCAGTGAGAATGAATGTGCATTAGGTGCCAACATCTATGACTCCAAATCACAATGAGGGAAAAAAGTTACATTGTAGGCCAGGCGCTGTGGCTCACGCCTGTAATCCCAGCACTTTGGGAGGCCGAGGCAGGTGGATCGCTTGAGGCCCCAGGAGTTCAAGACCAGCCTGGCCAACGTGGCGAAACACCATCTCTACTAAAAATACAAAAAAATTAGCCAGGCCTGATGGCACATGCCTGTAATCCCAGCTACTTGGGAGGCTGAGGCACGAGAATTGCTGGAACCCGAATGGTGGAGGTTACAGTGAGCCAAGATTGCGCCACTGTATTCCAGCCTGGGTGACAGAAGGAGACTCTGTCTTAAAAAAAGAAAAAAAAATTACATTATATATAGTACTGCTTATATAAAGTTTTAAAATTTATGTATTTTGTTTACTTTTTAGAGACAGTCTTACTCTGTCATCTAGGGTGGAGCATAGTGGTGCATTCATGAGTCACTGTATCCTCGACCTACTGGGCTCAAAGGATCCTCCCACCTCAGCCTCCCCAGTGGCTAGGATCACAGTCAAGTGCCACCACATCCAGCTAATTAAAAAAAATTTTTTGCTGTACATATGGGGATCTCACTTTGTTGCTCAGGCTACTTTCAAACTGCTGGACTCAAGGGATCCTCCCGCTGCAGCCTCCCAAAGTGCTGGGATTATAGTTGTGAGCCACCATGCCTAGCCATATAACGTTTAAAAACAGAAAGCAATTCTACATCTCATTGACAGCAGGCTGGGCGCCTGCTGTCACTTTGGGAGGCCAAGGCAGGAGAATTGCTTGAGCCCAGGAGTTGGAGACCAGTCTGGGCAACATGGCAAAACCCTGTCTCTACAAAAAATAGAAAAATTAGCCGGGCATGGCGGTGCATGCCTGTACTCTGGGCTACTCGGGGGGGCTGAGGTAGGAGGATCGCTTGAGCTTGGAAGTTGGAGGTTGTAGTGAGCTGAGACTGTGCCACTGCACTCTAGCCTGGAAGACAGAGCCAGACCCTGTCTCTTAAAAACAAACGAACAAACAACACTGACACCTACAAACACATGTATTAAAATTATTAGGACATGTGTAAGAATGATGAACACCAAATCCAGGGTTACTGACACCTCTAAGGAGAAGTTAGATCATACAGGACACTTGAACTGTGTGTATACTTTTTAATTTTTTAGCTAGGTGATGGTGTCATGGCAGTTTGTCATATTATTTGTTATGCCTTTTAGCACATCAGACATTTTTACAACAAAGAAAAAAGATGTAGGGAGAAAGACACTAATTTCTGGCCTAATTTGAAGTATAACACTATTCATTTCTTCCTAATTTTTTCAATTTGATCCCCGAAAGTCACTGAAGGAAGAAAAAAATTAAAATACCACTCCAACAGTCTCTCAATGTCTTTTAAACATCAAAGCTGCAGACAGAAAAGAGATGCAGGGAGTTGCTGACCTGGGAATTTTCCTGGCCCCAATTCCTATCCATAAGTTTGCCTTGTCTCCAGCAAAGGCCTAAAATATCCAGGAAGTTTTGCTAGTGTGGTATTCATTAGGAAGAATATATAGTTTGGATGGTTTTATAAAAATGCTATACTGGAGCAAACTCCAACCTACTGGCTTTCAAAAATGAATTCTTTAGTCATATTTTACTCTTGTTTCAAAGAAGAGGACATTTGATAAGGGAACAGCTTTTACAGGAATCTCAGAGGCCACATCTTATATTACAGAGGAGGAGCAGACAGAAAGAAGACCTGAAGGAGAAAACCCCTAAGATCCTAAGAAGTGAGTTTTTGCAAAAGTCTTTCTCGTCTTCAAACAACAATCGTAAAAAGCATCAATTCTAATTCCTTAAGAGACGAGCATGTTATGTTAGACAGATCGGGAAAATATTTTCTGATTGAAAATGAAAACTCAGTTTCAATACAGAAAGAGGCAAAGAAGCACTTCAAAGTACTCAGAAAACAGCTAAGTGATTATCTTGGCCACTTGTTTGGATTTCAATACCTTAATCAGCTCTTTTTCGTTATGGAGGTCCTCGTGAAGCTCTGGAAGAGGATCTTCACTTTGTGCCTTTAAAACTTGCAGCCTGCTTTTCAACTCCTTGATTTTCTTTTCACACTGGTCCCAGGTCTATTTGAAAACAAGATTAAAACTGGTAAGTATTTTGCTCTTTAGAATGAATTGTAGAAATAGAATAGCTCATTTAATCCACATAATCTTTCTATTAAGTTTGTTTTTAATAAATCACACAGACACCCAGTTCCCTGTCTTAAGCAGACTATGGTCTCCAAAAGCAGAAGGAACACCAATATGACTCGACCCTCCTTGCAGCTTTACCTGTGGCTCATTTCAACCACCAGGCTAGGCTTTGCTTGAAAATAGTTCTTCCGGGCTGGGCATGGTGGCTCAAGCCTGTAATCCCAGCACTTTGGGAGGCTGAGGCGGGTGGATCACCTGAGGTCAGGAGTTTGAGACCAGCCTGGCCAACATGGCGAAACTCCGTCTCCACTAAAAATACAAAAATTAGCTGGGTGTGGTGGTATGTGCCTGTAATCCCAGCTACTTGGGAGGCTGAGACAGGAGAATTGCTTGAACCTGGGAGGTGGAGGCTGCAGTGAGCCAAGATTGCACCACTGCACTCCAGCCTGGGTGACAGAGCAAGACTCCATCTTAAAATAAATAAATAAATAAATAAATAAATAAATAAAAATAAAAAAGTTCTTCCTCTCTCCCCAATCCCTCTCATCTAACCAATGTGATTTCTACTTTAATTTTGGAAAAGTTCACACCTAAAAGGCTACTGTACGGAGTAACTGTTAGCATTGACAGTCTTTGGTATATGCTATGACAGCACCACAGAACACAAGCACTCAGCCACCTTCCTTGTCTTCTTTTCCACCGTCACCCCTCTCCTCTGCTGGCTGTCTTCTCCTTTCTACAGCCTGGCTTTAGTGACCTTTTCACATTCAACCTTCACTTTCCACTTCTCACCACTGTGCTGACTACCACCTTCTGCTTAAAGCACTTTCCTGTTTACAAAGCATTTTCAACTTTATTAACTCATTGTAATTATAATAACCTTAGGAGATAGACAAGGAAAGTATTATCATATTTAAAACAAGTATTATCATATTTAAAATGGGAAAACTAAGGCTCAGAGAAAAATGACTAGCCCGTGGATCTGGGGTTAAAAGCCAAGTCAAGGGTCAACCATCTCTTTTCTTCAAATTTTAACTGTTGAACAAAATAGGTGCCTGCATTTTCAACTATAGGGTATTTATATTCGATTCATTAGGATAAACTTCTTTCCTGAAGTTACTAAAACTATACAAACCTACAATGAAACACTATTATTCAGTACAGCTGATACCTAAACATACTTGGGTTGGCCTCAGTCTATGGTAACCTCTCACTGAAGGGAGGCCACTTGTGTAGCAATATTAACTATCTGGAACTCAACTCAAAAGAAAGCAAAGGAGAAGCAAAACCATGAGTTCTTCAAACTGTTATTTGCAATTATCATTATGCTTCACAAACATGGCAGATGCTTAACAAATGTTTGCTAGTTAATGAATTCCATATAGTCCATATATCAAATAAAATTCAGATACTTTATTCACAGGAGAAATTTTCAAGCCCTAACTCAGCATATATTTACTCTTAATTCAGAAAAATATGTCTGGTAAGTTTGGTTATCTAGTTTTGGCACACACGACAGACTAGAGAGAGTGGGCTATAAGAAGTAAGTGAGCTTGGAGAAAGACAAAGTAAAAATAGACAGTTTGACATTAAGAGGAGAGAAAGAAAAATGATAAAAACCATATCAGAACTCAAAGAGCACAGTAGTTCAGGGAGGGCCACAGGTTCAAAGTAATTCAGAGGCCTTGAGAACAACTTGGTATCTTAGCATAACAAAACAATAATGATTTTCCTAACAGTGACTCAAAATATAACACTGTAGTTCTTAAAGGTATAATCATACATTATTTGGAAAATTCACTTATATGGAAAAGTGCATTCTCTGATGATAGCAGAAAAATGAAGTGTTTCTGTCTGTTCCATACATGGAACATTAGTTTTATGTATTGAACTTTCATTGAATATGTTTCCTGTTTCATAAAAGTAAGTATCTTAATAGAATCTCAAGTATTTAAATACTAAACATTGAGCTCTTGCAATGCTATATCATCATTTCACATTAAGTAACTGGCATGACTTACAGATTACAGCTTGAGTTGGAAACTCATGATACTATAGTTTCCTAAAACCATTTCCATTTTCACACCACAAATGAAAATCTATGTACTGAATTTGAATATCATGAATGGAAAAGTAAGTGGTGAGTTTACCTCTACAGTGCTCTGGAACTGCTTAATCATCTCTGCCAGCTGGGGCTCCATGTCTTTCCAGCTGTCCTGAAGTTGACTGATTCTCCTACCCACAGACTCTTTAGTTTTCAGGTCAGTTGTGAGCAGTAACTTTTCTCCAGCTTCCAAGGTTAGGGCACAGGTAGTTCGCCTCCTTTGAAAATGAATTTCTTTATTCTAAGAAAAAAAAGAGAAGTAATTTGCTTAGGTTTCTGATGTGTTCAAAATGTGATTGTGTGTGCCTGTGTATATTTCCTTCAGAGCTTTTCTTAAGAGTTAAACTAGATATAAATTAGACAAATTGGGTCAGAATGTACATACACACACACATCAAAAGCTAATGTTTTACACTGAGTAGATAAGCATACCACTAAGTGAGGTGTTCTTAAAATAATTTCCAAAGATTGGTGAGATAAGATTCTCAGTGTAATGATTAGCAGCACAGAGAAATAAAAAAATATACATCATAGAATAATAGCCTGCAAGGTAAATGGATCTAAGAGTATTAAGAAAGTGAATGGAGTAACAGACCTGAAATCAAGTAACAGACCTTATATTACGCTAAACAAATGTAAAAGGAAAGAACGCGAGAAAGGGTAAAATACAAAAAATATACATTTCTTAAGCTTTTTATGAGCACATAAACATGTACATTGATGTGTGCCCCAAAGGCGCAGCTTTAAAAAATTTCATCCGAATATCATGTAGGCTTTCTGAAAATTAAAAACAATTTAAAAACAATAGTTTTAGACCCGAAGTGATGGCTCATGCCTGTAATCCCAGCACTTTGGGAGGCCAAGACAGGCAGATCAGTTGAGCTCAGGGGTTCGAGACCAGCCTGGCCAACATGGAGAAACCCTGACTCTACTAAAAATACAAAAATTAGCCAGGCATGGTGGTGGATGCCTGTAATTCCAGCTACTTGGGAGGCTGAGTCCCAAGAATCACTTTAACCTGGGAGGCAGAGATTGCAGTGAGCCAAGATCACACCACTGCACTCCAGCCTGGGTGACAGAGTGACGCTTTGTCTCAAGGAAAAAAAAAAAAAAAAATTTAAGAGACAAGGTCTTGTTTATTTTTATTTTTTTCTATATTTTAGTGGCGGTGTTACAGCTCCGTGACTGCTCCTGCAGAGCAGGGCCGCTCCGCAGGCAGTGTGCAGAGAGTAGCGAAGGTCCTGTTTTTTAAGAGATGCGCCACCACACCTGGCTACATGGGCGTTCTTTAAAGAGATTGAAACTAGGTATTTATAATACAAAAATAAAGTAAAAACTTTAAAATTGATCCATACTCCCAAAGGCATTTGGTTTTAGAGGAAAAATTAAATAGTTTTTGTCTGTTCTAAATATGTTTTCCTGGCTGGGCATTCTGGTGAGTGCCTGTGGTCCCAGCTACTCGGGTGGCCGAGGTAGCCTCACCAGAAGTTTGAGGTTACAGTGAGCTATGATCACGCCACTGCACTCCAGCCTGGGAGACAGAGTGAGTACCTATCTCTAAAAAAATAAGTAAATAAATAAATAATACATAAATATTATTTCCTTCACCTTGAAATTTCTTGAAGGAGACAAAGTGTGGGCATTTTTCCAAAATGGGAGCTGATAAACATCAACAGAGCATCACTAATTTACAAAGGCATTTCTGAGAAGCCTGAAGATCACCCATACCCAAAGGAGGAAAGCCAAATGCACCCTCAGGAGCAGCACACAAATAAGAGAAACAGCAACTGGACCACAGGCACTCCACGTGCATCTCTCCAACATATTGTGCTGCGCAAATGAGCCACTCGTATTAGACCTGCTCCTCCCTTAGTCTTCCCTAACTCTGTCAACAGCACACTATTCACCAAGATGCTTGAGCTTCAACCCAGAGTCGTCCTTCATCTAGCTTTTCCTTTACCAGACTCACAAACCGACACTCCAAAATACGGTGTTTTGACACGCTGAACTGAAGAAGTCTCAGGGTCTCTCTACCCTAACGCACTGCGTCTCCTACAGAAGCTGAAGTCCTTTATCTGCCTAAGACCCGGACTCACCAAGGAGAATGATTGTTTTTTCTTTCCCTCCCTGTTACCTCATTATCTTATTGCAGAAAAGAAGACCCAGATGTAACCACACCCAAATAGGCTCTTTCAAGATGACTGCCTCCAGCGATCACTGAAATTCCAAAGATAACCTTTTTTTTTTTTTCCAGACAGGTCTTGCTCTGTTACCCAGGCTGGAGTGCAGTGGTGTGACCATGGCTCGTTGCAGCCTCAACCTCCCGGGCTCAAGTGTGACCCTCCTGCCTCAGCCTCCTGAGCAGCTGGGAGTACAGGCGTGCACCACCACACCTGGCTAAATTTTGAATTTTTTTGTAGAGACAGGGGTCTCACTATGTTGTACACAGGCTGGTCTCAAACTGGGCTCAAGGGATCCTCCCACCTCGGCCTCCCAAAGTGTTGGGATTTCAGCCAATTCTCATCAAACTGTGGCACCTCTGTCCCCTCCTCTCAAACTCATGTGGACACATATGATAGCCTTCATTGTTAGAGTGTGGCAGAAGCGATATATGTGACTTCTGAGGTTGGGTTTATAGGGCAATACAGCTTGTTCTCGGGATAAGAATCTTTGAAACCATTGGGGTACCATATAAGAAGTCTGGCCACTGGAAGCCCTCACGTGGTAACACAACAGAGAATGATGCCCAAGGAGAGGAGCTCCACTGTCCCAGCTCCTTGCTGCTCCAGTTGTTCCAGCCTAAGCATCAGTCATGTGAGTGAGCTTCAGATGACACCAGCCCCAGCCACCATCTGACTGCAACTGCCTGAGAGACCCCAAGCAGGAACCACCAACTCCTGTCAACCCCAAGAATGACGAGACAGAATGATGAGTGTCATTATGCAGCGATAGGTAAGTGAGATGTTAGGATTCCTACTTTTCCTTTAGCTCCCCTACAATCAGGAACAGCCAGAGTGATCTTTAAAAAATATGGGGCTGGGCACAGTGGCTCACGCCTGTAATCCCAGCACTTTGGGAAGCTGAGGTGGGTGGATCACCTGAGGTCAGGAGTTCGAGACCAGCCTGGCCAACAGGGTGAAACCTTGTCTCTACTAAAAACACAAAAATTAGCTGGGCATGGTGGCGGGCGCCTGTAATCCCAGCTACTTGGGAGGCTGAGACACGAGAATTGCTTCAACCTGGGAGGCAGAGGTTGCAGTGAGCCAAGATCGCAACACTGCACTCCAGCCTGGGCGACAGAGTGAGACTCCGTCCCAAAAAAAAGAAAAACAAGCAAACAGTGTCATGCTGCCCTCTCCCTCAGCTGAAATGCTTCAAAGGCTCCCTGGTTCCAGCCAGACCAGGTAATCCAGCTGCCACACCCAACCTGCAAAACACTCCTCCCTACCCGCCTTTCTAGTTCACCTCCTGCCACTACTGCCTTGCCAGCTCTGCGCCAGTCACACTGGCCTTTTTGCCGTTCCTCTGTGCTGAGCTTGTTCTCATCTTGGGGACTTGGAGTAAGCCTCTCCTTCAGTCTGAAAGGCTCTTTCCTTAGATCTTGCATGGCTGGCTCCTTCTCATCATTCAGTCCCAGGTTAAATGTCACATGGCCAGAGACAACCCAATCTAAAGGAGCCACACATCCCCATCTCTACTGGCCCTGTTTTAATGATCTACGTAAGTCTTATTACAATCTGATATTTTATTATTTATTAATTTATCTGATTAATTATTCTGGTTTACTACTTTGTCTGCCCTTATGAGAGCGAAGGTCTTCTCTCCATCCACAGAATACACCCAGCACTTAGGACAGTGATTGGCACAGAGAAGGTACTCAATTAATATGCGATGATTGCATAATGAGTGAGGGCTGTACAGGATTTCAGGAGGGTGGTGTTTGTTGAGAGGCTTCTCTAAGGTGGAGAGTAGCTCTACAGCTCCATGGGACATGCCAACCACCTATGCTAATCCTGTGCTCATCAGGCAAGTTTCTTTTGGAAAGCTTTGTTGGCTGAATGAATTTGCCCCTTTATTTTTATTTTTTTTAAATCAGTTTTTAAAATTTTGTGAGTGCATGAGGTTTTTAAATATAGGCATGCAATGTCCAATAAGCACATCATGGAGAACGGGGTTTCCATCCCCTCAAGCATTTATCCTTTGAGTTACAAATAATCCAATTACACTCCTTAAGTTATTTAAAAATATATAATTAAATTATTATCGACTATAGTCACCCTACTGTGCTATCAAATAGTAGGTCTTATTCATTCTATTTTTTTTGTACCCATTGAATTTGCCCTTCAAGAGTAAACAATGCCATCACTGTACATTACTACACTAATGGTCAATTTATACATTAGTCAGTGGCTTAAGAATCTGGGTGGTTTGAGTCTGTTGCCCTAAACCTCCCCCAATTTATTCACCCATCTCCACTCCATGCCTCCTCTCATGGCCCAAGAGAACCCTAGTATTTCTGGATGAATGGGTAATATCGGGTTTCCAACCCCACAATGCTAGGGACTGGGCTGTGGGGGGTGGTGACTGCACCTTGCTGGCCTCACACTGCAGAGAGCCCACTTGGATCACATCATCATCAAAAACATTAAACCAAAGGTGAATGAACATCTTGCAAACAATGACCACCCTGTGGTTCTCACACTGCTACGATGCATACACTACCTTCAGCTCATGGATCAGACTTCTGGTTTGGTAGAGGCTGAAGCGCTCCTGGCCCTTCACTGCAGATAGCAGGTGGCTGGTGTCAGTGAGGAAGCGAAACAAGTTCTCCACAGAAGTAGTGAAATCTTGCCACTGCCTCACCAGCCCATCAACGTCACCCTTCCTCTGCCGAACACCCTGGACAGCATTCTGCCACCGATCCGTCAGCTTTGAGAATTCTGTAATAAATTCTGGTCTGGGGAAAAACAAATGGTTATAGAATCCAGACATCGACATGTAGAAAAAATAACTATCAGTGGGTAATAGCAGCTCAGATTCAGTTTTTATAAGTACAATTTACATGAAAAAAATCCCAACTTCTAAACACCTGAGTGCTATTCAATTTAAACATGATTAAGGCTTTGGGAAGGGCAGCATGCAGACTGAGTTTAGCAGAAGGTATCTGCACGTAACCTGGTATTTTGCCAGCATGCATAACCATTCCCTTAAACAAACTGAAGCTGTTTTAATATACATTAGGCCAAACGTGGAAAGGAAAACTAGAAACTGGATCAAAGGGAAACAGATGAACAGGCAGGTACTTTGTAACACTATGGATTACTTGAGTGTACTTTACATAATTTTAGCAATAAAGAGCATGCTTTATTGCAGCTACTCAACAGTTCTTTTCTGGATAAATAATATCCTTCACACGAGAAATAAGGCCTCTTGTTTATTATGGGAAAGTCATGTTTTTCTGTACAGATCAAATAGAAATTAGCTTATCATCCTGGAACTGGCTTGCATTTACTGCTTCAGAGCTAGGGAGAAAAGGGCTTTACATTTCTTAGTTATGCTGAAAGAAGATTCAGAGGTGTATGGGTGGTGATGTGGAAGAAAAATCATACCCATTAGGACATTTAGAGAAGTATTTAAATGGCCAGGCCATTTCCAGGCTATCTGCCATGTGTACAGCTGCATGAGCAGACTCACTCAGCATTAGCAGACTGGCCAAAGGTGCTCTGTTCAGCCTGATTGGCACTGCCCAGTGACCCTAAGCCCACATATGTAGCATGGAGAGAAAGCCCTTCTTTCAGACTTATAGGATTTAGCTACCTACTGGGAACATTAGGAATAATCATTTTTTAGAAATTATTTTTTAAGTCGCAAAACATCATGAGGATGATGGTAGAGAAGGAAACAGTACAGAAGAATCATTTGGGGGCACAAACTTAGTTAACTATACTTGAGAAGTGGGCATTTTCCAAAGCTTCTGGGCTGCTAACCCCATCCACCTACCATACGGAAAAGGTGTCTGTCACAGATGTTTTTATGGTCACCCAGCAAGATCTAGTCCCACTACATAGTTAGAAGCCTGGTCCTATGGTGATCTGTCAACCAACAGGGCACAGGGCACCAACATGGTCAAGGTTCACATGGTGGAAAGCCTGCCCTGACTGAATGCATTACCTTCCATCCGCCCACAACCTTCATGAGGCCCAGACAGCTCACCTGTTCTCTATTTCTGTTGTGTCCAGGAGTTGTAAGGACTGGGTGACATAGGAATCAGCAATTGTCTGGTTTATAGAAACTTCAGCTTCTAACATCTGTATATGAGTCCAAGCAGAAAATATCAGCTAGTAAAATTCATTTTATGAATCTCGGAACCTACATTTCCTATTAAAATCTAAGCTTACAAAGGATATGAGGGATAATTAATTTTCATATTATTTGAACCTACTGCAAAAAATGTTCAACTATCATATCAACATCACCTACGAATATATTCTTAAAAGCAAACAGGTCTAATAATAATTACATCTAATACCCATTTGTTGGGCATTTACGATTTGGTAGGCACTGTAAAACATGCATTGTCTCATTTATTTCTCAGCCTTAGGATTTAAGCACTATTATTACATCCATTTGAAGAGGAGGAATCTAAGGTATAAAGAGGTTCAGTAACTTACTTAAGGCCACTCAGCTTTTTGGCAGGGGTGATTTCATTTTAATTGGATGATCTTAATGTAGCAATGTAGACTTCAATCAGTTACATTAAAAAGTTGCAGTGAAGTAATTCTGCACACTTTTGAAATGTGTCCTTTGTAATCCCAGCACTTTGGGAGGCCGAGGCAGGCGGATCACTTGAGGTCAGAAGTTCGAGACCAGCCTGGCCAACATGGTGAACCCCATCTCTACTAAAAATACAAAAATTAGCCAGGTGCAGTGGCACATGCCTATAGTCCCAGCTACTCGGAAGGGTAAGGCACGAGAATTGCTTGAGCCTGGGGGGTGGAAGTTTCAGTGAGCCGAGATTGCGCCACTGCACTCCAGCCTGGGTGACAGAGGAAGACTCTGTCTCCCCCCACCAAAAAAAGCAGGATCTGCCTATAACCACCAGGAGTATTTTCAAATACATGTCAGCATAAGCACTGAGGAAACTCCTGTGAAATTATTAACGCTACAGTTATAATTATACCAGGTGCTTTAATACTATGGAGAATTATTGAGTGAAAATACAAACATGAGTCGAAGTATTTTATTATACTCTTGATAGAATGGTATAATGTTTGCATTTTGTGGAAGCAAAGTTGTACTAGAAGCTTCCATGTACTGCAGAAAATCTAGGAGTCCTCTCCCTAATAAAATAGAGCAGTAAATGTTGAAATTTATGAAACGTACAAGAATTTTACAAATGACCAATTGACAACTGAATTTGCTTAAAGGTATACATTCTGTGTTTAGGGACTGATAGGTACACTCCCTGTGTTTTATTTAAAGCTATCTTTCCCTGACTCCTGCCCCAGATGAGCGGTTCAAGGGTGGCAGAGAACACAGGTTTACCTTATAGGTTTTCTGCTGCTCCAGGAGCTCAGGAAGGCTGTTAGCCACATCCACTTTGAGTGCTTCTTCTATCTTCTCCAAAAGTTGGATCCACTTTTCACAGCAATAAAGAAACTTTTCATTCAATCCAATTCCCTGAAGCTCACTACAAAGGTTTAAAACAAAACACACCCATGTTAACAATGCCATTCCCGAGCTGAAGCCGTTAATTTTACCTTAATTGAAACAACGACAGAGAAGGGATGTTCTAACCTGCAGCGCTCCAGTGCCGTGGCCGTGGCCCGAATCCATTGCCGGTTCATATTTTGTAACGTCTTCACAGCTACGTCACTAAGTGGGAGCTTGAGGCTCACTTCATTCAAATGTTCAATATCAGGTGATTGGGCTGTCAGTGCCAGCACATGATTCTATTTTTAAAAAATTGAAGTACAGGTTTTTGGATGCCAATAAGATATCTAGATGACAAAAAACCCTCCTTACCTCAAAGATAAAGGAAAACTGGGGCCTGAACAGGCAAATGACTTGCCCACAGTCAAACAGCTTGCTAATGTTAGAGTGGGACCTGAATTCAGCTATCTCAATGCTGTGCCTTCTAGAATACCAACCTGCAACACGGCCAGCACCCAAACAGCCCAGGAAATAGAAAGTTATCTCAGATTTTGTCACCGAAGAATACAGAAAATAGGCTTTTTTATTTTTTATTTTTCGGAATGGAGTCTCATTCTGTCGCCCAGGCTGGACTGCAGTATCATGATCTCGGCTCACTGCAACCTCCGCCTCCTGGGTTCAAACGATTCTCCTGCTTCAGCCTCCCAAGTAGGTGGAATTACAAGTGCCTGCCACCACACCTGGCTAATTTTTGTATTTTTAGTTTCACCATGTTGGCCAGCTGGTCTAAAACTCTGACCTTGGATGATCCACCTGCCTCGGCCTCCCAAAGTGCTGGGATTACAGGCGTGAGCCACTGCACCCAGCCTAACATGCTTTTTAAAAAAGGACCAATTCTGGGCTTTTAAGTCCCATTTAGTCTGCCAATAACCTGGCCTTCAACAAACAGGTCAAGCACAGAGTGATGAAAATTTGATTCTTAAAATAACTCTAGCAGAGCAAGGGACTTAAACACCCATATTTTGATAGAACATGACATTGCAAGAAAGCAAACTTATCAAAATTTCATTTTTAAAAAGATATTCCAGCGACAGCTTCTAAGCTGACAAGCAAACATCCTTAACAATATTGAAGTTACCACTACAGAACTCTGCTGTAATATTCTAGGTCAGGATAAGCAAACTTTTTCTGTAAAAGGGCAGATCATAAATATTTTAGGCATTTGTGGGCCATATGGTCTCTGTAGCAACTAGTCAACTCTGCCCTTGTAGCGTGAAAACTATAATAGACAATATGTAAATGAAAGGGCATGGCTGTGTTCCATCAAAATTTTATTTAAAAAAAAATCAGTGATGGACAGTGCACCACAGTTTGTTGACTGCTGATCTAAGTTATGAATATTGATTCCTAGGAGAGTTACAAGACCAGATCTAATTCTTTCAGTCATTTATGTTTACTAAACTAAACTTACGAAGGTAAAGAAAAATGCATAATAGAATTTTTTTTATATTAAACTAACCAGAAAAATTCAATTAATCACAACAGCCAATTTCTAGATTATTTCAGTTCACTGACGGTAATTATGAAAAAACATCTACTACAAATTACTCTGACGTATTACTAAAAGAGATCCCTATGTCATCCTACTTTTTCTAGGCCTGAGGGAAAATAGGACAGTAATGAATGGCATAAAAATGACTGTGCTCAAGGGTGAGTTAGGCCAGGCGCAGTGGCTCAGGCCTGTAATCCCAGCACTTTGGGAGGCCGAGGCAGGCGGATCACCTGACGTCAAGAGTTCAAGACCAGCTTGGCCAATATGGTAAAACTTCATCTCTACTAAAAAATACAAAAATTAGCCGGACATGGTGGCACATGTCTGTAGTCCCAGCTACTTGGGAGGCTGAGGCAGGAGAATGGCTTGAACCCGGGAGGTGGAGGTTGCAGTGAGCCGAGATCGTGCCACTGCACTCCAGCCTGGGTGACAGAGCGAGAGTCCGTCTCAAAAAAAAAAAATAAGAGTGAGTTAGGATGCAAGCATTCCATAAGTTCACAGTAATCAGCTTATTTTTTTTAACCTTATGGTGAGTCTAAGCCCTTAGAAAAGACAAATATTGGCAATACCAGGAATGAGTCAGGATTTTCTTTTTCCTGTTGGTGAAGTCTATCCAAATTCTCTTCTTCATGCATAATAAGACCTTTTAAAGATTCCAGCCGGACTCCAAAATCCTTAAACTGTGAGAGAACAAACTAGAACAAGAGAAATTTTCATTAGAAACTATTTTCATGTACATATAAAACAGAATTAAACACAGGCTTGGGAGCTGCTAAAAATTCAAGATGTTTTTGGCTAGGCACGGTGGCTCATGGCTGTAATCCCAGCACTTTGGGAGGCCGAGGTGGGAAGATTGCTTGAGCCCAGGAGTTCAAGACCAGCCTGAGCAACATAGGCAGACTCCATCTCTGCAAAAAATAAAAAATTAGCTGGGCATAGTGGTGTGAGCCTGTGGTCCCAGCTTTTTGGGAGGCTGAGGCAGGAGGATCAACTGAACCTGGGAGGTCAAGGCTGCAGTAAGCTGTAATTATGCCACTGCACGCCAGCCTGGGTGACAGAATAAGACCCTGTCTCCCTGTCTCAAACAAACAAACAAACAAACAAAAAAAAACAAAAAATAAAAAAAAGTAAATTCAAGTTGTTTTCAACACCCAGAAGTTCACTATTATCTCAAGAATCATAGATAAATATTCAGAAGCCCCCTGATTTTTCACTCGTGCCTTTGAGCCTTCCCAAATGGACAGATCACCCGCCTGAGGAGACCACATAGAGAGTCAGTGAGCACTCCGTTCTCTCAGTCCCACTAGTTAAATGTGCTTTTTTGTTTGTTTGTTTTCCTGCTGGTACTGAGATGTGATACTGCAACTCCATGGCCTTCTGTGTAGCTTGTTGACAGCTCCTGCACTAAAGGCTTTATAAAAAGTGAATGAAGGCTGAGAGCAGTGGCTCATGCTTGTAATCCCAGCACTTTGGGAGGCCAAGGTGGGTAGATCACTTGAGGCCAGGAGTTCAAGACCAGCCTGGCCAATGTGGCGAAACCCCATCTCTACTAATTATACAAAAATTAGCCGGCCAGACACAGTGGCTCACGTCTGTAATCCCAGCATTTTGGGAGGCCAAGGCAGGTGGATCACGAGGTCAGGAGATTGAGACCATCCTGGCTAACATGGTGAAACCCTGTCTCTACTAAAAATACAAAAAAATTAGCCAGGCATGGTGGCAGGCACCTGTAGTCCCAGCTACTCGGGAGGCTGAGGCAGGAGAATGGCATAAACCCAGGAGGCGGAGCTTGCAGTGAGCTGAGATCACACCACTGTACTCCAGCCTGGGCGACAGAACGAGACATCTCAAAATAAATAAATAAATAAATAAATAAATAAATAAATAAATAAGCAAGCCAGGCGTGGTGGTGGGTGCCTGTAGTCCCAGCTATCCGGGAGGCTGAGGCAGGAGAATCGCTTGAACCCGGGAGGTGGAGGTTGCAGTGAGCCAAGATTATGCCACTGCACTCTAGCCTGGGTGTCAGGTCAAGAGTCTGTCTCAAAATAAAAAAAAGTGAATGAAGACACGAAGATATGACAAATCATCATGCTTTAAGCAGCTACTTCTATGGCTCAATTACTTGACTCAGAAATCCAAATAACTGTGAGATCTGAACAATGTATGCAATATAATACATATATGACTTCTAGAACTAACATCTTCAATAAGGAAGAAATGATTGCTTAAGATCTGCCCATGTGATTGAAGCTAGAATCGTATACATTTGGGAGCAGCTTCAGTCTGTAATTTTGCTAAGGAGCAGCCCGTAAAGCACTACTGCTTCAAAGGATACAAGGGATTGAGGATGGAATGCAAATGTCTAAGACTAAAACTTGAATGGAAAGAAAAGATGAACCTCAAATTCATTTGCTTTCACAAGCAGCATCTTTTCCAAATAAGCAGCCCTCTGGAGAGAGTGCAGGGGGCCCGGGAGGAGCATGTGGGTGCTGGACTCTGCGGGTTGTGGGAGTCGATCCAGGACACTGGAATTTTGGAGAAAGGCTTCTTTTGTTTTCTGCACATCATGCTGCAGCTCCTGCAGAAGAAAAAGGGATGGCAAACACCTCTTCCTCCTTTCAAACCACAATTCCCTACCCGCTGCTGCTCCATCAAAATCTAGGAGAATATTTGCCCTGAAAACGTAGGCATGATCTTTTGTTATTATTTATTTTAAATAGCTGAAAAGGCTGGGCTTTCTTGAAATGATGTATATCACTGGCGCTTTTCCGAAATTTGTCAGTTCAAAACTAAAAGTGACCACTGACTAATAGAGTCGAGGCTTCTAGTGTATAGAAACTGGAGACAACCTGAGTACTCATGTACTTTATATTTCAGTTGTCAAACAGTTTAGGTATCTGCTTTCATGCTGTTTCAAGAATCAATGCAACTCTGACCCCTGCCTGAGACTTTCTGATATAAATGGATTCACGTGCAGAAACTATAGAATTTTATTAATCAGGCTGATTTTAAGGCTATTCTGGAAATATTGTGTACATAAAATTTGTTTTTTTATTTTTAAATTATCAGCTCAGGTAGAAGTTAATCAGATGTACAGAGCATTATCTGTTGGATTCTCACCTAATTAAATTGGTTGCCACGTTTTGATTTGACCTACAGTAGCAGAAGATACAAAATGCATCTGTTCACTCAGTTCAGAACTAAAGAGTATTCACTTTCTGAGCGTTCATTAACAATAATAGAAAAAACACCATAGAGGAAACTAAGCAAGTCTTTAATGTAGTCTGAAATTTACTATACCCACAGAAAAGGCCTAGCAACATGGCACCAAGTCCATGATTACTGCTAAAACAAGAGATACAACATGTATTATTCTTACAGGGTCACACTCAGTTGAGACACTTGCTTTTACTTCAGATTTCATATGAAGCTTTTGCCTTAGAGATGTAACACTAGAGAGAAAGCACAGACTTGGAACGAGGTGATATCGAGTCCCCCTGATCCAGCTATTTGCTGCCTAGACGTCACCTCTGAGCCACCACCTGGTCCTCCCAGCCTTGCCTATGTCCTACATGGCAAGTTCACAGCACCTGTCCTGACTACTCTGTCCCTGTGGTCTGTCTGGTCCCCAGGTCATGGCTGTCCCTTACCCCATCTGTTGGGCTGACTTGGCCTTGGTTTTCCAAATGGGCTTTGTACCCACCTTTATGTCCTGCAGGGCTGGGGGCAGGATCTCTGCCAGGTTGTTTCCAGACATGCTGATGTTTGCGAGCTGTTGAAACTTTGCTTCCTGCTGCTTCAGCCTTGCGGCAGCTTCACCATGAGCATTGCTATAGGCCTTCCAGAGCTGGAGCAGACTCTGGGCCTTCTGCAACTGGTCTGCAATGGCTTGGTTCACCTGAGTCCACCTGTCAGTGCAACGCAAATAACATAACCCTCATTCTCTCCTTTCTCTTGTAGCGAAAGTACAATGCACACACTCTACTGGTAAGTTACTAGCAGATGGATCATTAAGAAGACACTGTTAAATGGTTTTTAAAATTAGTGGCATCACCATTATAGAAACCATTATATAAAAATAAATCCAAATTAGGCTATTTACTTGACTTTATAATATTGCACAAAAACTACAAAATGTATGATTGGCAACAAATACCTATGATGTTATGAATGTTTCACTCTCTTTTTTTAAGAGAGGGGAGTGATGAAGGGAGCTCAAACTTTTTTTTTTTTTTTTTTGTAGAGACAGGGCCTTGATATGTTGCCCAGGATGGTCTCAAACTCTGCAGCTCAAGTAATCCTCCAACCTCAAGCAATCCTCCTGCCTCAGCCTCCCAAAGTGTTGGGATTATAGGTGTGAGCCATGGTGCGCCCCGCCTATGAATGTCTCTTTGGCAAAGATGGAGAAAACACTGAACTGTATGCCTGATAAAATGACTCCACATGAAGAGGCTCCCAGTTTATAGAGATATGCTATCTTTAAACAGGTTTTAACTTTGTATTTATATCAAATAAAATTTATTATCTGTTTACACAAATGTTCCTTACATAGAAGTGGAAATAAAGGAAATTGTTTTATTATTCCATATACAGACTCTAGTATCTTGCCTTTCTTCCCTACTTTTTTTTTTTTTCTGAAACAGGGTCTTGCTCTGTTGCCCAGGCTGGAGTGCAGTGGTGCAATCTCAGCTCACTGTAGCCTTGACCTCCTGGGCTTAAGTGATCCTCCCATCTCAGCCCCCACAAGTAGCTAGGACCACAGGTGCATGCCACCACGCCTGGCTAATTTTTGTTTTTTTGTAGAGATGGGGTTTCACCATGCTACCCAGGCTGGTCTTGAACTCCTGGACTCAAGTGATCTACCCACCTCGGCCTCCCAAAGTGCTGGGATTACAGGCATGAGCCACTATGCCTGGCCCATTTAACTTTTAAAAAATATTTTCCCCACGTTAGTAATAAAAGAAAATAAGTAAACCTCATTTTAAGTGGCTGTACAAATGGTCTGTGGGTTTTTTTTTCTTTGTTTCCTTAGTTTAATTGCTAAATTCCTTAGTTTAATTCCTGTTTAGTATGGATAGTTAAGATATTTGTAATTTTTGCTATTATGATAATGCTCAGATACAGTTTTATTCAAAAGGCTTTTTTTCTGTATTTCAAGATATTAGTCTTAGACTAGATTTCTGGGAGAATTACAGAGTCAAAGAATATAAAGATGTAAATATTTGTAAGGCTTTGGGAATAAATGGTCAATCTCCTTTCTGAAAGCATTATATTTACATTCTAACATGAAATACATGAGAATGTTTGCTCCACAATATCCTCAACAATATCCTCGACCCTGCTGATTAAAGAATCAAAGGTGGAAAATAGCACACTGCTTTACTTTTATGCATTTCAAAAATCTTATCAGAACTGTCTTTTAAAATAAGATTTTCCCTAATTATAAATACAACATATATTCACTGTCAAAAAGCAAACAAAATCCCTCCAGATATTTTTCTTTTTATCTATCTATCCTACCTACTTACCAATCCATGAGGAAGTTAAAAAATGCTTGACATCTCATTTATCTAGAGGTAACTACTATTAGCATTTTAGTGTTCTTCTCTTCAGTCTTTTTGTTATGCATGTTTTTCAACATGCCTTCCAACATATTCTTGTGCCAACAAGTGAATGTGTACGTGCAGCGTAACAACTGAGTTCCTTTACCAACAGACTGCCCTGCCATACGTTTTGACGGTAGCCCTGATATTGTATGTGGAGTCAGATGCATTTGCAGGTTCCTCTTAGTCTGTCTCCTCCCCGTCTTCCAATAAAGACTGGATCAAGAGCTAAGGGCACCACTGCAGGGTATATAATTTGGGGTCCCTTGTTCATTACTTGTTCGAAGTTGATTTACAAGAGAGGCTGAAACTGCATACAGGAATAATCAGGAAGGACACTTAAGATAGCATAACTCTTCATCCCTATCTCTAATCAATTGGTTGGAGGCCAACTTTTATATCCCACTCATCAAAATAAAAGCCCTGCAATTAACTAGGGCCACACTCCTTAAAGGGAGCTTTCATATCCCACCATAAGTAGTTCATCAAAGAATTCCTTCCAAACCCACAAATGCCCTCCGCAACAGATACTCTAACATCCCCTTTCTTCCACCTTATAATGTTTCCAGTGATGTTTGAACACCCCCTGCAGGATGCCCATCTGGCCCACTCCTTTGTCTGTTTCTGCCTCTGACTTTGGTGTTTCCGAGATCGAACTTGACATTTGGTCTATACTGTCTGTAAGTGAGTACACTGGGGTTGTTATTAGGCCATTTCTAGACTAATTATACCAAACACTTGTACAAGGGATGTCACAGCCCTCATGACATAGAATCTTACATAGACTAGATTCATCAAAGCAGAAGAGACCAGAACAGTAGGAAACCAGTCATCTCAGAGGAGGAAGAAGACTTTACAATGCCTATGCCCCCTCATTCTTCACAAGTCATTAAGATAAAGATATCTATCATTCAAATTATATCTGAAAGCATACCTTTTATGAGTATTTTGGCATTTCTCTTCGATTATTTCAGCAACAGAGGGGCAGAGACCTTTGAGTTTGCCGATAACCTCCTGGAGTTTCTCCCAACTCCCTTCACTGCTCTCAGCTTCATCTTGCAGAGACTAAGAGACACAAACAAGAAATTTAAGTTTCAGAATGGCCTGGCTACTTCCAAAGAAGGTGGCAGCTTCTCAACACTTGCTACTATGTAGCAATAACACTCAAATCTTACAGCTCTGATAAACTATTAGGAATGTGAAGAAAACAATGGAGAAGGCATTCTTTATTTGAGGCTGAACTTTTAAGTACTAAGTAATATAAAGTACTTAGCACTTAGGCATACTGAAAAAAAAAAGGCCACTCAAAAACCAAAACCTTAAATTGTGAAATAATATGGACATGGAAAATAAAGGAAGATTCAACATTTTCAACTCAAAATTCAAACATTTTACAATGTTTTACTGATTTGGCTCATGTGACTTATTTTGGAATTTCCAGTTATTCTTTTGAAACTGCTATTTAACATGCTTTGTGCTTCTCTGTGGGAGGGCACAAACACAGTTATGCCCGTTACTGTGCTTCCTCCCATTTGTAATTTCCTGCCAATAATGCACCATGCCAAGCTCTGGTTAATTTACCTGAAGGTTCTCCACCTGGCATCTCAAGGTCTCCAATGATAACACCACAGGCTTGCTGTGTTCCATGCAGTACCAGAATCGGATTGTCATCATATTCACTTCATCATAGAGTTGATCATAAATCTTCCACTCCTGTAAAACTGACTGCATGGAGGTTTTGAGCTGATTGACCTAGACAAAAAGTGGAAACGTACTGATTTAGAAAATCACTGAGAAGACATGCTCTCCAACAGATCTACCATTGTGTCCAATTTAGGCATTTCAATTTGAGAGTATTGAAGGATCACCAGTGATTAACTGAAGGTGGAAAGGGTAGGTCAATGCATAAGAACATATCAGAGAAGGCTGTTTTATAATGAGTGAATGAAAAAGAGCCCAAAGATCAGAAGGATCAGCACTGAAGGAGTTCAGACTAGGAAGAGACAGCCCAGGGAAAGAACACTGGGTGAGTATTAGAATTTGTGAGTGCAAGGTTCAGTTATATTCTATTAGCTTTCTGACCTTGGGCAACTTATTGGACCCTAGAGTCAGTTTCCTCATCCACAAAACAGAGATAATAATTGAAAACACAAATAAAATAGTGTCTGTGAAAATGCTCTGACAACAGCACAACATTATAAATGTAAGATGTTACCTGGCACTTAAGTCTGATTATTACTACAGAGCAAGCACCAATTGGAGAGGAACATGCTCTACCAAAATGATGGGCAAGTGCAAAGCAGGAGGCAAGCAATGGTGAATGTATTTTGTCCACTGGTATGTTCTGATAATGATGAAAAAAGTCCAAGCATTCTGTTGCATATCCAAAATGATCTCAGATACAATCAAGAGTATGTAAAGAAAACTTACAAATCAATATTAAAGACAGATAAACTAACTAAAAACTGGGCAAAGGAAGTGACTAAACATTTCCCCAAAGAACATATATAATGGTCAATAAACATATGAAAAGACACTGAACATATACAGTCATTAAGGAAACCTAAATCAAAACCACAATGAGATATTATTTCACATCCACTTTGATGGCCATAATCAAAAAGTCAGATAATAATGTGTTGGTGACGATGTGGAAAAACTGGAATCCTCATACATTGCTGGTGGGAATGTAAAATGGTACAGTCACTGTGGAAAACAGCTAGATAGTTCCTCAAAAAATTAAATAGAGTTGCCATATGACCTAACAATTGTACTCTTATACACACAAGAGAATTAAAAGCGTATGTTCACATAAAAACCTGACACAAATGTTCATAGCAGCACGATTCATGAGAGCCTAAAAATGGAAACAACCCACATGTTCATCAACTGATGGAGAGGTAAACTAAATATGGTATATCCATACAATGGAATATTAGCCATAAAAATAAATGAAGTACTGTAAATACTACAACACCGATGATCTTGAAAACATTATGCTTAGTGAAGGAAGCCAGACCCAAAAGGCTATATAGCATATGATTCTATTTATATAAAACGTCCAGAATAGGTAAATCCATAAGAAGGTAGACTAGTGGCTGCCAGGGACTGGAGAAGGGGAAAAGTGGGGAGTGACTGCCAATGGGTATGGAGGTTTCTTTTTGAGGTAATGAAAATGTTCTGTAATGAGATAGTGGTGATGGCTGTGT